>NC_000023.11:152657424-152960454 GCF_000001405.40 Homo sapiens | reverse complement strand
TTGGTTCTTGGTCTCTCTCAGAAAATTCAGAGCCCCTGTTTCCTCAGGCTACTGCTGCCAACTTCTTGCAATCAATGAGCAACCCTGAGTCAGCACTGTGGAGCTACATTACTGTCCAAATCCATGGCCATCCCAGTGCTGATGGCAGTGGAAGAGCTCATCCAACTGGTACAGTTGTTATTTCTGGCAGTGAATCACATCCACACCATGGCACACCTTGCTCAGAGAGTTTCCATCTCCATTAACAGAAAAAGCAACCTATATCCCTCCCCTGACCCAGGTTTCCAGGTTCGAACTGGCTGCCAGACAACCTGGTTCTCTGTGCATCCTTTCTGTGCCAGACTTAGTCTAACAGATTTGATGCTATGGCTCCAAGCTGAAACCCATGAATATCTACCCCTGAGATGCTGGTTTCTCTCCTTCCCTCTGGCTCCTAACCACACTCACCTGCAGAGGATAAACAGGCATGCCTAGTGTGTGGGGGTTTGTCCTGGGTTGCTGCCCTGGACAAAAACACTGGCTCTAGCAGGTAAGGTCCCAGTGCAGTTTGGCTCGTACCTGCTGGTGCAGCTCTCTCGTCTGACGAATTGCTCAGATCCGCTGGGGCTGTTCTGCTGTTCTGGGGTACTGGGATCTGCAGGTTGCTGAGTGGGTACAGCTGGGTCTCCTTGGCCACCTCTTGGGGCTCCAGGCCTGTCCTGCCAGGCCTCTCCGACCTTGGTGGCCACATCCTTCCCCTCAAAATCAGTCAACACGCTGAGGAAGAATAAGACCCTTATGAAGTGAGTGCCCTGAGACTAGACTTTGTTCTCCCATGGCAGGTAGGCTGGCTGTCATGTCTCGTGGACTTGGAGGGACTCATCTCCCCAAGAGTGGGGCAGACAGGAAGGAGGCACAATCCCCACCCCAAGGAGCAGTCAGTCTCCTCCTCAGTAGGACCCCCGCAGTGCTGCTCCTTTCTGACAAGGGCAAAGTCACCTGACGACTTCAATGAGGTGTTAAAAGACATCGTCTTCTGGCTGGAAACACACTGGTATTCTTGTCCCCATCCTCCCACTGCCATCTCTCCTTTCTCCAGTTCTTTCCCGCCTCCGGCCTCTCTAGGAAGACCTAAGCCATTCAGCCTTCTTCCCTGACCATGGTGCTCAAGACCTGTGCGCTGGCCAGGCTCATCAAATACCCGGCAGTCTAGGGAGGAGCTTCTCCCCCAAGCTACCCTGGAGGGCTCGGTAGGGGCAAGGGTAGGGGAGTGCGCACGTGTTGGTCACCAGATTCCCAAATCCGCTGTTGACCCCACAAAGGGGGGAAGGGCCAGGAGAATCCAAAATTTCTTAGGCGGGGCCATTATGAGAACCCTAGACCCATTTGTGATCCTCGAGCGCCATCTGGCGGCAGGAACCGGGACTGCTGCAGAAAAAGCCTCTCCACGGTCGATCTCGCCCAAAACAACCATTTTCTTTGTTGATCGTCTCATTTCCCGGCGAGCACCGCAGGCAGAGTCTGCGGCTGCAGGAAATGGCGGCACGCGCAGGCGTACTCACGCCGGCCGCACCCCGGCCTGTGCACGCACGATCTCAGCGCGCGTGCGTGCACCCGCCCACTTATCGTTGTGACCGCGTAGTTTTCACATGTGGAACCTTCTTGTCTTCTTTATTGGAAGTAGTCATAGCTATTCCTGGAAAGCAATAGCATTTTCATCCCCTGCCCCCCTTTTTTTTTTTTTGAGACGGAGTTTCGGTCTGTCGCCCAGGCTGGAGTGCAGTGGTGTGATCTCGACTCACTGCAACCTCCGCCTCCCGGGTTCCAGAGATTCTGGGACTACAGGCGCCCGCTGCCACGCGTGGCTAATTCTTTGTATTTTAGTAGAGACGGGGCTTCACCTTGTTGGCCAGGCTGGTTGTGAACTCCTGAACTCAGGCAATCCGCCCGCCTCGGCCTCTCAAACTGCTGGGATTACAGGCGTGAGCCACCGTGCCTGGCCATCCCTTTTTTTTTACAGATGAAAAAGTTGACATAAGGGTCCAATTTGCAACTAATAGTAGTCAAAATGGAACTTCCTTGTTCCTGCTGCAGTTCAACCTGATCAGGTGACTCCTGCTACATACACTTTTAGCGTCTCTAAACTTAGTTCCTCCCACCTAACCCCAGCTGCTTCTCTTCCCCTTCCAGCAGCCAAACTCCTTAGAAAGAGCTGTCTACGCTCACTCTTGTCACCTTTTCCTTCCTTTCTTACCATCAACATTCCATGGAACCTATTAATTGCTTCTGGAAAACTGAGTTCCTTCTGGGTTACACATTACGCCCGGGAGGCAGCAAATTCTTACAGAAATGGTGACATCTTACGAAAGATAACTTACAGTGGAACATTCCAAATGAACAACAACACACTGAAGTGCATTTTAAAAAAAAATTCTTTTGTGTTGTGGCTTGGCTCCCGGGGCAATGGTGCAGAGAGCCAGATCACCAGGGCCACTCAGGGAAAGGGAGCCCAGAAGCCTGGCATGCCAGCAAAAGGGTAAATATCTCTTCCCAGTCAGATTTCAGGCTTCTCTCTCTCTGTGCAAACTGATTGTAAAATCACTGTTTATCTCCTCTGTAAAATTTTAATTAATGCAAAAAGGAATTCTGAGGCTGTCTAGTCTTAAGCTGTAGTCAATCTGGTATATTTTGTGCTATAAAGTCGTTTTTCTGTGTCGAGGGGTACCTTAGGATAAAACATGGGCTTGGGCCCCCATAAGCTTGCTGCTCAAGATGGCCCAGCAAGCTGGTCAGTGACAAACTTTGCTGCAGGTCCCTGAAACCAACAAAAAACTGGACAAGGTCGCCATCCTGTTTTATGTCCTTGGGAGCTTGACCTTGTAACCATGTGGCAGTACTTTCTCCTTGTCTCTACCTTCCAGGGAACAGGAATTTTAGGGTTCATATCATAGTTAGTTCTAAAAATTATCTTGACTAGTTAAAAGCCTTTGCAAGCTCAAAATTAACTACTCTAGACTCCTTCTGGGCTCAGTAGTTAAGGTTTTGCCCTTTCACAGTGGCAGTCTGGGTTCGATTCCTGGCTTAGGAAATAAGTCCTTTCTGGTTTAATATCTGCATGACCTTGTCTATACCTTTCTCCTCCATGGACTGTCTTAAATTTTCCTTTGAGCACCTGGGAGTTCGAGACCAGCCTGGCCAACATGATGAAACCCCCTCTCTACTAACATACAAAAAAAAAAAAATAGCCAGACATGGTGGCACACGCCTGTAGTCCCAGCTGCTCCAGAGGCTGAGGCAGGAGAACTGCTTGAACTGGGGAGACAGAGGTTGCAGTGAGCCGAGATCATGCCACTGTCAGCCTAGGCGACAGAACAAGACTCCGTCTCAAAAAAAAAAAAAAAATTAACCTTGTAAAAAATTTTATGTATGATAATACTAAATTTAAAAGGGTATTATTAGGTTTTTCCATAAATTGAACATGGACATAAAAGCACAACAGGTTTTCTTAGAGCACTAATCTGCTCTTCAACAAAAATTGTAAAGGGTTATAAAAGGTTTATAAAATTCTTACCTTATGTTCAAACTGATTAAGATTGAATACATTTGTCTATAAGGTTTTATTTAAGAATTGGGTTTGACATCGATAATGCACTAATGCAACAGTGACATTTGGCTTATTTGGTATAAAAATCATGGGAGGCATTGTCAAAATAAAAATACTGTTTTGTTTTGTTTTGAGACTGAGTTTTGCCCTCGTTGCCCAGGCTGGAGTGCAATGGCATGATCTCTGCTCACTGCAACCTCCACCTCCTGGGTTCAGGCGATTCTCCAGTCTTAGCCTCCCGAGTAGCTGGGATTACAGGTGCATGCCACCATGCCTGGCTAATTTTTCTATTTTTAGTGGAGACAGGGTTTCACCATGTTGGCCAGGCTGCTCTTGAACTCCTGACCTCAGGTTATCCGCCTGCCTCGGCCTCCGAGAGTGCTGGGATTACAGGTGTAAGCCACCGCGCTTGGCCAATAAAAATAATGTTTAATCTTCAGGGTATATTTTTAGTGAATTATATTAATATATATTCCAAAATTATATGGGGTTTCTAAAATTCTAATATGTATATCAAGTGCAGATTATAAAAATTCAGTCATACAGGATTAATGAAAAGATCACTTAGTGAAGTGAGTAGACTCTTCGTCTAGCTCATTCTTTATTTTATTTAATTTAGGCAGTTTGTTTTATGGGGACCTCAGGTAAACAGCATACTTCAAACTCTGGGTATTATCCTACTGGTAGTCATAGTAGTCTCCCCAGTGCACTGTATTCTCTCAAAGGTTTCAAATGTTTGCATGCAGCCATCTCTGAAATGTCAAATGGTCTCTCTTCAACTGGAATAACAAAACTGATTGAAATGTATGATTATGAGGACATCATAACCTATGAATGACATGCTGAGACTGGAAACCTAAAATGATGGTAACTAGGTAACTAAAAGTGGTGCTAAGGCCCTAAGTTTTGGTCACACTCTCACCTAAGTGAGAACCTGGCCAATAAGGGGAAATATTTTTTTTTTTTTTTTTTAGGTGGAGTCTCGCTCTGTCACCAGGCTGGAGTGCAGTGGCGTGATCTTGGCTCACTGCAACCTCTGACTGCCAGGTTCAAGTGATTCTCTTGCCTCAGCCTCCCGAGTAGCTGGGATTACAGGCGCATGCCACCGCGCCCGGCTAATTTTTGTATTTTTAGTAGAGACAGGGTTTCACCATGTTGGCCATGATGGTCTCGATCTCCTGAGCTCGTGATCTGCCCGCCTCAGCCTCCCTAAGTGCTGGGATTACAGGCATGAGCCACCACGCCCAGCCAAGGGGAATTTTTTAAACAAAATTCTGGCAAGCCATTGTTGTGTACTGAGCTCATGCACTAGGACCCAACAGACCAAACCAAACAAAATGGAGTTGCTCATGCTAAATGTAACATAATCAAACTAAGACTTTAAGGAAACAAATAGTTATTAAAACAGACCAGGTTTTGTTTTTGTCCTGTAAACAGAACATTCTAGCATAAAGAGGTACCTTCTACTCAGTCCTTATTCTCTCCTTACAAAACCCACTGTCCTCCTGTTTCCCAGTGGGTTTCAAGACCATATAAGTACATTTACAAGGGTAATAGTGATATCAATAACTAAGGTTTTTGTCAATCTCTCAAAGTTGAGAAAATGACCAAAAAGGGGGAATTGTTAAAGCAAATTAAATACGGCCTGAGAAGGACTCCATAGTTCTATATTTGAGTCTTTGTCAATAAACTGTAACCTAGAGGCAGACAAAATTGAAAACCTAACTTAGGAGTGTGTACCTGTAACAATAGCTAACTCTTGGCCAATCCCAGCGGCCATACTTCAACCATTCATACACTGGTGAGTGTTCAAACTGTGTTCAAATAAGGCATACCCCCAACCTGTAACCAATCCAGCCGTTCTGTACCTCACTTCCAATTTCTGTACGTCATTTCCCCCCCTCCACCTTTTTTTTAATCTATAAATCTTCCACCATGTAGCTGCACTGGAGTCTCTGTGAATCTGCTGTGATTCTGGGGGCTGCCCGATTCACAAATAGTTCATTGCTCAATGAAACTCCTTTAAATTTAATCCGGCTGAGGTTTTTCTTTTATCACCATGTACCTGCGTCCTGCACCTCACCTCTTACATGTCTCATAGGTGTTACATTTAACATGCCCCCAAACATTTCTTCTACCTCGCTGGTTGAGAGTCTGAGTCAATGAGGTGATAACAGTTTTTTGAGATGAACAACACAGGGGGAGATACAGAATTAGTACATTAGTTAATTTGTTTTATTTGGTTGTTTTTGGTGAGAAGCTGTGTTGATAAAGATGGTTTGGGACATGCTGAGTTTTGGAAGGTGGCAGAAGTCCATAAGGCTACCTCACGGAACTACATATAGGTGAGCCTGCTGCTCCTACCAGTTGTTTCCCCTTGTTTCTCAAGAGTCTTAAGCCAGAAACCCAGAATGGATTATTGCCTGAAGGATGATCAAGTGTTCACAGCTGTCTGCTTTTTACCCTCTCCTTTGCCTTGACAGAATGTTAGGCAGGCTTCTGTCCTCCCCACAGGGCCTGAATTTTGCTTGCTCCTGGTTAAGTAAGTGCTGCAATGCAGAACATGCCCCACTTAGCAGCTTCTCCTGAGAACCGGCTGACCACAGGGAAACACATTTCTGGTCAAATCATGCCAAACAGGTTCCCCTTTGCTTGCCCACTGGCCCTTGAAAGTAGCTGAGCTGCTAGCTGTGCTTACTACTCCCTACTGAAAAAAAAAGGCTTTTTTTTTTTTATTATTTTGTGATGTTTTTTGTATTATTTTGTGATGTTTGCAAGTCCTGAGGTTGCAGCATTGTCCCTATTGCAATAGTCTTTTTAAATAAAGTATTGGTCGGGCACGGTGGCTCACACCTGTAATCCCAGCACTTTGAGAGGCCAAGGCGGGTGAATCACTTGGGGTCAGGAGTTCAAGACCAGCCTGGCCAGCATGGCGAAACCCCATCTCTATTAAAAATTGAAAAATTAGCTGGGCATGGTGGCGCACGCCTGTAATTCCAGCTACTCAGAAGGCTGAGGCGGGAGAATTGCTTAAACCCGGGAGGTGGTGGTTGCAGTGAGCTGAGATGGCACCTACACTCCAGCCTGGGTGACAGAGAAAGGCTCTGTCTCAAAAATAATAAAATAAAATAAAATAAAAGTCTCTATCTAAATCCATATTTGTTTTTTGTTTTTGAGACAGGGTCTCGCTCTGTCACCCAAGCTGGAGTGCAGTGGTGCAATAATAGTTCACTGCAGCCTCAACTCCTGGGCTCAAGCAATCCTCCACTACTTCAGCCTCCCAGGTAGCTGGGACTATAGGCACACACCACCATGCCTGGCTAATTTTTAAAATTTTTATAGATATAGGAGTCTCGCTATGTTACCCAGGCTGGTCTCGAACCCTTGGGCTCAAGTGATCTTCCTCCCTCAGCTTCTCAAGTGCTGGGATTACAGGTGTGAGCCATTGCACCCTGCCCAGAGACGGTATTTGCTTTTATTGGACACTTTTTATGGTTCTGTGATTCAGTTACTTTGATTCTGTTAAATGAGCTCTTCCCAGTTCTTTTCTGTTTGAGCAAGAATCTTCGCAGACAGAACTCTTCCTAGCTCTTTTTGAGTGGGGATTTAACCCCTGACTCTGTTGAGCAGGACTCTTCCTGGTCCTTTTCAATTTTAGCCAGAATCGTCCTGGATAGAAGTTTTCTTGGTTCCTTTTGAGTGGAGATTTACTCCAAATTCCTGGCTCTTTTGTGAGGCCTCATTGTTTCCCTTGACACCTTGTCTAGAGATTGCACAAGGAAAGCCCTTCAGCTCCTCAATGAGGACTGAAGAGAAACTTTGGCTCCCAGATGACGACTGTGTGCAGAACTTCCTAATGAGACTGTCCAGCCTGGCTCCTTTCTCTATTTGATCTGCCTCTTCCCACAGGTAACTCTCAATCTACTGGGTGCCCTTCCTCCTCCTCATCCTCCTCCTCCTCCCTTGCTGACTACATGCCCTGCCCCTATGGCACTCATTCTGTCCAGTATTTCCAAAACTGGCAAAAAAAAAAAAAAAAAGTAATCACGAAGGGTAATTTGGAACTTCAGTGACCTTATTAGGGAACCTGGGGTCTCCCCAAACCTGCTCATCTAAGATTCCCCCTTCTCATCTTCCTACCGCATCCCTCTTCCCTTCTTTTCACCACCTTGGACCTTCCCTTCAGCTCCCTGAATCTTTTCATCTGTCCCCTTCAATGCCTCTACCTCCTACATACCCCTATCTACTCTTCACCAGGCTTTCCCCTTCCCACTCAGCCCTCTCAACTGCCTATAGCCAGTAGAGCTTCAGGCCCCCTGCACCCATTGAGGGCTCGCCATTAGATCTCTATTTGTGTCTGTCTGTATGTTTAGTATACATGTATGTTGTATATGTGTAATAGTTCAGTACCTCCAGATGGCATTACCAAATTAATTTACAAAATCCCTTATCCTCTATTCTAATTGACTTAGAGATAAATAAGTACTTATATAAATTATTATAAAGCTCTCATAAATTAAGGAAACAACTTCTAATACTTTCAGTGTAAACAACAAAAAAGTATTCTTATAAAAACTAACCCAAATGCTTTTAAAACTCAAGTTCACAGAATTTATGTAAACTTTTGGCAAACAAAACTAGTTTAATATTGTTAGTTTAATAGACACCTATGTGTCTTTGAGTTATCAGCATTACATATAATACAACAGAATACAAGCATATATTTTTACTCTACTTGGGTATGTTCCTCCTAAACTTAAACAGGTTTACATGTTGAATAAGCTAGTATTATATCTACTACATGTTTAAGATTATAAAAATTTAAATTTGCTTTTAACCAAACTGAGTCATTATTCTGGCAAACTTTATTTCAACAGTAATTATGTTTTATAATATGTAAGCTTAAAGGCAGTTTCTAAAATCTTTTTGGTAACTTAAAACCTTAGACTTATGCTGAATTAAGTTAACTAAATTCATTAAATATCATTTATAAAGAAGATAAAATACTTAGTCACTAGACCTAAATTTAAGTTTATATACTTTTTGCTTTTTTTATGGTACAGTGTGACTACATATGGATCTGTTAAATGTGTTCATTTGTCCACATTGCAAAATGGTACTATAAAAAGTATATAACAACTATAAAAAGTTATGAGATGTATATTCATAAGCTTTACTAGTCTGCTACAAAATGCTGGTATATGATATTTCAAAATTACCTACCTCCTGTTTTCTCTGTGAAAGAGAAGTTATTAATGGTTAAAATTATAATAAGTAAATAAGTGTGTGTGTATATATATATATAAACTGCTAAAAGTAATAATGGCAAAAATGGCAAAGGGAAACAACTTTGTATGCAAATATGCTTTTCCTAAGGAAAAAGAGAATAGCTTTGTCCCAAATTAAAATGACAAATAATTTAAAAATGTGTGAGACAAAATGTAAACAAATATCTTTAAAATTAGAAAATGTTCACAGAAAAGGAATTTTATTTGTCATGGTTAAAACTTTTATTCAGTGTATTTATAAGATTTTCAAAAAAGAACTAATATCAAATATTATACTTGTATAAAATTAAAATGTTGGTTTCTCTGTTAAAATAACAAAATTTTCTTAGGCTAGGTGCAGTGGCTCACGCCTGTAATCCCAGCACTTTGGGAGGCTGAGGTGGGCAGTTCACCTGAGGTCAGGAGTTCGAGACCAGCCTGGCCAACATGGTGATCGCGCGACTGCACTCCAGCCTGGGCAACAGAGCAAGACTCCATCTCAAAAAAAAAAAAAAAAAATTCTTGATCATTGGTCTGTCCCTAATAAAAAGTTATAAATGGTCTGTTTTTCTTCTGAGTCATCTGCCTAAGAGGCAAAGATTTTATGTCTTATCAAAATACTGTAATGCCCTATCTGTATGTTCAGTTTATTATGTCCTTAGTTATTTTTTTAAAGTCTTTTCAATTTTAAAGGAACTGAAGATTCTTTACAACCATGTTACCTCATATGTTTACTTGAAAATTTTTACAACTCTGATTCACTAGCTAACCAAGTAGTATTTCTCGCTAACCCATAATGCTATTCAATCAAATGTTCGAGAACTCCTGACAACTCTTAACATTTGCCTTCCCACAATCAAAACTTAAATATATTTTATACCTAAAACTGGCTTTGGGATTTGCCAGGGACCTTCTGGAAAATCTCAAAGGATTAGTTCTTTCACCTTGTAACAAGAAAGGTGCAAAAACTAATTAGTCTTATTTAATATTGTATAAATTGCATTGGAAACATTGTCAAATCAAAAAAAAAATGCAGAACCTTCCCTAAATTAGTCTATAATGGGTAAAATGTCCTTAATATAAATATTTTAGAAATTCCATAGAATTCCTAGCGGGGTTTCAGTGTCCTCAGTGTACATGAGATATTGCTCTTTATCAAAGCCCCAGTGCTGCTTTGCCTTATATTAGATAAGAACAATACAAGGTTATCAATCATCATTTCAATTATGGGAAATTCACATTGCTCACTGATGGAATATTGTTAATATACAGATGTTTAGGACCTTTCCTGAACTGCCAATTTGATTTTATTCTGCACCCAAATCTCATGGTTATAAATATGTTCTTACTAGTTTATTTATGTTTTTCTCACTGGCTTGAAGCTTTCCCTTATATAAAAGGATCATTGCCACTAATGTTATTAAGCTTTTGTTAGAACAAGTATTCCCCACATGTGGAATTCTACCGCTTCTTTCAAATGACTAAGGAATCCATTTCCCCAGTAAAGTCATCCAAGAAATATAATGAGTTCTTCCTTTATCCCCCAAATTACATTGTCCTTATCATCCCCAGTCGTCTGAAATGATGGAAACAGTGGAGTATTAAAGTGAAAACTTGCCAACTGATGAAAAACTCAATCTCCCATGGCCTAAGGTTTTACCCTTAGCACTGACTGTCCTCTGGTCCTCTCGTGCTGGGTCATACGTACTCTCCCTCCATATGATATAATAACTGGCCCACCCATGAGATCTCCCTAGTGTCTAGACTCTCAAAGATTCTAATCTGGTCAATTCAGACATTTAAAAATAATGACAAGGATTTTTTTTAATTTTTCCATCTACTCTCCCTCGAAGTTCTGCTACTATCGTTGCCTACATCTCTGAAGGCTCTCACTCTGCCTGTCTCTGCCCTTCTTGGAACTCCAGGCTAGTTATCCACTAGGAGAGCACATCTAGTGGCTTTCTTCCTGGCGTGTGCCCAGACTAGGGCTGAGGGAATGCTTGCTACTTAGAACTATTAGCAGTAAGCAGCCCTTAAGCCCCTGGCCCACAGACTCTAAATGCTGCCCATCAGGTGCCATGACATAGTTGACCCTTCCTGATGAACCTAGCCTACTGAGATGCCATGCCAGTGACCAGACCCAAAGACTGCAAATAGAGAACCCCAGGGGGCCCGGAAAGGGGATTTGTCTACAGTCGCACCCCAGCATGCTACAGGATTTAGACCACTAAGAGGAACAGGAGAAGAGCACTTGCAGAGTGCTGCTGTCTGCCTCAGCAAAACAGCAGTGTGCCAGGGCAATCCAGCCAGGCCAGCCTAGGTAGGGCCTCCACCTGAAAGCCAGAGGCTTGCCTCAGGTGCCCTTGTCAGCTTGGGATCTCCACGGACCAGGCATTTGCTCAGTCAGTTGCAGGCAGTATAGAGGCAGGTTAGAGATACTTTGGCCACCACCTAAGCCAGGAGGGGTCACATACTCCACTCACTCGACCAGAAATGTGGCTTTCTAAATTGTCACTTCCCTCTCCGTCACTGCTCTCCCAAGTCTTACCTGTCATCCAATTTGGGATCTCTTCTACTTATTTTACAGTTCTGTCTCCATCTCCACAGCTAGTCCCCTAGTCCAGGCCCCATCATTTCTTACATGGAGGATGCTGTAAGCACTTCCTCTTCTCCCTGCTCCACTCTGCCCACTTCAGTCACTCTTCTCACTGCCACTGGAGATCCCATTGCAAAGCAATACTCTCGCCATATCACTCCCCTGCTTCAAACCTTCCTGGCTCCTCTTTGCCCTCGAAAGAAAATCTAAAGTCCTTGTTATGGCATAAAGTTCTGATCCTGCCCATCTGTGTCAGGGGTCCCCAAGACCATCCCTAGGCTTGGTGATTCACAAGAAGAACTCACAGGACACATCACATCATCACACTCAAGGCTATGGTTTATTATAGTGAAAAGATACGAAGCAAAATCAGCAAAGGGAAAAGCACACAAGGCAAATTTCTGAGGGAACCCGGGCACAAGCTTCCAGAGTCCTCTCCCAGTGGGTCACACAGGATTCACTCAGTTCCCCTCAGCAGTGAGTTGTGACAACAAGTGTGAAATGCTGTCGACCAGGGCAATTCATGAGAGACTCAGAGTCCAAGGATTTTATCGGGGACTGGTCACGTAGGCACCCTCTGCCCAGCCTTTACCTAACATGCACACGTTGCTTTCACCTATAGGAAACCTTCCCCATTATCTTGTAGCTGTAATTATCTGCTCACCCCTCCCACATCCATCACGTCACAGCCAGTTTCAGAGTGTGTACCCCATCAACTGCACCTGCTTATCCTCCGCTCCCTCCTCAATCCATTATAATCCAACTACAGCCTTTCCCACTGCCCCAACCTACTCCCCTCAAGGCAGTCATGAGTTCTACATAGCCAAATCTGATGGGCCTATTTCAGCATCTACAGAGCACTGGAAAGTTAGCTCAGCGTGGCTTGGTTTCCATGACGGTAGTCTTTCCTGATTCTTCCATTTATCCAAAATTTTCCTTCTCAATACCTCTCTGTAGCTCCTCTTCCTCCTTAAGACCTTTTGGAATTATTTTCCAAAATTATGGTCCATCTGCCTTTGCTTCTCTCATATTTTTACTTCTTTTCATTTTATATATTCAGCTAGGGTTTTAGGGGATCAATAATTAATATCCCCTCTTTTTTTCTTTTTGAGACAAAAGAAGAGCAGAAAATGGAGAGAAATGTCAGCTGATGAAGCAGCTTCCCTCAGCATCCCTGAACCACGTGGACTCACCCACCCAGCCAAGGGCCTGGCTGGACAACTGTCCCTGGAAGTCTGCAGAGAAAAGCCGAGAATACATGCTTTGTACACACTGCCTTCCAAAGGCATTCTCCAGGCAACCTCATGCATTCTCTTTAGTGACTTCCTATGAGCTGACAACTCCCAGCTCTCTAGCCCCAGGTCAGATCTTTGCTCAACTCCACATTTGTTTACTCAGTAGCCTACTGGACATCACTGGCTGGAGCCCCTACAGGCACTTCTCATTCGGCATGGCCCAGTGACCTTCTCATCTCTGTGCATCTCTCAGCGGGCCTGCCCCCAAACTCCTTACCCTCAGCTAGTTCCTGTCACCACCCATCCAATTGCCTAGCCCTGAAATCTGGGGAGCAACCTTGGCTACCACTTTTCCCTCACCGTTATCTTTATTTTTTTTATTTTTATTTTGGAGACAGGATCTTGTTTTGTTACCCAGGCTGGAGTACAGTGGCAGGAACATGGCTCCCTGTATCCTCGACGTGCAAGGCTCAAACAATCCTCCCACCTCAGCCTCCCAAGTAGCTGGTACTACAGGCATGTGCCACCACACCTGGCTAATGTTTTTAAATTTTTTGTAGAAATGGGGTCTTGCTGTGTTCCCCAGGCTAGTCTCAAACTCCTGGGCTCAAGCGATACTGCCACCTCGGCCTCCCAAAGTGCTGGGATGACAGGTGTGAGCCACCACGCCAAGCCCGCTTTTACCTTTAATAATTCAAAAATACTTGCAGCCTCATCACCTTGCCCCTGGTGTAAGCAAACAGTCTCCAATATGGCCTCCTGCCTTGTCTCGTCGTATACTCCCCTGGCCTGGTCCTCCACAGGGCAATGGAGGGATCTTCTTTGGACTCGAGTCTGGCTGTGGCACTCTCCTGCAGGAAAACCATCGGTGGCTCCCAAGGCCCTCAGGATGTGGGTCACACTCCTCAGCCTAGGAGCAGGTGCCTGCCCAGCCCCTACTTGGTGCTTCCTGCCAAGCCAGGCTGGATTAACCCTCCTTTGTGATGGCTACCTGACTGGATGTTCCCTATACACTTTGTGAGCCTCCACTCGGAATGCCTTCCCAAGCACGTCTGGCACATCTGGCAAAATCTCCCTCAGCCTTCCAAACCCAGCTCCAACATCACTCTCCCTGTAAAGAAAGCCTTTCCTGACACTCCCCCGCAAAACGAAAACAAAACCCAGAACCACTCGCCTCCTCCTTCATCCACAAGCCTCACTTTTTATACCCCTTCTGCATGGAACACTGACTAGTTCTAGAAGCCACACAATGTGACAGCAAGTCCAAAGTTGTTCACTCTGTTTTTGGACTGGGACCCTCCAGGGCCTGGAGCCAAGGAATCAAAGATGGGCTAGATATTCTTAGAAGGTAAAACTTGTTATCTAACAGTTGAGCTAGGCCCTAAAAATAACCTAACTATTAATAATTATGGAACCTCTGTGGTACAAGAAGCCCCAGAACAAAGAAGGCAGATGACTGTGTTTCTTTCATCCCTGCAAAAGGAACCCCAGGCTCCACCTGCTCCCCACAGCAGATGCCCTGCTGGATTCCACTAGCTCCTCTCTCGGGGCAATATGAGTCTTAGCTCTCTCCTTCTACATTTCTGTCTTGTGTAAGAAACTGTTCGCTTTGCACCCCTGGAATCACTGGCCTGTTGACGTGTCCAGAGCTGCAAGGACATGCAGTGTTTGCGCTGGCAGGCAAGATGCCTTCAAGAGAGCCTGACTTGAAACTCTCACACCAATGCCACATGGTCAGCTCCAGTAACAGGCACGTTTGTCCTCTTGCTCATGCACAGTGGCACACACCAACACATGGCCAGTCACATCCTGTGTCACTCTCTCATGCCTGCTCACACATGCTCCCTTTCTCTCCCTCTGGCCTCTCTCTCTCTGCTTCACTCTGTCACTTTTGCACTTTTACCCTCCTGTTTTTTTGCTCTTTCACACTCTGTCCTTCTCTGACAATGGCATTTTACCCACACAAATAGCCCTCACTCTGCCCAGGACCCCCACCTGTAGAGCACCTGTACTCTGAGAGACAGCCTTCCTTCCTGCCCCATGCATTGGGAATTAGCCAGGGCTTCTCACACCTGGGGACAGACACATCCTCCTATCACAGTCCCCTCCCAGCTCCTTGAGCCACAAGAAGCCTGATGACACTGCTCTAGGACCAGGGAATCACCATGACCCACTCACAGAACAGGAGCCTGGGTGTGCAATGTGTCGGGTATTGGCACAGGGTGTGGGGAAGTGGTTCCCATGTGGGTCGCAGACCTCAACAAAAACATGGGCTCCAGAGGCAGAGCCCACTGCAGCTCAGCCCTTACCTGCTGCCACAACTCTCTCGTCTGACAAGTTGCTCAGATCCGCTGGGGCTGCTCTGCCGCTCTGGGGTGCTGGGATCTGCAGGTTGCTGAGCGGGTACAGCTGGGTCTCCTTGGCCACCTCTTGGAGCTCCAGGCCTCTCCTGCCAGGCCTCTCCGACCCTGGTGGCCACATCCTTCCCCTCATAATCAGCCAAGGCCCTGAAGAAGAATAAGCACCCTTATGAAAAAAGTGCTCTGAAACTAACCCTGCCTCAGCCCCAGGACGCAAGCTGGCTGTCACCTCCTGTGGACTTGGAGGGACTCATATCCCTGAAAGCGGGGCAGAAAGGAGCCAGGCACAGCCCCAATTCCAGGGAGCAGACAGTCTCCTCCTTGGCAGGAGCCCAGCATCGCTGCTCCCTTCTCACTGAACAGGCCTCCATGTGTAATAGATGAAGCCGAAGCCTCCGATGTTTTTATTGTTGTTGTTTGGAGGCAGGGTCTCACTCTGTCGCCCAGGCTGGAGTGCAGTGGCATCATCTCGGCTCACTGCAACCTCTGCCTCCTGGGCTCAAGCCATCCTCCTGTCTCAGCCTTCTGAGTAGCAGAGACTACAGGTCTACACTACCACGCCCAGCTAATTTTTGTATTTTTTTTTTTTTCTGTAGAGACAAGGTTTCACCATGTTGCCCAGGCTGGTCTCAAGCGATCCTCCTGCCTTGGCCTCCCAAAGTGCAGGGATTACAGGCATGTGCCATTGCACCTGGCCCTCCAATTTTTGGCTTTTGCCACCCCTGAATCCAGCAAGAAGGACAGGGCTTCCCCCAGATGTCTCAGGCATCGAGCTCTTCAGGGGTCCTCCCTGGCCTCACCCCATGATTGCACTGCACCCTCCAATCTGGGTACCGTGGGAAAGAGGCTGCTAGCTGATCCTCCACTTCCACACCCCTCCCATCACCAGCCCCACACCGAGGTGCAAGGTACTGCTTCCAGAGTCTACTAGGCCAGGGGCAAACACCAAGTTGGGCTACTAAGAGAGTGAGCCCAGCATTTCAGAATGAAAATCTACTTCGCCATCACCTCGATCCTAGCTCACTCTGAATATAACCTTCCCAACATCACCAGCCTACCTTCAATAGCTGGTGGGGGCTACCCCGAGACAAGAACACGCTACAAACTACCCTGGGACTCTTTGTATATAGGAGTTAACTTTGTCTAGGCAGGCTTCCTGCCTTCAAGCTGGAATAACAAGGCCAACAGAGGCCACACTTTTTGGAAAGTATGCCCTGAAAGCAACATGATTCTTCAGCCTCAGGTGGAGGTCAAGGGAACTAAAATTCTCCAGCAGGCACAACAAGCTAATTGCCACCTCCAGCTGCACCAGGCAGAACTGCAGGCAAGTGAGTGTGACGCCACACAGTAACTGTGGGGAACCATCCCACTGGGCCTGTGCTTCTCTGTGCTGCTTCCACCCTTAGGGTCTGCTGCAGCCCATGCAGATCCAAAAGTGGTCTGCACAGGTAACACCAGTCCCAGGGTTGCCAGCAGGGTGCCCTGACACACCCATTCAATCTCTGTCAGTGACATGCTTGCTTGAGCCAAAGACAAACATACAAGGCCTGAAGAGCTTGTCTCCCTACTGTGGTAGCCCTGAGTTAGCTTTACTATGGATTTAATCAGAGTCCCGTCCTGTCCCACGTCCTCTGTAGAAATACACTAGTAGAGGTTGCCCTCACCAAGTCTGTGGATAGAGCCAGGATTATCCACAAAGAGAAATTTGGGCTCTATTGTGACACAGGGACAAATGGATGAACAAGGCTTCTTCTTTCCTAGGCCTGTGGCAGGGCCACTGTGATTTTAGGACATATGACCTATGTGGGTCATAAAAAGGAAATCTTAGGCAAACACTCACAGGAAGCTCTGCTGGACAATGTAACATCCAGGGGAATTACTTCCCAGCTATCCTGTCCGAGCTCCTCATGAACTTCCTGGAAGTCAAGTGGTTAGAGATAGGCAAGGTAACATAGGGGATGGTGACCAACGGGATTTTGGATTTTGGATTAATTTCTCTGAAGCCTTTCCTTCTGAGTGTAATTGGACCAAAGATCCAGTAGCCTAATACAGCCACTGTCAACTCCTAACACAACCATAATCTACACACTTCCATTCTTTTAAAAAACGGAAATTGTAGTCCCGGCGTAGTGGTTCACGCCTGTAATTTCAGTACTTTGGCAGGCAGAAGTGGGTGGATCAGTTGAGGTCAGGAGTTTGAGACCAGCCTGCGCAACATGGCAAAAACTCCTCTCTACAAAAATAAGCCAGGTGCAGTGGTGTGTGCCTGTAGTCCCAGCTACTTGGGAGGTTAAGGCAGGAGAATCACTTGAGCCCAGGAGGTAGAGGTTGCAGTAAGCCGAGATCACCCCATTGCACTCCAGTCTGGGGCGACAGAAGTGAAACATTGTTTCAAAAACATATATATATGAGATATACATCATATATATGATATACATATACATATACATATATAGATATAGATAATATTTGTAGAGATGAGGTCTCACTACGTTGCCCACGCTGATCTCAATCCCCGGAACTCAAGTGGTCTTCCCGCCTCGGCCTCTCAAAGTATAGGATTACAGGTGGGTATGAGCCACTGCACCCAGCTGACACTTCCACCCTTGTACTGCCTCCACTGGCCAACAACGGTTGCCAGTGGTGAGGAAATGTGGTGCCTAAACTTCACCTGATCCTCATGCAGAAAAAATATAAACGAGAAGCCCATGCTTGCAACATAATGAGGAAAACAGCATGTTCTAGATGGAAAATTTGATGACAAAAGTTTAGTAGGAAGAAGATGAGATATCGTGTCATGTCAAATGAAATCAAACCAATAAAGCTGGTTAAGTTAGCTTTCCAGGTGTCCCTGAACACCTCTGAGAGGAGGAGATATTCCTCTGGTGCTGCTTCACTTAGCTCGCAGGTTTAAATGTCCTACAGGCTTTACATATACAAACCGATTTGGCCATTTCAACAACCCTATATGGTAGGAGGTATGATTACCACTATTCCGCACGTGAGGAACCTGAGGCACAGAGAAGATGAGTAACATGCCCAAGGTCACGGTGCTTGTAAGTGACAGAGCTTGGACTGGAACCCAAAGCACCAGAGTCCAGGCTCTCAACCACTATACTATACCGCCTCTCCCTGTAGTGTGATGGAGCGGCCCAAGATGGAATAGGGCGGAGTCCCCACAGTTTGGGACAGTTAAAACTGTGTTGTAACCTAGGGAAAGTAAGGCTCCACTGCCCTGCGGGATGTCAGGATGACGCCACCCCCATGGCGCTCCCTCATCAAACTCCTAGGGAACGAAGCCCCTCCTCACTGCCCCACAGACCAGCCCCGGTCAGCCCGAGGGCCCAGCGTGGTTGGAGGGTCCAGCTGCCTTCCCTGTCTGCACGTCCACACCCCCTCCCCCTGGGCAGCCCTGACGACCCGTGTCCAGTGTCCCAGAGGCCATGGCCCCAGGGCTCCCTGCGAAACAAGCTCAAGCCGCAGGGGCCCCGTTCGGCCCCTCGCGGGACCGCGCTTCCTCCCGCCGGCGACGGTCCACGCGCGGTCACCCCAAAGCCACTCTGGCCGCGGCTTCAGACCTTACGCGGGGGAAGGGGCAGCCAGCTCCTCGGGCCCATTCGTGATCCTCGGGCGACCTCTGGCGGCCGGCACGGGCATGGCCTCAAGAGAATCCCCGCCGAGGCCGAGCTCGTCCCGGGCGGCCATTTCACTTTGTGGACGGTCGCATTTTCCCGGCGGGCACTGCGACCGAGTTCGGGGCTTCAAGAAATGGCGGCCTACGCAGGCGTACTCACTACGGGCGCGTGCTCGCCGAGGTGCACAGGCGCGCACGCGTCGCGTACGCTGGTGGCGAGCGCGCATTCGCGCAGGCGCACACGTCCTGTGCCCGCTACCCAGATTTCGGGGAAGGTGAGGGGTGTGGTTCTGTGCCATCCCTTTTTCTTTTCCGTCCCTGCTGTCTTCCCAAATAGATCGTCAAGGCTCTACAGCAAGGTTTGTCAACCTTAGCACTATTACCATTTTGAACCCCATAATTCTATGGTGTGTGTTGGGGGATGTGGGGCAGCATCCCAGATCTCTGCATATAAGAAGCCAGTAGTGTCTCCCACTCCCAGTTTTGACAACCAAAAATGGCTCCAGACATTGTATCGTAGCAGGCTGGAAGCTTTGGGAGATGCCCCTGGGTCAGAACCACTACCTGAGAACGATGGTTCTCGACCTAGCCTGGAAGGAGAACAAACTGGGGAGCTTTGAAAAAGACACATGATGGAGACCCACCCCAGAAAAATAAAATCCAAATCTCTACCTGGGACTTCGGGAAGTTTTTGTTGTGTTGTAAACCAAAAATAAAATTCTAAGCTCCCCAGCTGAATGAATGGACACTTCTCTCAGCCAAGGGGACACAACGTGAAAAACTAGTTCAGGTCATGATGAGAAAGGGGAAGGTCAGACATGCCTCAATATATTCTCCTCCCTTTGGAATTCATGCCCAACTGACCAGTATTAACATTGAGAGAGATATTCAGACTGACAAAACAGACTCCTTGAAGCAATAATATGCCAAATTCCAACCTGACTCTAGTATAGCATCACATGACAGACAGCAGGTAATGAAAGAAATTGAAGTATTTTACACCAAAATATATTTTTTGACATATTTTGAAATGACCTGGCAAAGCTGTCTCTCCTGGGGGAAATTTACATTCTGTAGAGAATCTCCTTCCCTTTCCAGGACTTTTTCTGATCTGAGAGTCTAGCACCTTTTAAAGGTCTGAATAAGAAACATTGGCCATCTATTGCTTCTAAGGGCGGCCACTTATGAGACTTCACCTATATAAGAACTCTGGTCTCCACAACCCCTTATCTTAACCCAGGCACTCCTTTCTATTGATTCCAGGTCTTTAGAGAATAACAACTCTTTCAACCAATTGCCAATCAGAAAATCTCTGAATCCACCTATGACCTGGAACCCCACCCCCACCCCCACCCCCACCACACTCCCAGCTTTGAGGTGTCCGGCCTTTCTGGACCTAACTAATGTATACCTAGGCCTTTCTGGACCTAACTAATGTATACCTCACATGTATTGATTGATGTCTTATGTCTCCCTAGAACATAAAAAACCAAGCTGTAAGTGAACCACCCTGGGCACATGCTCTCAGGACCTCCTGAGGCTGTGTCACGGGTCATAGTCCTAACATTTGGCTCAGAATTTCTTCAAATATTTTACAGAGTATGGCCTTTTTCATCAACAGTGTATTTCAGTACTTCCTAGGTGATTCTCAAGTACAGCCAGAGTTGTGAAACACTGTAATCAAGAAAGTTTGTATTGGCCAGGCACAGTGGCTCACGCCTGTAATCCCAGCAATTTGGGAGGCCAAGATGGGTGGATGGCTTGATGTCAGGAGTTTGAGACCAGCCTGGCCAACACAGTGAAACCCTATCCCTAGTAAAAATATAAAAATTAGCTGGGCGTGGTGGCATGTGCCTGTAATCCCAGCTACTTAGGAGGCTGAGGCAGGAGAATCGTTTGAACCCAGGAGGCAGAGGTTGCAGTGAGTCGAGATTGCGCCACTGCACCCCAGCTGGGGCGACAAAGCAAAACTCTGTCTCAAAAAAAAAAAAAAAAAAAAAAAACACCTCTGATTTTGCAGACGTTTAAACATCAGAGGAAAGTAGCGTGAGCCTGGCTCTAGAGTTGGCTGGATCTGGGCTCTGTTCCTAAGTGTGTTCATTACAGGAGTGAGTCCCTCAATTTTCTCCTCTGTCAAGTTGCATAATAAGAAGCCTTATCCTTTTCCACGTTTGGGGAAAATTAAGGTGAGATCACACAGCATGTTAACCATGTTAACCAGCTGTAAGTTACTGATTCTGGGTCTTGAGACTAGGCTCCAAAGACAAGATTTCATAAACTAGTTTTTCGTAGTTTCTCCTGAGGATTTTCTTAGAGCCTCTTCCCTTGGAACTCAGTTCTGCCACTTGTAAGGCCTTGGCTAAGTCACTTAATCTTTCTATGCTTCAGTTTCCCACCTTACCCATCTCACAAGTTGCTGGGAAGGCTGTAAGGCACCTAGCACAGCACAGTATTGGTGTCAGCTGTTGTTTTCACTCTGATTGTTAATTGTCAGTGCAATTCGAATGAGAAAAGAAACACAATAAGGCCTCATACCTTAGATATCCATTGCCCACCCCAGCCCCCAGCATCTTGGTTTAAGTAAAAAAGCAACAGCAATGTGGTATGAAAATGCAAACATGCATTCACCTTTTAAACACCTAAATCACATGAGACTCCCCTTTGGCTTAAAACTTGAAATAAGATCCAATCTCTTAACCATGGCTTACCAAGGCCCTGCTCCATCTGTGGCCCTCCTCACTGGCCAAGCTCCAGCCACTCTGTCCTTTGGAACATGCTAAGCATGTTCCCACCTCAGGGTTAGTTGGTTTGTGGTTCCTTATCTATAGCTCTCTCCACCGTGTTCTTTCTAGAGTTGGCTCCTTCTCCTCTTTAGAGGAGATCGCCTGAGTTGCCTTTTCCACCCACCTAAGTAGTACCCTCCTCACTGCCATCACTCTATCTCAGCTGCGGCTGTTTTCTTCGGAGCACTATCCTTCCCAGGAGGCACAGAGACCTAGGCTCCAGGCTTTTGGGTTTTGTTGTAATTAGGCATAAACCTTTGAGAGACTGTGAGGAGAACCGTATGAGACACTGTGAGTAGAGGGCTGTGCACACAGTGGACTCCAATATCACAGTACAAGAGGCCAATCAAGCCCTACCTAGTTCACTGAGCCTCCTCTTCCAGCACTCCCCAACAAGGACACTCATCGCTGACCACATCCAGCTACATACAGTCCCCATGAAGCCCCCTTCCCCTGCTCTAGCGCTCATGTATTGCTCTAATCTGGACCAGCCTTTGCCCACCCCCTGCCTGAGAGTTCCTGGAGGGCAGAGGTGTTTCTGATTTGTCTGCATGCTCCAGCCTCCAGCAAAAGGCAGTTGCTGTCAGAGTGGTTGCTGACTGAAAGACCCTTTCTGACTATGATGTATTTCCTGGCCAAGGCAACAGTTTAGTGGAAAGCTCCCTGGCCCCAGAAGCCAGAGGGTTCTGGTTGGGGCTTCTGCCCTTGCTATGTGCCTCAGGCCAGCTCACAAACCTTGCTGGCCTCACCTTCCCAGCCAAAGGCCAATGGACACACAGCCCAAGCTGCCTCTCTCCACCCCAGAAGTTCAGCACTGTCTGCTCATGCCTTACCCCTTTGGGTCTGCCTTTGCATCCTCCTGGGCTGCTGTGCTGTTGCTCTTCCTATCAGCAGGGACAGCAGAGACTGAAGTGGCACTGGAGCTGAGGAAGGAAACACAGGCCTGCTGAGATCTCAGACCAAAGAAGGCTGGGGCCCAGGTCTTCCCCCTCCAGGCTGCCTTCTCACCAGAAAGGGAGGAACTGTGTCTTCCAGTAAAGGCTGGTGTCTCAGTCCTGGCATTAGTGTGGCACCGATGCCACTGTGTGTGACAACCTCATGTCAGCTTTGGACATGGCCTTAGCACCTGAGTTCAAGAGCAAACACTGCCCCTGACCAACTTGGGTTCCCTGGGGAAGTCTCCTGGTTTTGGGTTCTAGTATCCTGTAAGGTACCTGGATGTGCTTTGTTCAAGGAATAGGCAGAGGGGGATATCCAGGCCTGCATGACTCAATGAGTCTGGTGCACAGGTGCACACCTCCACTTCTTATATAACCTGTTTATGTAAGTTCATACTTGGCTCTAAACCACTATTGTCTGTAAAAGGTATAACTGCCCTGTTGACGCTGTGTATGGGGGACATGTCTCTTGGGGCTTGGCTCAGCTCAACATAGCTTGACATGGCGGGTGCACGGGAACCTAGAGAAAGAGAGAGAGCAAGAGCTGTCTGTCTTTGCAGGTGGACAGAGGGGAGCCAGGACAGAGGGGAGCCAGGACACAGCTTGGCTTGCCCGTGCCCAGGGAGAGAAAGAATTAAGCTGCTGACCCTGAAGGCAAGGGAGAGCTGGCCACGCAGCTGTGCGTAGGGGCCACCGGACTAAGCAGCCAAGACAGGGCAGACGGTGTGAGAGTAAGCTGCTAATGAGAAAGCTAGTTTGAGAAAGCTGTGTAAGAGAGCTGCTGCTGAGTAAAGCCATGTCTCATTTACCTGCTATCTCTCGAGTGTTCTTCCAGCTCCCTGCCCCACGTCCACCCATTCCCCTTAGCCCTCAGCTGCGGCTGGAACCTGACCCTGAGCATGACGTATCCTTACCTGACCTACACCTCTGTAGGGTTTATGGGAGTTAAGAAAGATCGTTCCTTACTAGGACTTGCCAAATGCTCCACACACCCACAGCAAAGTGGCCATGCCCACTGGTGGATTGGTGGGTGAAACAGGGCAGACGCTTACAGCATGGGAATGCACAGCTTCTTCCCATTGTACCTTTGTGCCCCAGGAGCCATTTTTGCCCATCCCAGCCACCGGTCCTGTGCTCCTGGGAACTGAGCCCTCTAATGCTGGCTGCCCCTGGGAATCTTCTCCCTGACTCCTGCTTGCTAAACCTGGCTGTAGTCCCTACAGCAGAGGTTCTCTGAGACCTCCTAGCAGGATCTCTTCCCAGGCTCTGCCTTCAGATGCCCTCCTCTCTGCCACCTCAGCTTGGGTCCATGTAGGTTGGTGCTGGGCTCTCTGGGTGAGCAGACATATCACCCATCCCTCTTCTTCCACTGCCCCTGGTCAGAGCTCCCCCTGGAGTTCCCTGTCTTGCTGTGATCACCTGATGTGAAAGTGGCATGGAGCTGAGAAGTTCGAGGGGGATCCTGGGGTGCTGCAGCTGAGGCTGGGCCCCAAAGGCTGTGTCTGGCAATGGGATAGGGCACTAGGGCAGTGGCCCTAACCTTACCTGATGGCTGCTGGTCTAGGCTTGCAGGACTGAGAGTTGGCACTGTGCCCATCCTGGTCTTCCAGGAAAGAGGCAAAGCTAGCAGCTGCACACAGCCTGTGAAAGAAGGCCAGACCTGGTCCAGGTTCAGGACTTTGTGTCTGTATGTCTACCCTCTCCCGAGAAAGTGGATCCTGCCCCCCACAGATGATGAGGACCAAGAAGCTGCTCAAATGGATGCTTGAGGAACAATATTTATATCTCAAGGCAGCCTGACACCTGGGGCTCTGTGGCATAGTGGTTGCCCTCTGGCGTTGCAAATCATGGCTTTGCTATCTCCCAGCTGTGTGACATTGGGCATGTTACCTGACCTTTTTTTCTGGGCCTCAGTTTTACCATCAATGAAATAGGGATGCTAATCATGTCTGTCTCGTAAGTATTCTGAGAAAAGTAAATGAGTTCATAGATGCCAAGTACTTTGAATAATGCCTGGGCCATAACATGTGCTAATGTGTTCCTGTTACCACAGGGCCCAGTGGCTGTTTATAGAAGCAGTGCACCTTCCCAGTCCACCTGTATTCACCCACTCAATATGGATTTAGTGGGGAATGTCTTACCCAACCTTCTCAGGGTGGAGTCACATTCTCTGTGTCTCTGTAAACCAGGCAGACTGATGCTCACGGCATGCTGAACAATCACTGCCTATACAAGCCTGTGCCCTCCACTAACCAGCACACTCACTAAGAGGTGCTCTTGTTTGGTCCCAGACCTCTTTATGCCAGTTGTATTTGCACAAGAAGGGGACAGCAGACCCTGGCCTCTGAAACCAATGTCTCTGAGCAGATCCAAGGAAAGGCCCCTGGGGCAGCAACTCAGTTCTTTGAGCTGCCACTAATGGAGAAGAATCACTAAGTTCGATGATTAAGTAAATCCATGAAAATGAATGGAAAAGGAGAGTGGTTGTTGCCATGAGAAACAACCTTTCCTTTGGAAAAACAAGGCAGGACGCGATGGCTCACGCCTGTAATCCCAGCACTTTGGGAGGCTGAGGCGGGTGGATCACGAGTTCAGGAGATCGAGACCATCCTGGCTAACACGGTGAAACCCCGTCTCTACTAAAAAATACAAAAAATTAGCCGGGCGTGGTGGCGGGCGCCTGTAGTCCCAGCTACTTGGGAGGCTGAGGCAGGACAATGGCATGAACTCAGGAGGCGGAGCTTGCAGTGAGCCGAGATCGCACCAGTGCACTCCAGCCTGGGGGACAGAGCAAGAGTCCGTCTCAAAAAAAAAAAAAAAGGAAAAACAATAAAGGAGTTTGTTGAAAATTATAGTCAAACTAAGTGTGGTCAGCCCTCTATGTTGTGGGTTCCACATCTGTGGATTCAACCAACTTCAGATTGAAAATATTTGGGACCAGGTACAGTGGCTCATGCCTGTAATCCCAGCACTTTGGGAGGCTGAGGTCGGTGGACTGCTTGAGCCCAGGAGTTCCAAACCAGCCTGGGCAACCTGGTAAAACCTCGTCTCTACCAAAAATACAAAAGTTAGCCAGGCGTGGTGGTCCACGCCTGTAGTCCCAGCTACTTGGGAGGCTGATGTGGGAGGATCCCTTGAGCCCCAGAGGTTGAGGCTGCTGTGAGCTGTGATCACAGCACTGCACTCCAGCCCTGGTGACAGAGCAAGGTCCTGTCTGAAAAAGGAGAGGAGAGGAGAGGAGAGGATGAGATGAGATGTGGGAAAAATAATTAAAATAGGATGGCTGCATCTGTACTGACCATGTACAGGCTTTTTTCTGTCATCATTCCCTAAACAATACAGTATAACAACTATTTACATACCACTTACATTGTATGAGGTATTATAATAATCTAGAGATGCTTTAAAGGGTACAGGAGGATGTGCATAGGTTACATGCAAATGCTACACCATTTTATATCAGGGACTTCAACATGCATGGATTTTGGTATATGAGTGAGGTTCTGGAACCAATCCCCCACAGATACCTAGGGACTACTATATAGGTAAGACAACTGTAAAAGACTGGGTTAAAATTCATGAAAATCTAGAAGATTCTTCAGATGACTTTACAAGTAACTTTGAGGCTTGGTTTCATTTTAAGGAAACAGTGGACAGCACAGGCTTCATGTTATGAGGGTGTATAAGCAGGCGGGGTGACATGGAGGAGACCAGAGCCACCCAATCACAGTAGACCAGAAGTCTCTTCCGCGACAGCCATCAGCAGAGCCAGTCAAGCTGCACCACTGTGGGGAGAGTAGCAGGAGCCCCGACTGGATAGAAGGCCAAAGATTCTGCCATGCAGGACCCAGTGGGCCATGGGAAAGGGTTTGGACTTCATTCTAAGGAAAATGGAGAGCCACTAGAAGGTTTTAGCAGGGGAGAAATGTGATCTAGCTTATTTTTAAAAAGATCCCTCCAATGCCTCTGCAGATGGCAAAAAGATGCAGGCTGCATGGACAGGGCTCTAGCGGAGTCCTCCCCATTAGTGGCAGCTTAAAGAACAGAGTCTCTGGTGGCCTCTCCTTGGACCTGCTCGGAGACAGTGGTTTCAGAGGCCAGGACCTGCTGTCCCCTTCCTGTGTTGACTTGTGGGCCTGGATTTAGAATTCGGGCTCTGGTTCCATGGCATGAATTGCAAACTATTGAAGTTAGTGAGGGAAAGGGGCCCTGGGTGTGCTGAGGGAAGTAGGAAAGCATCAGCAGGGCCTTCCCCACAGGATTCCCTCCTTGGCCAGACTGCAGTAGGATGCAGGAGGCAGATGATATCTTGCGGTTGTAGCTCTTTGCAGACACTGGCTTTGCCACTCCTCCCTAGCCATCTGCTCTGAACCAGAAGGACTCTAGCATAGTTTGGAGCTAAACTATTTATGCCAACATCTGCATACCTAGCCTTTGCCCCAAGAATGATTCAGGCTTGGTTTGGAACCACTTAGGGACAAGAGGGACCTTGCCACTCTGCAAATCACCTGAGAAAGTGGCCCCTGACTCCCTCCAGGTCCAAGAAGCCAGAGCCCAGCTGGACACGCTGGTCTCTCCAGGGCTACCGCTTTTCCTCTCCCTGAACCTCAGAGCAGAGCTGCCTGGGGTAGGGATGGGGCAGGAAAAGGAGAGAAGGGAGAAAGCAGGAGCAAAGGGCCTCCTAGCTGGTCCTCAGAGCTTAACCAAGAAGTAAGAAGGTGCCGACTCTTCCATCATTCAGTCATTCACTCATTAATTTGTCCCTTCATGTATTCCCTACACGTTCATTTGACCAGCCCAAGACCAGCACCATGTGAGGGCTGGGCCTCCAGCTGTGAGTGGGCCTAGTGCCTACTCTGGAGGAGCTTGAGGGCCAGTGGCAGGGATCAGAAAAATGAACAAGATTCCAAAAAGTGGAAAGCCCAAGGACACAGGATGTGGTGGAATGTGGGAGTGTGGGAGAAGCAGTAGACAGGAGCCATAGGAAGTGACCAGTGCCCCACCCATAGCAGCCCAAGCAGCCTGGCAGCTTGACCCTGGTCTGTCACCAGGGGCATGAGAGAACCTGCCTCCCCCGGGCAGCTCACCTTCCTCTCTCGGAGCCGATGTCTACTGCAGCCAAGCCTTCAGGCCGGGAGCCCGTGGCTCCGGATCCCACATTGCCATCACTCAACTGTGCACTTGACCTGTTATGAGAAGTGGAGTATTTGCTGACTCTAGTTGCGTTTTGATCTCATCTAACCCAGATGCCATGAGAGTGGGCCTCAAGACCAGAAGCACAGGCCTTTGGCTGCTACTCTGTGCTGCTCTGACCAGAGCTGAGCCAAGCCCAAGTTGACTCTAACAGGAAGTATTTCTGTATTTTTTCCAAACCTGATGGGTTGGTTGGGAGCAAGGTGGAAAGTCAGGAGGAGGTTAGTTCGTTGGTGGTGGGGGGAGCTGATTGCCAACAGAGCAAGGGGCAAGACATGTGGGTCTGGTAATAAGCCATAGAGGGATTCCTTTCCTCATTTCCAGGGCTCAGGGTTCCAGCTAGGGGCTCCAGGGATCCACACTGAGAAGACGGGTGTGTGGGTTCTTAGCTGTAACTGGCTACCAGGTTCTCACTGAAGAAATGCCCAGCCTGCAGCCACTGCTCACCAGACACATTTGGCACTGGTCTGGCTTGGAGGACAGGTCAGTGGGCTGGCTGTGCAGCGACTGGGGACAATCATCCCATCTGGACTCATCATCCACCGCTATGGCTCCAACTTCCCGTCCTGGACCCCTCACCCCTTGCCACAATGTCTCCCTTAGTCCACGGGTCATCCTGAAAGTCTCCGCTACATGCTCTATGGGGGCCCACATACTTTGGTCACTGACTCTCCCAGACTGCCAGCTTGGTGGCCTTGCTTTGCCCTGGCCATTGGCAGGGCTGCTTTGTCCTGCAGTAAAAGCACAGTGAGTGTGGAAGCTTCAGGGGAATGGAAGGAACTCAGCACAGGCCAGGAGCTGGGGATAGCCTGCCCTGGAGTTTGGTCCTGCTCTCTAACTGGCTCCCTGAGGAATCATGGCAGGGGCCTACCTCCCTCCAGGCCTCATTCATTCATTCTTTCTTTCTTTCAACAGATGTTCATTAAAGACCTGCAGTACCCCAGGTACTGGGGGAACAGTGGGAACAGGACCTTCCTGGCCCCAGCTGCATCCATTGACATTGCACCGGAGGCCATGGAAGTCCTTCAGCTGGGTGTATGTGGGCTCCGTGTTCTGGGAATGAAGTGTCTGCTTCCTGCACTGAGTTACCTTGCAGCATCTGTGTTGGGGGCCCTGAAAGCCTCCTCACCAGCCAAGTCCCTCTGGAGCTCTCTGGAGCAGGGGGCCTCCTTGTCTTTGTTGCCTGGGGAAGACCTATGGAGGAAAGAAATGGAAGTTAACCATGCAGCAGCCATTCACACTCAGGTGTGGGCTGTTACCTCATCCTCAAACGCCAGCTGTCTCCACGGAGCTTAAAACCTGCTACTGGGCCGGGTGCAGTGGCTCACGCCTATAACCCAGCATTTTGAGAGGCCGAGGCAAGAGGATCACTTGAGCCAGGAGTTCAAGACCAGCCTGAGAAACACAGCTAGACTCCATCTCCACAAAAATATTTTTGAAAGTTAGTCAGGAGTGGTGGTGTGTGCCTGTGGTCCCAGCTACTTGGGAGGTTGAACCTGGAAGGTTGAGGCTGCAGCGAGCTGTGATGGCACCACTGCACTTGAGCCTGGGCACACACAGCAAGATGCTGTCTTAAAAAACAGAACCAAAAACAAACAAACCCTGCTGATTGACAGATTGGCCAATTATCAAAACTTCATTACTAATAGCTACTGTTTTTTGTTTTTTGTTGTTGTTGTTTTATAGCTACTGTGCTGGGATTACAGGTGTGAGCCACTGTGCCTGGCAATAGCTACTGTTGATTGAGCATTTGAGCCTGTTCTCGTGACTTTATATGCATTAACTCTGCAAATCAACCCCAGGATATGGGCACTGTTATCACCCATGCCCATCTTTCAGATGAGCAAACGGAGGCACACAAAGCCCCTGTGATTTGCCCCAAATTTCACAGGTAATAAGAGGAGTAGCTGGGATTTGAGTTCTGGACTATATCCCTGATCCTAATCTCCTAATTTAAGCCCCCTTCTGTTCTCCTTCAGGTCCTCAGGGAGCCCCATGTTGTCAAATCCAGGAGAGACAGTCCCATCATTATTTCAAACCACCATTCAGTACTGCTGACCCAGTGGGCCACTCCAGCCTTCTCACCACCCCTCCTCCCTTGATCCTGTCAACACCACCTGCCTACCTCCCTGGCCACACACCTTCCTGGTCTCCGCCTTTTTCTCCTCCCTTTGGCGTGCTCCACCACTTGCTGGGCTGTCTCCTCCCCTCCCAAGGTGTCAACTGCCACCCTTGAAGCAGGGATCTCCACTTGTTCCTGCCTCTCCTTTATACTGGCCTGCACACCCACTAACTCCCAACTGGCCCTCAGGAGGCCCACTCTCAACATGGCGAGAAGAGACTGCCCTCGCCCAGCTGTCCCCAGGAGGGCTGGCCAGGTGGCTGCCACCTGCATACTGAGGTCGGTGCCCAGCTTCCATTGGCTCACCATGAGCCCCATGTAAAGCTAGTTTACGCTCATGATTTCAGCTCTATTCTGTCTGCATATAACGTGGAAATCTCTTGAGCCCTAATCACTCTCTCAAACCTCAATCACAAACCTTAAAATACCTCCCTCCTGGAAATTTTGACTTCAATGCCTACGAATAAACTCGTCAAATGAGTTCACTCAGCAAATGCCAAGTCTTTCCATCACCCCTCTCTGTCCCCCTGCTCCCTGCCCCAACTAGTACAATGAGCTATGGTGCAGAAGGTGGAAGGTGGGAGTAGGGCAGGCTGAGCGGATCTGCCTGCTCTGGACCATGTGACCTTGAGCAAGTTACTTAACCATTCAGGGTCTCAGTTTCTTAATCTGTAAAATGGGCATAGTGATTGTATCTACATCCATGCAGAATGGATGCTGCCATGCAGAATCGACAAGCCCTCAGATGCTGCCTGGGGAAGAAACTCAGGAGAAGGACATGACCCAGAAGACAGGACATTTGAGGTGGAACAGAAAGATGAAGAGGGGAAAGGGCATCTCAGGCAGAGCCTCCAGCCTGCACAGAGAAAGGCCCAGGGAGGGAGGAGCCTGCAGGTGGGGCCAGGTACTGAGTTCAGGCTGCAGAGCATAGTGGGAGGGGCTTTGCAGGGCTTTCTGCAGGGGGCTGGCATAACTACTTCTGCCCTTTGGAAACATCACCCAGGTAGATGTGGAAGGGAGTCCAGGGATGGGACAGTAGGAAACGGTCGCAGACAACTGGGTGAGTAGCAGTGGAGGCCTGGGCCAGGGGCAGAGCAATAGGGATGGAAACATCTCTAAAATAAAGTGGACAGGACTTGGTGCCTTGGGGGCAGAATTAAAGTGGGAGGAGCCAAGGAGGAGGGTAAAGGGACCTAGAGATCGCTCAGGACTCATCTTGGATGTCAATTCCTCCAGGAAGCCCTCCCCAAGCACTCCCACCCACCACACTGTTGAGAGGCCTCTGCTCGAAGTTCCTGCCACCCCAGGGATTAAGGGATGACCTTCAGTGTACACTCCCGCTTCTCTCCCCAGTCCCTGGCCTTCACAAGGTAGGGGCCCAGTCTCCCTGCTCGGATCTCTCCTAGCCTCCACCCCAGCCCCCGAATCCTGCCTGCATGTCACCTGGCTGTCTGACCCCCACCCCAGGGCAGAGGCTGAGCCCCTCGTGCTCCCTGCTGGTTGTGGCCTCCTTGACCCACCCCTCCCCAGCACAGAGCCTAGTGGCATGGAGAGCTGTGGACTCTGACCCAGTGACCCCACTCTATTCCCAGTGGCCCTCTCACACAGGCAGGGCAATGGCCTCAGTGGCCTTCACGGGCTCCTTAGACCCAATCCTCCTCCCACCCCCACCAACATCCCCAGCACGGCTGACTGGTCCCATCTTCAGCAATTGGCAGGGTTGAGCTGTCACTTCCCAGGGGCTCCTGGCACACAGCATCTCTGGCTGACCTCATTCATGCTCATGTCGGCGTCTGCCTCCCCCACCAGGCAGATGGCAATTCCAGCCAGGGGGTCCTGTTCACTACTGTGTCCCAGGGTCGGGCCTGTGCCCTTACACAGACTAAGCGCTTGCTCCATAATGGTTTTCTGAGTGAAAGAATGAGATGGGGCAGAAAACCCAGGTCGACCATGCCTCCCATCAACCTGTTGGCCCTACAGTGGCAGAGCCGGCCCTAGGCCTCATCATTTGCCACCTGAGGCTGCTGCTTCCATCTCTAGAATGGTGTCCAGGGAGCCAGGACAGCAGCAGGACCCCCATACCTCATGCCTTCCACGTCTGGGGCCACCAGGCGGAGTCCTGCCCTGGGTGTCAGGATCTGCAGGCGGACAATTTCCTCACCTCTTGAGCTGCGGGCCAAAGGAGAGACCCAGTGGGTTGCAGGTGAGAAAAGTCTCCCCCTTCTTGGGCTGGTGAGTGCGGTGGGCCGCCCAGACCCACTGCCCCCTTTTGATGTGCTCTCATCTCCTCCTTGGCCTTGAGCCTTGTTGGTGCTGCAGCTGAGCTCGGGCCACTGACCTGTAGGCCCCTTCCCCGGTCTCCCACCCCTGACCTGAGCCCAGCCCTCCCTCAGGCACAGCAAGGGCCCTTCTGGGTAGAAATGAAACCTCCCAACCCGTGCTTCTACCAACCATTTGCAGGGGCAACCGCAGCCTGTGACCCCACCAGGGTATCCAAAGTGGCCATTTGTGAGGCCAGGGGTAGTTCTGCATTCATGGACTGGTGGGGACTGAGGGGTACGAGAGACTGAGAAAACCCACAGACCAAATATGGAATGAAAACCAGTGGGAGGGGATGTCGCAGACTCGGGGATGAGGACAAAGGGCCCCTTTGAGCTTTCCTCTTGCCAGCCACGCTCAGAGCCCTCCCCCAGATGACCACAGGCCACCCCGGACACACATCCCTCCAAGTCTGATGCATTCTCTGGCCGTACTGCAAGGCATGACGCCCAGCAGGCTTGGCCATGGTGTGGCCAGGGCCAGAGAGAATATAGAGCTCCCAGGCTTTCTGGGGGTGGACCCTTCACCCCAAACCAGACCTCCTTAGGTCCATGGAGCAAAGCCTAATTCCAAGCCACATTGCAGTCACTCCTGCCTTTGTCCCTGGGCCCTGGAAGTGCAGACAAGCCTGAGCCCCAGGCCTGCCCTGGTGAAGCTCTGGGCCCAGCAGGGTCAGGCAGGGGCAGAGAGGCATGGAAACTGACCTTGCTGTGCTGCAGGGCCCAGAACAGGTTTAGCCATGGGAGCAGTGGACAAGCTTCATGGAGGCATAGCCCGACCCAGGCCAGCTGAAGGGAGATCGGGGGAGGAGGAGGAGGTAGAGGCTGGCAGGGGTCCTGAATGTACAGACTAGATCTGGTATGGCAAAGGGAAGATGCAGGATGGGCTTGAAGTGGAGGTGGGGGGTTTATAGGTTCAGACTGGCACTTTAAAGAGGCCACTCAGGGGTCCCAGGAGGGGTAGGGGATGGAGTGGCCAAGGTGAAAGCAAGGAATGAGCCATGGAGGGCTGGGTCAGCGGGCTGCTCATCTCTGTCCCTCCACTTCCACCCTGGCCAGGGCCTGGAGTGCTCAAAGTGACCAGAGGGAAATGGAAGGGCTACCAAGGACAAGGCCTCTCCCATCATGAAAGCCAGGAGGGGCCCTAGACACACAGACAGCTCTGACTTCTCCCCATCTCCTCTCGTGATAACGACGATGACATCGTTGTTGAGGATGATGTCATTTATGATGACAGTATAAAACCCCTGGCTGCCTCATTTAAATCAGGTGGTGCCAGGGAACAGGGATGTCACAGGCAAGCACAACATATTTTCTCACTGGCGTTTCTGGCTCTGTCACAGAGGAAATGGGAACAAAGTGTCACCCCAGCCTGCTCCAGTGACTGATGTCAGACTAGGGCAATGTGGGCAGACACAGAGGGAAGACGGCTGCGCGAAGACAGAGGCCGAGATGGGAGTGAGGCGGGCGCAAGCCAGGAAACACCAAGGATTGCAGGCAACAAAAGGTAAGAGAAAGGTATGGAACAGATTTTCCCCCAGAGCCTTTGGAGGGAGCATGGCCCTTCCGACACCTTGATCTCAGACTTCCAGCCTCCAGAATTGTGAGAGGATAAATGCGTGTGGTTTTAAGCCACTCAGTTTCTGGTACCTTGTTACAGCAGCTCCAGTAAACTAATACAAGGGTCTCTCCTCCCCCACAACCCGCTACCCCACCATCTCCCCAGACTCTCAACCACAGACAGCTCCAGTCCAAGCTGAAGTCCAGGACCACGCTGGAAGGCTGCACACCCTTGGAAGGCACCCAAGGAAGAGAGGCAGGCATCTGCTGAAGCCTGAAGCCCAAAACTGATCACAGCCACCTGTGGGAATGCGACCAACTGTGGCCTGTGCCAAACAGTGTGTGACTCATTCTGCCAAAGAGCGAGGAGGCGGGGATGTGGGGCGAGGGGATACCTCCTTTTCACTGCCTTTGGCCACATTTCCCTCAAATGCCAGCAGGTGGAGATATTGATCTCTTCCTGTATTTGAATAAGGGCCCTGCAGCTCAGCACGCCTATGACTGGGAGCCCCCGAGGATACCAGCACCCAGGCACTGTGGTAAGTACTTCAGGTGCACGATCTCATTTAGCATTTGGGACAGCCTTGGGAAGTAGCTATTACTGCTCTCCCTATTTTATCCACGGGGAAACTGATGCATGGAGAGATGAAGAGACTTGCTCAAGGTCACACAGTCAGTCTGATGCAAAGCCAGGGTTTTGTCCTGTGCCAGAAGCTGTGCTCCTACTCCCTGCTCCCCAGACGCTCTGCCAGGCAGCATGCTGGGCAGAGCCTAGGACCGGGACCCAGGAGGCCATGCCCTGGTCAGGTGAGGCAAGCTTGACCAGTGCTTCGGGTAAAGCAGCCAGGCCTGGGGGCCGAGAAGGGGTGCATGTGTAGAACCAGTTTCTCCAAGAGAGGGTCCCTAAACTGGGTTCAGGTTGCAAGGGGGGCAAGAGTTATGAGGAGCTGACCTTTGCACTGTAGCTAAGGGAAACAGGGCAGGGCAGGGGGTGGGGAGAGGGTAGCCTCGATAGGTCTGTGCCTGGGGACAAGGCTGTGACATTCTCCTCTTCCACTCTGCCACAAACCAGCCTTTTCTGAAGTGCTGCAGGACCCTGAGTTTGATTGAGTCATTGTTCCTCACGGGCTGGGCTTCTCAGACACCAGGCAGATAGGAGCTGGGCCTGGGAGTACTGATGGTGGCTGCTTGGTCCAGTGCAGCACCTAACGTGGTAGGGTCAGAGAAGACGGCCCTCCAGGGTCAGGATCAGCCAGCAGCTTTCCTGGAAGCTGCCTGGGTGAGCTCCAAATATTGAGTGACCAGAATTGGAGGAAAGAACTATCAGAAGCATCAAGCTGAGCCTCCTGTTGGGAGCTTGCCCCGGACCCTGAATCTCTAGCCTTTATTTGTTATGGCAACCTGAGCAAACTTAAAAAGCCACCTTGCAATGACAACCATATGATGGGGATTAAACATCGAAAGGAATTTTGTGGAATAAATGTCAAAGTGCCTTTTAAATCTATAATACAGCACAATCTAATTCTCCTCCATTCTTTCTCTCTTTTTTTTCTTGTTTTAGAGACAGGGTCTTGCTCTGTCACCCAGGCTAGAGTGTAAGGGTGCGGTCACAGCTCATTGCAGCCTCAAACTCCTGGGCTCAGGCAGTCCTCCCACCTCAGCCTCCCAAGTAGCTGGGACTACAGGTGTACATCAATGCTCCCAACTAATTTTTAATTTTTATTTTTTATTTTTTTGTAGAGATGGGGTCTTGCTATGTTACCTAGGTTGGTCTCAAACTCCTGGCTTCAAGCCATCCTCCTGCCTTGGCCTCCCAAAGTGCTGGGATTACGGGCATGAGCCACCATGCCCAGCCTCCTATATTATCTTCTAAAAGGCACCTGAGGCCAAGCGCGGTGGCTCACGCCTGTAATCCCAGCACTTTGGGAGCCTGAGGTGGGCAGATCACAAGGTCAGCAGTTTGAGACCAGCCTGGCCAATATGGTGAAACCCGTCTCTACTAAAAATACAAAAATTAGCCGGGCGTGGTCGCGTGCACCTGTAATCCCAGCTACTCGGGAGGCTGAGGCAGAAGAATCGCTTGAACCCGGGAGGCGGAGGCTGCGGTGAGCCGAGATCACACCACTGTACTCGACAGAGCCTGGGCGACAGAGCGAGACTCCATCTCAAAAACAAACAAAACAAACAAACGAACAAACAGAAAGGCACCTGAAACCATTTATTGCCTTTCTTTAAAAGAGAAATAAGGAGAAATGAGAACTGTATACTGTTATGGGCTGACTTGTGCCACCCAAAATTCATATGTTGAGGTCTTAACTCCCCCATGACCTCAGAATGTTACTGCATTTGGAGATGGGGCCTTTAAAGAAGTGACTAAGTTAAAATACAGTTGTTAGGGTGGGCCCTAATCCAGTTGGACCAATGTCCTTATAAGAAGTGATTAGGGTCTGGGCGCGGTGGCTCATGCCTGCAATCCCAGCACTTTGGGAGGCTAAGGCAGGAGGATCATTTGAGTCCTAGAGTTCCAGACCAGCCTGGGCAACATGGTGAAACCCTGTCTCTACAAAAATTTAAAAAAAAAAAACTAGCTGGGTATGGTGGCCTGTGACTGTAGCCCCAGCTACTCAGGAGGCTAAGGCTGGAGGCTCTCTTGAGCCTGGAAGGTCGAGGCTGCAGTGAGTGGTGACTGTGCCACTGCACTCCAGCCTGGGCGACGGAGTGAGACTCTGTCTCAAAAAAACAGAAGTGATTAGGACGCAGGCACACACAGACAGGGATGAGCATATAAGGGCCCAGGGAGAAGATGGAGTCTACCAGCCAAGGAGAGAGACTCAAGAGGAACCAACCTTGCCGTCACCTTGATCTCACACTTCTAGCCTCCAGAAGTGGGAGATGATACGTTTCTGTGGTTTAAGCGCCCCAGGGTGTGGTACAATACTTTGTTGTGGCAGCCTTTGCCCCCATATCCCTCAATTGCCAAGTCCCCTAGATCAGGGGTCCCCAACCCCAGCCTGAGGATCAGTACCAGTCTGTGGTCTGCTGGGAATCAGGCTGCACAGTAGGAGGTAAGCTAGAGATCATTACTGCCTTAGCTCCGCCTCCTGTCAGATCAGCAGATTCTCATGAGAGCGCGAACCGTATTGTGAACTGCACATGTGAGAGATCTAGATTGTGCGCTCCTTATGAGAATCCGGTGCTTGATGATCTAAGGTGGAACAGTTTCATCCTGAAACCATCCCCTGCTCCGTCCCGTGGAAAAAGTGTCTTTCACGAAACCAATCCCTGGTGCCAAAAAGACTGGGGAGCTCTGCCCTAGATATTGCCTTGTAAAGAATTCTCAAATCTTCCTTTCCACATCTTCTATGGACCAAAGTTCTTATGGGGAGAGTCAGACAACCAGAGAAGATCAAGAGAGGGAGAGAGTGAAAAGGAGAAGCACCCTGGCAGTCTGCTGCCTGGGGCCATGGAGGGAGCTGGCCTCATGCTCCTGGCTCCCTCTGCCAGCATTTCTGTCTCCCTCCCAGACTGAGGAAGTAACCCTGAGGACAGTGGTCACCTGTCTATAAATGGCTGTGGAGCTCAAATTGGGGGATTGCTATGGTATTAGGAGAGCCTGAACAGCCCTTGGGGGCCTGGGAAGTGACCGGTAGGGACAGGCCCTCTCCCCTTCTGGATGCAGGGGTCTTCCAAGGGTGCTACAGAGATGCAGCTCTTAGGAGACCTAGATTTGAGCAAAGGTCTCAATCCAGGCAGGCACTTTAAACAGCAGCAACAGCAGGTGGTGGCTCTCCCTGCAGGACTTAGCACCATTCTGCACAAAGTACAAGAAGGTATTAGTTGTCCACAGACAAGAGAGCACCATTATCTGCCCAGATTCTCAGGGATCAGAAATCAAGACAAATCACGGCCCTTCCTGGAGTGAGATCACCAGTGCTCAGCCTGTCCTTGCCCCATCACCCCACTGCCAGACCCTCCCCAGCTGGCAGAACCAGCCAGCCAGGCTGGCGGGAAGCCATCACACCCACTCACAAGCCAGAGTCAGCTCTCGGCACCCACCTGAGCTCCTGGCTCCCAGCGGGGCTAGGCATACTTGGCAGGCACTCGATCCAAATTGCCCGAGACGCTTTGGTCCTGCCTCCATCCGCACTGGCAAAGAAGGTGGCTGTGAGAGGCTCTGGAGATGTCAGAGCCTCCTCCCTGGGCATGCTGAATGTGGCTAACTTATTGGAGTGCAAGGAGCAAGTCTGACAATGGCATGCTACTGCCATGGTGGCTGGCCCTCTCAAACCCCAAGGATGGTACTTTTTCTTGGGGTGTTCAAGTTGCCACCAGGCTCAGTGGTGCAAGGGTTAAGGTGACACAGATACGTACTCATCAGACCAGAGCCAGGTGCTCTCTCCCGGGGGGCTGGACTGTTTTGCTCCTTTCAGCCCTGGGACATCCAGCCAGATGGGCTCTTACTGATTTCTTTGTCCCGTCTTGTCACTGGGCACATGGGGACACTGATCTCGAAGCCCAGCATGGAGGTGCCCTGACTGAGGTTCCTCAGTGACTGAGTGGCAGGTATGGCAGCCACCAGCCCCAGGCAGAGATGAGCGCAATGGATTACCTGTTTGAGCCAGGAGTGGATCTTGCCAGAGCAGGTGGGTCCTGGCTCTTCTCAGAAGGCCCGTCCTCTTCCACCACCTCCACCCTTTGAGCAAGAAGAGAAACAGCGCTCGTGGTCTTCTTGGCTGCCCTAGAGCTTGGAGGCCTCAAAGAACATGCTTCCAGTGGCGTCTAACTGACCCAACCCTTCAGGATCACGGCCAAGAGGTGGCCCAGGCTGGGGGTTCAGTGACTCCAGCTCAGGATAAGGACAGCATACTGGGTTGAATAGTGTCCCCCCAAAATTCATGTCCCCTGGAACCTGTGACTGTAACCTTATTTGGAAATAGGGTCTTTGCAGATGTAATCAGGTAAGATGAGGTCATACTGGAGTAGGATGGGTCCTAAATCCAATGACCGCTGTCCTTGTAAGAAGAGGGAAATCTGGACACAGACACACAGAGAAGAGAAGGCCATGTGAAGACAGACGCACAGACTGGAGTGATGCAGGTACAAGCCGAGGAACACCAAGGATCACCAACCACCAGCAGAAGCCAGGAGAGTGGCCTGGGATGGTTTCTCCCTCAAAGCCTCCAGAAGGAACCCACCCTGCTAACACCTTGATCTAGACTTCTGGTCTCCAGAACCGGGAGAGAATCCCTTTCTGATGTTTTAAGCCACTCAGTTTTTGGTACTGCGTTACAGAAACCACAGGAACCAAATGCAGCCAGGAAGACCCCCCCACCGCCCCCCGTTCTCTGTCACTTCCTTTGTGCTGCCACCATCCCTGCTCTCTGTATTCCTGCCAACTTCCTGGTCTTCCAACACAGCAAGCTAGTCCCACCCCGGGCCTGTGCACTGGGGCCCTCTGCCTGGGGCAGTTGGCATGCTGTCTTCTCTTGGGTTTGCAGTCCCCAGCTAGCCACCTCAGCACAGAGAGAGGCCTTCCCTGTCCACTCAACTGGAAGTCCCTCAAATTCAAGTTTCCAGAAGTTTCTTTCTTGCTTTCCCCCGAATATTTTCCTCCTCCAGAAGGTGCCCTGTCTCAACTAATGGTGACACCCCTCCCTCATTCAGCTGGAGTATCCCGACGTTCTGATCATTCCCTGTTAAGCCCTGTTCACCCTTTAGGGCCCATCTCCAATGTCACAGTCACCTCCCAGGGGAAGTTCTCCTGATGGCCCAGGTTTTGATCCTGGATGAGAGCAGAAGGCAAGGCATCAGGCAAGCAACAGGGGCAGGGGAACAACTCCCAGAGGGCCTTGGAAATGCTCCACGTTGGGTCAGGGGCCCAGCCCCATTAGCCATTGGCAAATGGAAGAGCTTGACCACATATGCTACCACAGCCACCCAGGTGCTTGCCAGGCCTCCAGACAGAAGCCCCCAGCCCCTCACAACTCCCCCTGCTCAGGGACAGTAGTCCCCCACATCCACATCCCCTCTCCACAGCTCCCACACTACACCCCTGCTGACGGAAGGCCTTCCTGTGGCCAGTAACAGGCCTCCAAGGTGTCCCTTGATGACACTTACCTCTTCGCGATAAACGGTGCCTGTGTCTCCTGGGTAGGACTGCTGGAAAGGAAGCAGAAAGGCAATGCTTTGGGCAGAGCCCGTGGGCAGGTGACATCAAGACCGCTCTACCTCAGAGGGTCCTGGGCCCTCTCCATTCCCGGCACTTCACTGTCCCTGGTGGTAGCCGCCAGACCTCTCCATTTTCTAGAAAGTACATCTGAGAATCTGAGAAGGCTCAGCTAGGAAGGCCCTTGGGGGTGATCTCTCCACCCACCCTTTCATCAGCCAGAGAAGGCTGGAGCTCTGAGGAGAGGAGAGCTGTCCTAGAGCCTGGAGCCAGTTGGTGGCAACTCACCCAGTGCTCTTCTTGGCCGCTGACAGGACGTAGGAGTGCTCCCGGGGAGCTGTCCTCCTCAGAACACCGCTTGCAGCCTCTGACCTGGGGTGACACGGGATGGGGGAGCATCTGATGGGTGCCAAGCTGGACATGCTCTGCCAGCCTAGCCTGGGATGGACTCGGGGTGACTTAGGGCCACCCCAGGGAGGCAAGGGGTGAGAGAAACCAGATTTGCACCTGCTCCAAGGACTATTCAAAGGAAATGTAGAACCTGAAGGAAGGGCAGCCCATGTTTATGGAGCATGTGGCATGTGCCCGGCTCTGCGCCAGATGCCAACATCCTCGCATTGGCTTATTGCTCTTCTCAATCCAGGAAAGTAGACGCTAGTATCCTCTGTGATTTACAGATGAGGAAACTGAGTCCAAGAAGCTTTCATTATTTGCCCAAGAGCACTCACCTAGCAGGTGGCAGAGCTGGCATTCAATGCTAGGCAGCTCCTAGCTTCTGGCTCTTTTCCTTGCTCCACCCAGGCCTGGGGGCCCCTGCCACTGTGAACTGTTCCCTGAGGATAGCCAATCTGCCAGGGCCTTTGGCAATGGGGCTTTGCTGTGATTCCTGCGCCACAGATGGGTCAGCAGATATGGACCTGGTGGCTGGCTGAGCCCAGGGAGGGGAGGGCTTTATTTCCTCAGGGCCCAACTGCTGTACAGGCCCCAAGCCAAAGGCATACAAAAGGTGCTTAACAAACCCTTCCTGTCATAGTTCACCAGCACTGGGTGGTATGTGGTCAGTCCCCATGGACAGAGGACTGAGGAGGGGCAAGGGTCCATGGAACTTTGCTGGCCTGTGTGGACGAGGGCAGCTTGGCGCAGAGACTAGGGTAGAATTTCAGCAGCATGGGGCACACTCCCACTGCTGTGCATGCCTGGAGCTCAGTTTGGGGTCCGGGGCATTCAGAACCCCCAAGGCATGCAGATCATGCAGATAGAGGGCACTGTGCAGGTGGCTTCTCCCTGAATATTTTTGTTCAACTGTCTCAGGGCCCTTTCTAACAAACCGATTTAGAGCCCTGAAGAGCCTCCACATGAGGAGGCTTTTCCCCGGACCCACATTACCTAGGTTCTACCCCACAGAAGGTTCTCAAGGGCCCCTCAGCTGGTCCAACACTGAGTGGGTGGTTCTGGCACTCAGAGAATGACACCTATTCTCATGCTCCGTGGGCTACCGCTGATGGCCTACGTGTTGTGCATTTTGTCACCCCAACCAGTACAATTCATTCCAGCAGTCTTCGAAGACTCAGGCTCCTGCCCTGCCCCCCGGGATGCCCAAAAGGCACCATTCCATTACCTCCGTTTCTGTTCATCTGAGGAGAATGGCACCACCTCCTCCTCCTCCTCCTCCTCGGTGTCCCCTGATGTAGAGCTGCGCCTGATATTGTAGGGTGCCCTAAGAGAGGGGAGAGGCGCTTTCCTGTCATAGGCTGCCACCCTCAGCAGCTTGGCTTCCTGGCTTTCAACAACAATGACGAGGCAAGTCAATATCTCTGCCTTTGGGCCTTAGGTCATGCCACTTGTTCCTCCCTGAGACCAGCTCTCCCCTCCCTCCCTGTTCGAGCCTCTCCCCTTCCCCAGAAAGGTTACCCAGCAGCTCCCCAACCCTGGATGATGGAGGCAAGGGACAAACAACGGAAAGATGTGGTCCCCTGGGAACTAGAGACACAATTCACACCTCTGTCCAGAGAACCCTCCTCCCTGAGCATGCAGTGGGGGGTGGGGGGCTTTGAAAGGGACCCCAAGGGGAGCACTAAGGGAAAACCCGAAGGTTTCTATCCAAGAAGCAGCTCAGATTTAGGCACACAATGCTCAGACTGACAGCAGCACCCTGAGGATCCCCAGGCCCCCAGCCCAGTGCAGCCAGGCAGAGCACCTGAGGCTCGGCCGGGTGCAGGGCCAAGCCCAGGAAGCACAGCCAGCCAGCAGCAGCCTCACGACCCATGACCCTTTCCCCAGATCCGTGGGGCCCCTCCTACAAGCTTCCTGCGGTCTCCGCTCTGCCTCGGATCAGACGTGCAATGTGCACAGCCATCCAGTTTTCTGGGGCTTGTTACCCTCTGGTGGGCTCCAGGCCACAGCTGCAACTGGCAGGGAGTGTCAGGCAGGCGGGACTTCCCGGGCTGTGCTCGGTGGCAAGTAGTCAGCTGCCTTCAGTGGACCCAGAGTTTGGACTTGTTCCTTGGAGGAGGGAACCACGCTGAGCCTGGCGTTGCATACTCACAGCTTCTTGTAATCCTCAGTGGTCATCTTGTAGCCAGAGGAGGAGGGGCGGGGAGGACCAGCGTTAGCTGTTCTCACCAGACTGGCAGCACTAGAGAGGAGAAGGTTCCATGTGTCTACCTGCAGGCTCCCTCCTGCCTCCAGATTTGGCCACACAGCCCAGTGGACACATGAGAGGTGGACCAGGAGCTGCCTGGGAGCCTTTCCTCTTTGCTTTTGGCCCTGACAGACACCCGGAACTGCGCCACTCAGAGCAGCTGTGTAGGCAAACCCCACCGAGCTTCAGGGAACAGCCCAGCGGGCTCTTGCCTGTGTCTTTGCTTCCTGTTTCCGGGTCCCCTTGGCCTTTCCAGTCTGACGGAGTCCCAGGCAATGCCTGATGCCAAGGTGCTTGAATTGCATGCAACTTCAGCCTTCTCAATGCCATCAGCAAGTCAAGTCAAGGGTGCCCACTGCCAGGCTAGGGGGACTCTACACCCAGCCCCTCCCAAACTCCTGCACCTCTCTGTCCCATTAGCCAGGCCTAGTCAGGACTGACCCCAGGACAAGGACACTGTTAGTGGCCCAGGACCTCCCAGAGACCCACACATCCACTTGGGACTGCCAGTCCCACCCCAGCCCATCTCCTCTGGTCACCCCACCCTGCTCTCCAGGGTCCTGCCCTACCCAGGATGAAAGCTGGCACCTCCAAGGCCCCACAGTCCTGATAGGCAGAGCACTGTCTCTGCCAGGAGCCCAGACCAGGCCCTCACACCTCCCCACTGGCCGACTGGCCAACACCCCATGGACATACCTTTTTGGAGTCCCGTTGGCCTTGGGGAACTGCTGCTGGGGCTGGGAAGAGCTGTCTATGGGCTTGGTGAACACTCCCCTGAAAGAGAGCCCAGGAGATGCCGGTGAGCTCCCTGGAGGGACTGGAGGGGTAAGAAGTCAGGGCTTGGCGTGAGTGGGCACAGGAAGGCCGGCAGAGTCCTGCGGTCACTTACCGGATGATGTAGCCAGTGGGAGCCCTTGTGCTCGGAGGCCTGCCGAAGAGAAGAAGGGGTGGAGTGAAGCGAGGCTTGCTGGAGGGCTGAGGTCATCCTACTTTATCCTGCCCTTAACGATAGCAAATAAGATTGGCTGGCAAGTGCTCCAGGTGTCCCAGTACAGCAGAAACGAGGGGTGCCAGCCCCCTGTGCCCCTGATCAGGTGCCCGCTATGCTCTGCCTATTTCCCTCATGCTCCCCCAGGAAAAGTGCCCCAGGTGACTCCTCATGGCAGGTGCCTAGGAAGGCAGCTTGATGGCCTCTCCAAAGTCCAGCTTCTCCTTGGCCAGCCAGTTCCCAGTGCTGCGCCGACGGAGCACTGCTCTCAGCTGACAGCCCTCCCATCCTCTGTGCTTGGGGCTGAACCAGTGCAAGCTGGAGGCTCCCCAGTCAGAGCCAGAGGCTTCCCCTCAGCCCGGGGTCTGACCTGATCTCCCTCAACAGCCTCCACCAGGAAGGTGCATGAGGGCTTGAAGGGGAGAGCCCAGGCAGCAGCCAGCCGAAGCCAGCTGTCCCCCTTCCTGTCCCTCGGGGCCCTCTTTGCTCCAGCTCCTTGCATGCCCACACCCCAAGTCTTGGTGGAAGTTTGAGACGAGAGGGCGCGGCCAGGCCTTGTTCAGCGGCTGGGAAACATTAGGCTCTGGGTGCTTGGGACCTCCTGCTTGGCAGCAACTGAGGGGGCTCAGATAACTCAGGGGGCAGCCAAGACGAGCGGGCAGGGAGCTGACAGCCAGGGGTGGTCAGCCTGGAAGTTCTGGCCTCCGGGCAGGAGTTAGGGGCCCCTGCAAAGAGTCCTCCTCAGAGTTAGGGGAGGAGTCAAGGGGTCAGGGTAGACCCTTCTGTCCTGCAGTGGAGGGGATGTGGGCTGGAGCATCGGGGTTTGGGTCAAGGGCAACACAGAGCCTCCGGTAGTCTCCAACCCCACAATCTCCATCTCTAACAGGGGACAGCCTCCCAGAGGTGGCCATGTTGCAGGCACACTTGGGGGTTCTCGCTTTTGTATTGAACTGTTTACTAGGGTCCTGCCTGAGTCCCCTGCTGGGACGTCAGTTGCCCAAAGACAGGGCCTTTGTCTTGACCACTCCTGCATCCTCTGTGCCCAGCATGGGACCTGGCAGGTAGTGGGCGCTGAGTCATCGAGGGGTGACAGAGAGACCGTAGTTACTAAAGGTAGCCCTGTGTGCTGGCTGTAAACTTGAGGCCCTCCCTTCCAGAGGCCGCCACTGCCTCTACCACCCCCTGAGAAGCCGCCTGCCGGCTGTTTGGAGCAAGGAGCGAGCCTGAATTTCAGTTCCCTTTCTCTGTCAGGAGCAGTTCCTCCAGAGGCCAGCAGGGTGTGCCCACGCTTCAGAGCCCCCCTAGACACTGTTATGGAAAAGCCCCCAAAAGAGAGAGAAGCCAGTTCTCCTTGGTCAGCTGACAAAATATGTCACGGTAAACTTGGGAGACAGTCAGAGCAAACTCGTGCCTCTCTACAGGCATGCTGAGTCCCAAGTACACTCAAGCAGTCAGGGTGACCTGCAGGAGTGAGTCACTGTGACTCTGGAAGCTGCCCAAAGCATCTCAGAGGCAGTATCACTCCCTGCAGGGAATGGGTGGGAGGTCGTCTTCTTCTTAAAGACAATTTCAATCCCAGTTAACAGCTGGAGCCACGGAGGCCCAGCAGGGAAGTCAGCTGCCCCACAGCCACACAGCCAGGCCAAGGGCCTGGACCAAGTGACTCCTACACTCCCCTTCCCAAAAGGAAGGTGCAGTGGAGAAGCCCCTCCTTCCTGCAGATTTCAAATTACTCATTGCAGACCCTTGGCTGGGGCTGCATCCCTGTCCCCTGTGGACTGCCCACCCCTCCCTGTTGAGGGCTGGCCCCAAGCTGCAGGAGAGTCCCTGGGGCTGACCCACCAGCCACCTGAGCACCACCTCTTACCTAGGCTTCGGAACCTCCCCAGCTGATGAAAAGGATGTGGCGCGACTCCGGCCTGAGGGCAGCTCTCTGGGGGAAAGAGGCATCCTGAAGGATTGGCTCCGAGACTCCCTGTCACCTGCCATCCTGTGGCCTCCATCCTAGAGGCTGCCCAGCAAGTCCTGCCATTTCTGCCACACATTCTCCTTCCCAGGCACCCAGGGGCTCTCCCACCCTGTGACATTGCTGGATAGCCTTTCCCACGCTCTGCCCTCCACATGGCCTGGCGGAGCTCTGAATGGTGGAAGCCCCTTCGCATCCCCAGGTATGGTCGGTCCCCCACGGATTGCGCGCCCCCACGTTGCTGCGGTCCCTCCCCGCCTCCTTGCCTTACATGGTGCGACCCTCCGATTCATCCTGCTTGGTAATCCAGCTCTTGTCCCCCTTCAGCGTGGTTCGCACTTTCATCTGCTTGAGAACGTTATTGCGCTCCTCCTCGCCTGGTGGCAGAGGCTTCCCTGTGGTGGGAAAAGCCAACCGCCTCAGAAGAGGAATGCAGCCCCAGGACCCTCGACCTCCTTTCCAGTTCTCCCAGTATGCTGCTCTCCCTTTGCTGCTGGGACAGTGCTTGTGGCCTGTAGGGGCAGGCTTGGAAGCAAACAGCCCCAAACAGAGCCTGGGAAACCAGGGAGCCCAGGCCTCACCTTTGGTGCGGCCTCCAAGAGCTGAGATACTCATGGTGATTGCTCCGCAGCTCTCCTCTCACTTGATTCAGCAGGGCTTCTGGGGATAAAGGTAAGCAAATGCTGTCACTTCATGCATTTGTAGTGTCTTGCAGGTGACCATATGGGTCCTGGTACACCAAGATCATCCAGACTGCCCTCTGCACATCGGGGGTGGCAAGCGTTGGTGGAGTGCTAAGTATGGGCAGAAGCCAGGGGGCCAGCACTCACTGTACCTGCTGCTGCCCAGCGGCACACCCACCTGCCTGCCCAGGGCTGCTCACCTAGAGAATGTGGAGCTCAGGGGCTGCCAGGGACTGTCTGTTCAAAGCGATCACTGATAACGGGAGAACATGAGCCCTCCTACAGAGTGCTAACAGCCTGGCTCAGGCTGGGGGGTGTGGGGAAGACAGCTGGCACTGGTGGACTCAGAGGGTGGGAGAGAGTGCATCCAAAGCCGAACAGCTTCAGGGCAGGCAGATGGCCTGTGGAGAGGGACGGGCTGGGGGACCAGCTGCTTTGGGGTTGGACCTTGCTTCTCACCCCTTAGGAGTTTTCTGACAGACCTTGGGCAGGTCAGCTAACCTCTCCGAGCTGCCTCAGTTTCATCATTTGTAAAATGATAGTTAAAAAAAAAATTCTACCTTTCAGGACTGCTGTGAGGATGGAATGCGCCGATGCTCCTATAAGTACCCGGCACCACCTGAAAAGGAGCCAAGCAGCAGTAGCTCTCAAGTCATCTGCTAGGAGAGGCGCGGTGGTCCTCAAACAGCGCCAAGAATGGTCTGGGGTGTGCAGCCCTGTTTCCTTCGGGGGTTGGCTCCACCTTCAGTGGGGAAAGCCCAGGGCCCCACTGCCAAATCCTAGTGGCCCTCAGGGAACAGGCGAGTGTGGCAATGTGGTAAGTTAGGCTTCCTTACGCCCTGGCCCACAGCTGCCTTGAGCTCTGCTTCCTCTTCCTCTGTGTCTTCTCGCCCTGCTCTACCCCTGAGCCCGGTGCTGCTCATGCTGCCCAGACGGTGCCACACTGCCTTCAGCCTCTCTGCCCTTGAGCCCAGTGCTGCCCTCTCGTGCCCATGAGGGGTGAGCTGTGGTGGTCTCGAGGGCCATTTGCTCCGGAGAAGGGCCCAGGGTGATGAAGCTGGCTCTCCAGGCTGGGAGCGACCCAGAGCTGCAGGGAGCCCTGAGTGGCCACAGCCGAACCCTTGGGCCTCAAAATAGGGGCTGGGGGCTCAGGCTTGTGGGCATGACAGGAAGCAGGGCCCTGGTTGTGCTGGCATAGTCACAAAGCAGAAGAGCCTTTCTCTCCAGGGCCTTTCATCCCCTGGGCCCCTCCAGGGCTAGGGTCTGACCAGCTCAGCACTGCTGCCAGCTGGCAGGGCCTGGATGTGTTTCTGTGGAGGTCAGGGGCACACTCAAATGGGCAGGGCAGGGGGACGAGAGCAAACCAAATTTGCCACATCAGCAAGAGCTGGCTCTTCCATAAACTGCACTGAACGAGCAGCCCAGACAGCCCGAGCCTGCTGTGTGCCAGGAATGGCACCTCATCACTGCAAATGGGAGCCCCGCGTGCCCAGCCCTGCACCAAAGCTGCCACGTTAGAGTTCTGTTGAGTGGCGCTCACTCCACAGGTGTTCCTAGGGCCATACAGGCCTAACTGTCCCCATCCCAGCAACCTGTGGAGTGGCCCCATGGGCAGGGCACATGTGCAGAGTCTCTGGGTGCCACTGACTGACTACAGACCTTGGGACAGTTCCTCACTTCATCTGGGCCTCAGCTTTTCACCTGCAGGAGGACCTCCTAGTCTTTCGTCTTTAGGTTCCTTCTAACCTTGCTAGGCTGTACTAGCTAGTATGACTTATTTTGCGCTGGGCACCTCAAAGACGTACTCCTTTCTAAGGCCTCAGGGACTGTAGCCACCAGCTTCCACATATGAGCGTGGCAAGCAGGTGACGGTCATCCACAGTTTCGGGGGTGGACTCCATCCCAGGCCCAGTACCAGGCACAAGGACTCATCAGTTACCCCTTGTCAAACCTGATGGCCACATTGCCTAGAAGTTTCCTGCCAAATCAGGACCAAATAAGCCACTTCCAAAGTCAAGACAGACACTTTTGCACATGCAGAATGACAGAGGCAGAGGGACCCATGGCAAAGGAGGGCAGGGCTGGGTGGGAACACCATCCGTCCCCTGCAGAGGGCACCATGCTGCCTTCAGTCCCGTCTTTATAGCTGAGACTCCAGTCAGAAGACTCCGGGTTTATTGCCAGACAAAGACCAGGGCTGGTGCTTCTGCATGGGCTCCTTTCCCTCACGCCTGGCTGAGTCTCACAAGTGAAATTTCTTTTTTGATGAGACAATAAATATGAAAGAGTCAGAAAAATCTCTGCCAAAGTAGAGTCTTTCCACACGATGAAGTGTAAGGCAGTTCTTTGGGACAAGGAGCCTTTAAAGTGATGAGTGTCAGGCAGTGGGATGGGGTGGGATGGGATGGGTGGGATGGATGGGATGGATGGGATGGGATAGACGGATCAGATGGGATAGATGGGATGGATGGGATGGGATGGATGGGATGGGATGGACGGATCAGATGGGATGGATGGGATGGGATGGGATGAATGGGATGGGATGGGATGGATGGGATGGATGGATGGAATGGGATGGGATGGGATGGATGGGATGGGATGGATGGATGGAATGGGATGGGATGGATGGGATGGGATGGGATGGGATGAGATGGATGGGATGGGATGGGATGGGATGGATGTGATGGGATGGGATGGGATGGGATGGGATGGGATGGATGGGATGGGATGAGATGTAGTGGGGTGGGATGGGAGGGATGGGATGGGATGGGATGGGATGGGATGGGATGGGATGGGGCGGGGTGGGGTGGGTGGGGTGGGCAAATGAGGTTGGAATCTACATCCCATCTACAGAGCTGACTTCTCCCTCCAATTTGCCCTGGTCTAGGCCACGATCCCTTGAGACCTCCTCCCTGGTCCCTGGCCTGCTGCCTTTATCTGCACCTCCTCCAGGCAACACTCATTGGTCTCTAATCCCACTTGGCCCACATCAGCCTTCAATTCTCAGTCAGCACCTGATGGTTCCACACTGTTTCTAAGACTGGGAGCAAAATCACCAGTCCCCTGAGCCAGCCTCTTTCCCCCCAATGCCGACACTGTGCTCCAAGCAGACCATGTGCCTTGGAGTCCCTGGAAGGTAGCCCTGCCAAGTGAATGCCTGTGCCTTAGCTTATACTGGTCCGCCCACCTGAAATGCCCTTCCAACTTCCGCCGAGCTAAGCCCTGCTTCTCCCTCAGGGCCCGGCACGTCGAGGCCAGCCCTGCTCCTACTGGGTGCTCCCCTCCCCTAACTCCCACAGCCAGGCACAGACCTGCAGATCCAAGTCTTCCCAGGCAAGCCCTGCTCCTCCCCCAACCTCAGCAAGGACCAAGCCCAGGCACCCTGTGACAGCCCAGCACACCCCACCAGGGAGTGATTGCCTGAAGCCACCTACCCCTGCTCGGACCCAGGTCTCCTCCCAGATCCACCGTCCCCTCCCCTTGTCCAGCCCTTCACAGAGAGCAGGGCAGAGTGGCCCTCCACTCAGTGACAGCCAGGAAGACCCTTGCTACGGATGTAAGCAGCCTTGAAGGATGGAATGTGGACCCCTCCAGAGGTGGCTTCCTGGTGGCTCTTGTGGGAAGGGAAACCAGGAATCTCGACAGAATGAGTTTCTGTATGTATCAAAAGGCTTAAGGGCAGGCCTGCTGGTCCAGTAATTCCCCTCGCAGCCAAGTAGCCTGAGGAAGAAATTGCACGAGTACAGCAAAGATGTATATGAAACAGGTGTCATCACAGTGTTGAGTATGGGGGTGAAAATGTGGCAATAATCTACATGCCCATCAATCATATTTAAACATATTGTAATCTATCCATTCAAGCAAATACTATGCAGCTATTACAAATCATACTGAGACATGTAGTATTTAACATGCTTTATAAACCTGTATTGTGTACAGTTTCTATACATCACTCAGTGAAAAGCAGCCCGTAAAGCAGGATGTGTATGATGGTGTCATCTAAGTCAAAATATATTTACATAAAAATGCACAGGGGAAAAAATCTGTAAAGATATACACCAAAATATTTTGCTCCTTTGTGTATTTCTAATTTTCCTGTCATGAACGTGTATCTTCTGTGTGCTAAAGATGAGCCCGACGGTGGTTTACCCAAATGAAGTGCGAGTGGAGTATGCTTGAGCAGCCAAGGGATTAGTCTCAAGAGTTGATACCAGGGCCGGACGTGGTGGCTCATGCCTGTAATCCCAGCATTGTGGGAGGCCAAGGTGGGTGGATCACCTGAGGTCAGGAGTTCAAGACCAGCCTAGCCGACATGGGGAAACTCCATCTCTACTAAAAATACAAAAATTAACCAGGCATGGTGGCATGTGCCTGTAATACCAGCTACTTGGGAGGCTGAGGTAGGAAAATTGCTTGAACCTGGGAGGCGGAGGTTGCAGTGAGCTGAGATCGCATCACTACACTCCAGCCTGGGCAGCAGAGTGAGACTCCATCTCAAAAAAAAAAAAAAAAAAAAAGAGTTGATGCCAGGCAAGCAGTGCCTAGGAAGGATGGGAGGTGAGGAGAATGAACAGATGCAGGGACTTCTCTTGCTTGCTCACTCCGAGGAGGAAATCCCCACAGCAGCAAGGGCAGGCCCTCAGCCTCTGGGGCCCAGCTGTGCTGTGCACTGCTTTGGGCCACGCAGTGCTGCAGCCTGGGCCTCTTCCCGGGGCCTCCTTCGTCTTTTCCCACAAGCTGGGGTGGAGAAGGAAGCGGAGAGCAGGCAGGGGTGTTTCGGGCCGGATGCCAGACAGAGGTTGCTGCAGCGGCAGTGGCAGTGGCGGTGGCACCCCTGGAAGCAGGAGGCCGGCTTCTCCGTTCACACATGTACGGGGCCCAGGGAAGAGATGACGGGACAGGAGGGCACATGAGGCCCACTGATGGCTCCTCTCCCACCCCACGCAATCCCGCCCTGGCTCCCCAGCCCATGGCAAGTCAGCCAGAGGGACCTCCACAGAAAGCAAAGTACTCCAGGGGGCAAGGACAACTCCCTGCTCACGAGGCTCACGTCCAGAATATCTGAAGAGCCTGGTACAGGGACCGGTTATGGCTCAGGTGTGGACATGCGATGCCTATGTCTGCTTTCATATGGGTGGCAGCAGGGGGTGGGGGGAAAGGCCCAGTCTACCCAGGGAGAGAGCACCCACCACAGAGGCCTGGCAGATAAACCCTCTGGCCACCATGGCTGCTGCCCCAGGGCCACCCTCAGCTCTCCGCTCTCCGGGGCAGTCATTAGCGGATGTGAACCCCATTTGGGAAGCCAGTGAAGCCTCCAGAGCCTGTGTGCAGGACTCCAGCCCTCCCCAGGGCTGCACCCAGGTCCCAGCAAAGCGGCCAGAAGACCCAACCACTGGGACAGTGGCCTGGGCTCCGCTCTGCGATGAGAACCATGCCGTCCTCTGGGAAGCAATAACAACACTGGCTTCCCTTGCTGGAGCACCACCCCTGTGTCAGGCGGGCACCCTGCATGCACACTCCTGGGATCAGGTCTCAGAAGGCCAGCAGTACCGTGTGCAGCCCACGCACAAGAGCTGTGCCAATGCTCCTGCTTCCCCTTCAGCAGAGTCAGCCAGGAGTGGGCCCGTGTCTGGCCCTGGCCACACTCCCAGGGCTCTGAGTCCCAGCCACGCAGTGGCCCAGGTAAGCCCATGCACGACGGCCTCGAGTGCTCCTGGGGCACACCCACTGCCAGTCGCCTCTATGGCTTCCTCCAAACCGCTGGGCCCCAGCAGCAATGCTCACCCGCTGGAGGGAGGAGACACTTCAGACTCACCCAGCTGCACCGTGCCTGCCTGTGCTGCTCGGCCTGATGCAGCCACAGAGGCCTGCCACATGTGACTCCAGGACCCCACGGAGCAGGCCACCCACTCCCGCAGCCCTACACTCTCACTCTCCATCTGAGTCCAGTATGTCAAGCTCTCTCATGCCTCTGGGCTTGTGCCTGAGAAAGACTCAGAAAAAGTTCCTGAAGAAAAAGAAACTGCTGTAACTGGGGTTCCCTGCACCTTCCCATTTACCCTGCCAAGAAGATGGAGAGCAAATGTTCCTTCCTTAGCCACCTTTGAAAGTGGTGCCAGGGGCTTGCTACCTGCCCAAGTCTTCCAGTCTTCCTCTTCCTCTGCGAACTCAGGCTTCTTTCAAAGTCCATTAGCCCTGACACCCAGAGAGGCCACACAACCCAAAAGCAAACACTGTCCCCATGGGCTGTGGCCTGTGCTTACATCTCTGCTCCTCTTCCCTAAGTGGCCTCACATGGCTGTGACATCCCACTCTCCGAGTCTAGGTCTCCTCATCTGTAAGGTGGCATCTGTGGGCCTGCTCACTGGGTCTCTTCCTGACAGGATACACCAAGCTAGAACATGTGCCTCTCTGGATCTCTCATGCCATGACACGGGTGTCTTGATGGCCTGTGTGGGCACATTTCTGGTCAGGACAGCCACTCTAGGCCTTTTCAGTACCATGGCCCTCATTTCTACCTTGATTTGGAGAAGACTTCTGGTTTTTTGGAAATCTCCATATCATCCTGCTTAGGACCTGGCCTGGGCCACCAAAGGAATGGTTGGCTTTTCTGACACCCTCTGCATGAACTGTCCCTCGTGGTGCACCCCCGAAGCCCCACAAGATGTGGCCACACTCCACAGTACCCCTCTCTGTGCTGACTCTGAGCAAAGCCCCGTACTCAGGCAACACCAGCCTGTCCCAGGGCAGTTCAGGGCCAAGTCCAACTCCTCTTGCACAGGCCAGGCCACCTCAGACACCAGGCAGATGCCCCGGCCCGCCCTTCATCCCCTTCTTTCTCCCTCTTCCTGTCTCTGGCCAAGTGGGCTGAGAGATGGCAATCTGAGGAAGTGTCCCTGGCAGGGCTGGGCGGGGGAGATGAGGACAGGCCTTCCCTGAATTCAGATGGCCTCCAAATGCCCATGGGCATGTTCCTGCTCTACCTTTCTCCCTGCCTCTGTGGCCTCTGAAGGTTGCCCAGCAACCTCGAAGGAAGGGGCCCCTGGCCCTGATTGGATAGATAGGAGCGAGGAGCCAATGAGGTGGCTGAACAGAGCCTGTTATCCCGACCACAGCAAGCCTGGTGTCATCAGCGAGTGGAGTGAGAGGGGAGCTGACGCAGGGGGCTGATGCATGCAGATTCCCGTGCGCTGGAGGAGCGGGGGCGGCAGCAGGCAATGACGCAGGTGCTGGAGCGTGAGGAGATGGACACAGACGGGAGCGGCAGGAGAAAAGACTCCCTCTCACACCACAGGACGTGCTCAGCCTCCAAGATGAGAGGACTAACTCAGAGAAAGTTTTGTAGAACTTCCCCGCTGCCTGACTCCCCGAGGGCGGCACCTCCCAGAGAAGCTGGCTCGCAGGGGATTAGGATGGCTCCCAAACTGTGCAGAAGGGAAGTAGGACGCCAGGCAGGGCCTCCTAAGCAAACTGGGAGGGCAAGGGAGCAAAACGCCTTCAGCCTTGCCTTCCCGGAGCACTGAATATCGCTGCTCATGGATGAGATGCAGCCAGAGGGCACAGGTGTCAGGGCTTGTCTCAGTGCATGTGTGCTGGGCACTGGGCGCCATGCACAAGCAGGAGCAGGTGTGCCACAGGCAGAGGTGCAAGCAGAAGGGCTTCTTTCCCAAAGGTGAATTGGGATGCTTTGCATCCAGGAGCTGAGCAGACACCCAGCTCTGCCACCCCACGTGTGCCAACCTCAGCTAGGCTCACAGGGATCACTCACAGCTCAGATCTGTGTGGACCCCTTTGGGGTGGGTCAGGAGTCAGCATAAAGAAACAGCTGGACAGGGCAAGAAGGGGGACACAGCCCAGAGTGCTGCCCCTGCAGTCAAGTACAGGGACCAAATATGGATCTGTCAAGTACAAGTGGATGAAGCCATCAAGACTTGGGCTGCCCACTGCAGAGGCTGATTGCTATGTTTTAGGAAACCTCTGGCTGTGTTTCAGGAAAGCTCTGTCTGCAAGCACTTTCACGTGGCTCTGGGACAAGGAGCTTTAATGGAGGCAGAGGCCCAGAATATAGCTGGGGACCAGCACATAGGCCTGCCCCCATCACTCCAGCAGAAACATAAGTACTCCCATCTGGTCATGAGGTAAGTGGTGAAGGGATAACTCCCTTGTCTCCCAAGAACTTGCTCCTAGAGATGGGCGGACCCAGGCAGTGCTGATCCCTCAGCTTAGATACCTGCTGGGGCTCATGCCTGCTGGAACCCTCAGAGAAGATGGCTGGTCTCTGGGAAGGAGACTCATCCCAGCTTTGCTGCCCTGGGCAAATCCTTTCTCCCCTCATGGTGTCTGGGTTCCCTACCACTCGATAAGGGTGGCAATGACCAAACCATGGAAAAACACATGTGCAAGGGTGACCCCAGCTGCTACACCTTTCCCCCCAGTCCTCCTACAAGAGCCAGAGTTGGGCTTTACAAACCCAAGGCTCCAGGCTGCCCAAGCCCCAGAGCCCAGCCAGCCCAGGTAGCTCCCCTGGAGGGGAGTCCCTGGAGGGGAGGGACTCTGGAGGGGAGTCCCTGGAGGGGAGGGGAGTCCCCTGGAGGGGAGTCCCTCCACCCCTCCATTCTGGTCCAACTCAACCTGGGGACCACCAGCACCAGCACCAAGGGGTGAGAGGGAGGCAGTTCCCTCCCAGGCTGTGACCCCGCCCCCCCCCCAAGCCTGTCTGACAGCTTCATTTGCTGGAGGGCTTGCCTTGGTAAAATAGGGGTGGAGGTCAAATTCTGCATAGGGTGGGGGTGTCGAGGCTCCTGTCCATTTCTCACTGTAAATGTTCCATTTGGGCAAAGAGCCTCCACTGGACCTAGTGTCAGGAAAAAGACTCAAAGAAAAGTCCCCATGTCTTAGGTCCTCTTTTGCTGTCTTTCGAGCAAATGCCTGTGAGCTCTGAGTAAGGGCCCTCCCACGAAAGACCCTTCACAAACCCCTCGCAGTGTCATGAGCTGCCCCAGGAACAGGGCGGTCTGGGTGACCAGGAGAAGGGCGACACTGAGATAGTCAGAGCTGGCTTGCTAGGGAATGCAGCCTGCTAAACAAGGGGCAGCAGGTGGCTTCTCCCAGCCCATTCTCCTTCCTTAGAGAGCTTCCCTCTCTGCGGCCAGACTGCAGCCCTGAGCCAGATGGGGCAGCAGAAACAGATGCTGAGAGGGTAGTAGGGGCATGACATGTTCAGGAGGCCCCGGCGCAGAGCCAGCCATGCCTTATCATCTGTCATGTCATGAGACGGGCACAGCGGTGCCGTCAGAGATGTGGAGGGCTTGGTCAAGGCCACAAAGCCACACATCCATGCTGGCTCTTCCAACTCTGGAGCAAAGGAAGGAGTACTGACGAGGAGTCCAAGGACCTGGGTTTTAGTCACTGGACGCGTCACTCACCCTCCCTGACCTTCACTTCTAAACTTTGAGGTAAAAGAGAATGCTCTGTGCCCATGGGAGGGGGAATGGGCTTAAGGAAGCCCCATTCTCAAAATGCTCCCTGGCCCCTGCACCTGGTCGTGTGAGGAAGGTGTAGGCTTCAGTGCAGCCCCTCCGGTCATCACCAAGGCCACAGGACCCCAAGCAATGATACTTCCCGGGGAGGGGGCTAAGGTCAAAAGCCTAGCGCAGTGGGGAGAGCCTTGGCTGTGGCACAGACTCCCCCTGGAGGCTGCCATGGGAAGTGCAAGGACAAGCCTGAGGAATTATAAAGTCAGGAAGCACCACCTCCACCCCCACTCAGATGCCCTCACCCCGTCCTTTCTCAAGGCACGCACTTGGCTGACTCAGTTTGGACCCAGGCTGATTTAAGCCGGTGCGGGTGCTGATTTTCTGGACCAAAAGGGTTGGAATGATGAAACGTTCCATTTGATGAAGCAGCCTCCTGTGGCCAGGTCTGGTGAATCAGGACATTCTGATTCCCAGTCTCCTGCACTGGAGTCTCAGCAGCTGGCAAGGCAACAGTCAGCAGACAGGTTGCTTTCCTCTGGGAAGGGGATGGAGCAGGCACCGCCACAGGCACCGCTGCAGCGGCTGTAGCTGCTGTTCCAGGAGTTGCTGAGATCCAGGGGGATGGGGCACTTCAACGGTGATTTAGGGACCGTGGGCAGGGCTGAGCAGCTGGATCCCGTCTGAGCCTCCTAGTCTGCTGCTCAGCGTGCAGCTCCCAGGAGGCCTAGGCTGGGCCCCTCTTGCCAGAGCCAGAGTGCACGACCTGCCTGGGATGCTCCAGTCCCAGGGGCTCTCGCCTGGAGGCCAACAGGGTGGCAGGAAAAAGGCTCAGCAAGTGGAAAAAAAAAGAGCTGAAAAAGACTTGAGTTGCAGAGGGGAAAATATAATATGGAAAAAGAACGCATGGCGGGGGTGGTATTTGTAAATGTGCTTTACAGGTAAATGACTTCTGCATGAAAGTCTGGAATTTCACCTCTCCCCATCCCACCCCTAACACCCCAGCATCTAGACTTCTCGGCGTCTGCACTGGAGGGGCCCTGGGAGGCAGACTTTTAAGGCAGGCCAGCTCCTTCCCAAGGTGGTGGGGCGCTGGGGGTGAGGAGGAGGGGAGAAGGCAGCTGGGCCACCCACCGCTCCTTGGGGCCTCGGGATTCCTCCTGGCTTTCATGCGCCCATTTTCTCGTTCTCAGAGAGCCAGATACAAGCGACCGTTCAGGGAACTGGGCCATTTCAGGGCTGGCTTGGCTTCAAGGGCCCTTGGAGATGTCTCTGTGGAGAACAGAGGGCTGGGCAGGGACCCTCTTGTAGGGCCCTGGCTGCTTCTGTACCCCTCATCCTGCAGTTGTCTCTGCAGCCAGGGAACCAATGTGGTCTTCAGCCAATCCCAGTCATGCAGAGATGCTAGTCCCATTTGCAGACAAGGCAGCCAGTGAGATCAGAGGAGGCTCAGAGGTCATGGAGCCCACACTCCAATCTCCACAGCACCTCTCCCTCTCCCCCTACTTTCTTTCTTTCTTTTTTTTCCTTTTCTTTTTTTTTTTTTTTTTTTTTTTTTTTGAGACGAGTCTCGCTCTGTCACCCAGGCTGGAGTAGCAGTGGCATAGTCTTGGCTCACTGCAACCTCCACCTCCCAGGTTCAAGCAATTCTCCTGCCTCAGCCTCCCTAGTGGCCGGGATTACAGACGCCTGCCACCACACCTGGCTAATTTTTGTATTTTTGATAGAGACGGGGTTTCACCATGTTGGCCAGGCTGGTCTCGAACTCCTGACCTCAAGTGATCCACCCACCTCAGCCTCCCAAAGTGCTGGGATTACAGGCGTGAGCCACCGCACTCGGCCACTTTCTTTTACCCTCTTTCGCTCTCCCCTAGGAACACCCCCGCCTACACACACACCACTGCTGCCATCCATTCAGTCTTTGCCAGAGCAGGCCAGTGACAGGAAGTCACTCCTTCTTGCCCTTGACTAACATCAGCCAAAGCTAATTCCTTCTGTCCTAGATGCAGGTGATCACTAGTTAGGAGCAAAAGGAACAGAAAGAGCCCGCTGCCTCCCCACTTCCCCCAAAGCTCTGACTCCCTATCCTCCTTCTCCCCTCCCACAACCCTCTTTCTCATCTTTCTGCCCACTCTAGACCCAGAGTCCCCTCAACCCCACCCTTACCTCTAACACTGCCCCTATTTTTGGATAAGAATAAGGAAGTCCAGAGAGAAGAAAGCACTTGCCCAGGATCACACTGCCATGTATGCAACAAGCATTTTCAGAGCCCTAACCGCCAGGCTGGGTGCTGGGGGGATCGGCCTAGCGGAATGTTGCCAGAGCACTGCATTTCCCAAGGAGGTGCCCAGGCTCAGGCCCAAAGGAATGAAAGCATGAGTAAGGGATCGCTGGCACAAGTGGTGAAGCAAGTCCTGGTTTGGGGTTTTGGGTTTTATTTTTATTTTTATTTTTATTTCAGTTTAAAGCAGGCACTGCCTGATGTAAGCATTTTCACCAGGGATGCCGGTTCTTGTGATTAAAATCCTTGTGCTTGCTCTCTCCATAGCAACTCTTCGCCACATCAAGCTCTCTGGGAAACTGACCTAGTCATCACAAAGTGGCGTGCTGAGCCAAAGATCACAGGGACTAGACCAAGGGGCCCGGACTGGGTGCCCGAGCTGGGCCTACAGATGGGGCCAAGGCCAGGGACCACCGCCAGCAACCACCAGCAGCCTAGGGCTTGCCCACTGGCCCCAGAGGCTATGTCTCCTCTCTGACCCAGGGCGTGGCTTCAGAGCTCTGCCGCCATCTCAGCAGCAGCAGCCCCAAGGGCAGCTCTGCGGGAAGAGGGATGGCTCAGCGGGCGTTAATGAGTGGGTGAGGAATTGCTCTCTTGGCTGGCCTGGACCCACCTCCCTGCTCCAGGCAGGCACCCTCCCAGTTCCTAGCTCCCTTTTGAGGTGAGAAATGAGCACACTCCCAACAGGAAAAGCCTAGACCGTGTTTCTGAAAGTGGCCTCTGGGACCCTTCGGCAGTCAAATTCCCTGGGAGACACGCTTAAGCTGCAGATTCCTTCCTGCATTCCACCTCCGACATTGAGAGTGATACCCACAGGGCCTCTTGTCTTTTCCTTTTCCAGTCTCTTCTCCACTCAGACCTGTCCCTCCCACTTTGCTGTCAGTTCTCAGTCATTTCTGTGCCCCAGCGCCCAACACAGAAAGTGATCAAGAAAACACCTGCCAAATGCATCAATATGTGTCCCTGAGAGAAGTTAATCTGGCTCAGTTTCTAATCAATGGCACTTGAGCAAGTCCCTCTCTGTGCCTCAGTTTCCCTTTGGAAAAATGAACTGACAACAGCCCTGCCCACCCTCTGACCCATCCAAAGGCTACAAGTGAAGAAAGCTAATGAGAAATGTGGCAAAATGTTAATAGCGGGAATTCAGATAAGGCTTCAGGAGTTCTCTGCACGATTCGTACAACTTTTCTATGAGTTTTAAATCAATTCAAGGTAAAAAAAAAAAAAATTAAAGATAAAAAGTAACAACAGTGCTGGCATGGTGGCACTCGCCTGTAGTGCCAGCTACTCGGGAGGCTGAGGCACGAGGATCGCTTGAGCCCAGGAGTTGGAGGCTGCGGTGTGCTATGATCATGCCTGTGACTAGCCACTGTACACCAGCCTGGGTGACAAGGCGAGACCCCAGCTCTAACAAAAAAAAAAAAAAAAAGTGAAAACAAAAAAGAAAGCGAGTCAGACTTTAGTAGGCATGAGAAATCACCCTAAGAATTAAGTGTTCTTTAGTGAGTCACTTTAAATGTGGGTAGATACTGTTTGCATCATCAGCAGTAATTTCTAAACTGTTTTCCTCAGGTAGGGGCCCACATCCCAGTCAGCATCTCTCTCTCCACCTAGTCCCACTTCACTCCTTGCCACCACAGCCCTGAAGGAGGGCACCATAGTCCTGGCTCAGCTACCTTCCGTGACAGAGCACCTCTGTGCCAGGAACCTAGCACTTGCAGGCACCCAGTGCAGCAGGTGCTCCTGGCTTTAGCCACCCTTCAGTACTGGTGAGAAAACAGAGGCCTCAAGGGGTTGCATGAAGGGCCGAACTTTGCACAACTGGATGGTGGCTGAGCTGGGGTTTGAACCCAGGCTGACCTCTGAGCCATTCTCTTAACCACTAGGCTATGAAGGTGCCACCCTCACCTGCCACACACCTGACCAGGTGTGGGACAGTTCAGCCCCTCCTCCTCTTCCCGGCCTTTGGAAGCAATGATGGCAACCTCTCCTGAGCATCTCTCAGGGACTGGTCCCCTGATGGCACTGCCCTTGTCTTGGCATCAGCCGGTTCACTATGGGCACAGTGGTAACGAATGCAAAGTCCCTGGACTGACCCTAAACATGAGAGCCCAAAGGCCCGGACTGCAAGGGGTTGCCGCACTGGAGAGCAGCTCTCCTCTCTGGCACTGGTCCTGTCCCATGCCGCCAGGGACTGGCAGTGGGGGCAGCCTCAGGGCTCAGCAACAGAAGGAAAGCTTGTGTTACATGTGACCTGGCACCTTATAAGTTGTGGCTTGAAGCAAAACCCGCACCAAAGGGGGCAGTCACCTGTGGAAGCTTGAGTAGGGAAGGAGGAAGGCAGGCTTCTGGCTTCCAGAATGCACCGAGCCAGAATTGGGGGAGTTTGCTTGGCATGCAACTGAAGACAGTTCAGGGAACAAGTGCCGATGCCTATCGTGGCCAGGTCCTGGGCCCAGTGCTAGGGACCCAGAGTCCCTGCCCTGCCAGATCTCAGGAGGCCTTGGGGACACTGGGCAGGAAGACAAGGAGCACAAGTCAGGCTGAGGGAGGCTGAGCTGAGGCGCTGGCTGCCCCTGGCATCACTGGCCTCACGTGGGAAAGGCTTTTTCTGGAGTCTGGACTTGAGCTGAGCAGGAAGTGAGGTGGACAAGCACTGCTGCCATTTGGATTCAGATGGCAACTTCTTACTGACAGATGGCCTCTCTGTCACTCCTCAGGGCAAGGCATGGAGCTGATTTCTCTGTGGGCCCCCATATGCAGGAGCTCAGCAAGAAGTGGTTTATGATCTTTCAGGAGTAACGGGGAGGTTAGACTCCAGCAGCTCCAAAGGACGTGCGGGCCTTGACCTGGTGGCTGCCGAGCTCCTCCTCCTGCTTCCAAGCCCTTCGCCTCCAGGAAGCCTTCCCTGATCTTCCCAGCCAGGGGTGCCTCGCTGCTCCAGGACTGAGGAACCCCTAATGTTTTCATGCTACTCGGAGCTGCAACATCCTAAGTGGTCCTGGGCCACCTCTGTTGCTTGAGTCATGAGTGTCCAGAGGATGGAAATGAACAGATCTTGAGCACCTGCTGCGTGTCTGGCCCTGCACTGAGTGCCTTCCATCAGCTCCACACGGCTGAATGCACAGCATCCAGCCAGGGGCTGGGAATTGCTGGAAGGAGGGGCAGGTGAGAGGGATCTGTTCCTTCCCATCCTGAAGTGGCCTGGGAGCGATGAGGGGAACAGCGGAGGCACCAAGGCCTGCCAGAAGGCTGGCCCCTCATCTGTGCATCTGTGTCTTGGCCACTTGCTGGCCTCTGAGCTGCCCCTTGTTTTTCAGATGAGGAGCGGAGGCCCTGGGAAGGCAGGACCTCTGCAGCTCTGTTCAGGCCTATCAACCTGTGCACCCCTGCCTCCCGCCCCCAGCCAGGTACGACAGCCAGAAGTCTGAAGGGCCATGAGACCAAGGCAGGACTTAGTCCAGGTACTGAAGCCTCAAGCACTGCTGGATGGGGTGTGAGAGGCCCTCTCTCGGGGCTCACAGCTTTGGGGCCTCCCATGATGCCAAGGCTTCGTGCCGACGGCTCAGCAAGAACACAACTCCTACCATGCCTCAGATGTCCCAAAGCCGGGACACACCCACCACCTACTTTATCTGAGTCCCCAGCAGCCCTGGGTGGGAGGCAGCTTGACGTGTCACCCCCTTAAACCGACAGAGTACCCAGGTGTCCCCAGCTCAGAAGTGGCAGATCAGGCAGGAGCACCTGAGCTTTCGGCCTTTTTGTAAGGCAAGGTATCCCTCTGCCTTTCCAAAGAGGACAGACTCTTGGCTCCCTCTGCCCCCATCAAAACAATCCAGCCACAGAGCTGGTGCAGTGCCGATCCTGTCGATAACACCCAGTGACACCTGATTCGGCGCCTTCTGTCTGAGTGTGAGCAGCCACCATCCTCATGGCCCTCCCCAAGATTGCCCTGTACCCAGCACATGCACCTCACAGGCCCCAGGGCGATTGAGGGGATCCTCTGGGTGAGCCAGCCTCTGGGTCTCAGTTTCCTCATCTATAAAATGGGCACAGGGGGACGGAGGGATATGAGATTCCCTGATTCTTAAAGGCCTGCAGTCAACTCTCAGAGCATCCTGGCCCCTCGCCGTTTACTAACAATTAAACCGTGTCTTTCCTAAAGGGCAAGACAGAGGGATCAGGCTGGCAAGGGGGACACTTGCCTCTGTAGGGGACGCTGGCCTCCTCTGCCTGTCAGTCTTTTCACTCACAGCGAAAACCAGAAATCCACTGACTCCCGGGGGGAACCCGAAGAGAGATGCTTGGAGCTGGTAAGGGTTATGGATGGGGAAACTGAGGCCCTGACTTGTCCCCAGCTGGGCACGGACTGGGTGCCCCCCACTGCCTCCAAGCAGGGCCGCATCCAATGGCGACTCGACAGCCCTACCTGGCACCGGTGCCCGGCTCGTGGGGCGGGTGGAGGGTCGGGCAGTCGCAGGGCGCGGGCTCCCTCGGGTGGACGGCGCCCGGCCGGGCCGGGCCGGGCCGGGGAGGCAGGCGCGGGGCGCGGGGCGCGGTGCACAGCGGGGAGCGCGCAGGGAGGCGAGGAGGCGCGGACTGGGCTCCGCCCGCAGGAGAACAAACAGGTTTTCTCCGGCCGCCCGGAGCCTCGCCCCTCGCCCCTCCCCTCGGCCGGCCCCTTCCTCTGCCCCTCCTGGGGTAGGTAGAGGCGCCTGGCACATTCCGCACATTCTCCCGCCAGCGTCCTCCGCCCGCCCGCCCCTTCTCGGCCCCGCCCCGCGGGGCTGCTGGAGAAATCAAGTCTGGGGCTCCCCTTGTCGAGCACGGGGCGAGCTCCAGAAGGCTCTGCCGTGATGGAAAACTTCCAGGCAAATTCCTCCGGGCCCGTGGCCCCCAGGCCGGGAAGCCTCCGCCACGTGAAGGGCCCCCGCTCCTAGTTGCGCGATCTGGCCCCGGCACAGGGCCAACGACTTCCACAGATGCTGTCGGGTTAATTCAGTCGAGAACTACCGTTCCTAGATCCATTTTACAGATGGAGATCCCAGACAGGGGCGGGGAGGGGGGCGGGGGGCTGGCGGCTGAGATCATCCAGGAAGTCCTGCAGGCAGGAAAGGAGGAGAAGAGTGAGGGAGCCGCTCATCGTGGAAGGCCATCCTGGGACGGACCCGGGGCTCACAAGGCACAGCAAACGGGGCTATCTCCCAGGCTGGGCGACGAGATACAGCCAGACTCCCAGAGCCAATGCGGTTTGATGTACCTGTGTCACGCGTTGGTGCTCACCGAGTGCTTTATTGTGTGCAAGGCCCTGGGCTGGGGCTAAGGATGGAGAGAGCATGGAGGAAAGACCCCTCACCCCACGGCCTCCCAAACAGGGAGACAATTAAGCCAGCCCAAGAAATGGCATGGACTTGGCCAGGAGTTGGCCTACCAGGGTGGTAGGCTCAAAAGAATGGACCAGCTGCTTCTCCTTCATCAAGGCCTGCCAATGTGGTGTTTCCATGGCCCTCCAGTCCACCCACTTCTCCCTGTGCCTGCTGCCACCACCCTAGTCCAGACCTGGCCCCGAAGACCAGCCTCCTTGCTGGTGTCCCCCTGCCTCTGGTCTTGCCTTCCTTTCCCTCAGTCTCTACACGGAGGTCAGGTTAAAAGTTCACGTGTGTCAATATGATCAGGTGCTCTCCTGCTTGCAACTCCTCCATGGCTTCCCATTGCTCTCAGGGTAAAAGCCAGACTCCTTGAGACGACCTATCCCTGCAGGTCCAGCCACTCTTCCCTTTGTTCAATACATTACAGCCACACTGGCCTTTTTCCATTGCCTTCTGAATACATCACATGGCGCTCACCTTGGGGTGTTTGCTCCTGCTCCTCGGACTCCCTAAAATGCTCTTCATCCCCGTCGGGCTAGTGAGCTCTTAGTCATTCTTCAAGCCTCCACCCAGTGTCCGGAAAGCCTCCCCTGCCTGCCACCCAGTCGAGCTGATCACTTCCTTCTGTGCACCCCTTAGTTCCCTCAGATGACATCAATCCAGCATAGTGGCTGTCACCCTCTATTGTTCTAGATCCTGAGCTCTGGGAGGGCAGGGCCCCTTCTGATTCATCACTGGGTCACGGAGACCAGCACAGGGCATCCGAAGAATTTGCAGAAGGAAGTGATGGATGGGTGAGTGAGGCTGTGGAAGCTGTCCTCATCCTTTTCTTCTTGGGGTTCATGAGATAGGGAGAAGGCGACCCTGTGTGTGCTTAGGGGGTTGTATATAAAGTCACTTCTGTTCATGTCCGTCTCTTGCCAACAAGCATTTTTCTGCTTCCAATATTGTATGCCCCTGTCTGGTGGCCAGCAACTAACACCTCCCCTCCTCCACTGTGGCTACTGGTGGCCATGGATTTGGCTTGGCATCTTACCTCCTAAACATGTTTACTGTATGACTTAGGCTGTGTCATACTCTTTGTCTGGGTCCCAGTCCTCTTCAAGAGCCCCTAGTTTGAAAGGGTAGAAGGTAGAAGACATCATGATGGGTGAGATGTAGGGCAAGGAAGAGGGAAAAGGCAAACTTGTTCAAGAGCCCTGAGTCAGGGGTGGGGGGCCCAGCTGGAGAGCATGAGCAAATGTGGTGTCCAACGGCACGGCCAGCAAGTGAGGACTGCCCCAGGCTGGGCCGCCCCAGGGCCTCAAGCTCTTCCCATGTCCCAGGTGACTCAGTCTCTGCCCAGGCCCGATCTGTCACGACTGCTCCAGCCAAAGAGATCAGCCTTCCCTGAACCCCTCCCTCCCTGCCAGGCTGCCAGGCCCTGCAGCTGATCTTGCCTGCAAACGGGTTTGACTTGAATGGTAACTGCCCTGCCCTGCCCTGCCCACCTGTCCATTGCCCCAACAGTCTTCCACTTCCACGCCTGCCAGGGCACCTCTAGTCACCTCAGCCAGGCTTCAGGCACCTGCTGGCTTCTTCAGCCTCTTCAAGCACCAGACATGCCCAAATGACATGTACCCAGATAGACCAAGTGCTCAAATACCACCAGGACGCTGCACAAGATGCTCCCTTTGTTTGGAATGACATTTCCTCCCCAGGGACACCAGGTGGCCTCCACTTTCTCTCAGCAGTAACATTATCTCCTTCATGAACCTTCCCTTAGACCTCCCTCAAGTTCTAGGCCAAGGCTGTGGTGGCTGCTGCCTGCCTCCAGGCTGGGCTCTGTCCCTACCTGGCCTGAGCTTGGCCCTATCCTTTCCTATTCACATCTCTTGCACTTTTCCACCCATCCGCAGCTCCAAGACAGGCCAGCTCCCACCCCCTGGCTCTGGCAGAGTTCTCCTGAAGTCCCTCCAGCTTAGGCAGCAGTGCCACCTCCAGGGGACTGGACAGTCTCTTCCCACCAACAAGCAGGCCCTCAGCAAGGCTCTAAGTGAGAGGTAGGGGCTTCAGGGTGGGGCCAGGCTGGGCTGTCTGGGCAGGCAAGAGGCTGAAAGGTAGAGGCAGGGAGTAGCAGGTGGTGAGCCCTGTGCTGGAGAAGCCATAGCTCACAAGCAGGCCGTGGAGGCAGCGTCTCTGGGAGGCTGCATCTAAGCAATGAGATGGGTAGCACGGCAGGTGGCTGCTGGGAAAGAACTGGCCAGCAGCACTCCTCAGCTCCAGGGGAGGCCCCATTCTGATCTCCAGGGCTGGGAAGAGAACTCAAGCAAGGTGATCTAGCCCCAGAGTTCCCAGGCTAGGAGGTGGGCACAGTGGCTCACGCCTGTAATCCCAGCATTTTGGGAGGCCAAGGAGAGAAGACCGCTTGAGCTCAGGAGTTCAAGACCAGCCTGAGCGATATGGTGAGACCCCGTCTCTACAAAAAATACAGAAAACAAAAAGAGTTACCAGGCTAGAGGGGGAGAAAGAGGGGTTGGGCCCTGAAAGCTGTCAGGCCGCAAAGCTCCCCCAGGCAGTGTCCTCAGCTAGAGGGGACTGAAGACAGGCAGGCAACCTCAACACTTCAGTTGTACAAATGGGAAAACAGAGGCCCACAGAGGGACAAGATGTTGCCAGGATTACACAGCTAGTCTGAGGCAGAGCTGGGCTTAGAACCTGGGGTTCCAGCTGCTCTGGATGGAGCCCCTGCCCAGCTGGAGAGAAGCTGGGGTGCTCAGGTTCATGTGCGGGGAGGGCTGGGCTCCTGCTTGATCCCTAATCCCCTCCTTCCCGGGGCCCGCCCTGCCACCTCATCCTCTTAAGCTCTTCAACCGGTTTACACTTGCTGGGTGACTCTGCTGACTCCAAGCAGGGTGGATGCCCTGGAGGCAGGGGTCCCCAGGTGTGATTGCAGGTAGGATGGGTCCTTTGAGCCCCGAACCCGTGAGGCCAGGCCCTTGTGTTTGTAACCAGCTCTCCTGCTAGGAGCTGGTCCAGCCTCTCAGCATGTGGAGTGGCTGCTCCTCTCCCCCTGTTCTCAGCCTGCACTCCAAGCTACGGGGTTGTGGTCCCCCTCTCTGGAACACACACACATTCTTACTTGCCCCACTGCACTGCCACCCCAACCCTGGCCAGAGACCAGTCAGACCCTGTCCCGGCCTGTTGCGGCTCCCAGTTTGGGGGAGGAGGCAGCCCAGTTCTACTCCAAGGGACAGCAGCCATGCCTGGGGATTGTTTGCTGTGTGAACAGTGGTCTCATTGGGAGCAGTGGCCTTGTCACAAAGCAAGGAGAGAGGTGGTCTGACATCTGCCACTCCTGTAGCCTGGATCCCCACTGCCGTTTGAATCTACTGGTTCGAATGAGCCCAGGAAACTCTCAGCCATCAGTCTTGGTCTGTGTGACCTGATGCCCCACAACACAGGCTCTGCCTTTTGTCTGTGGCTCTGAAGCAGCCCCAGGCCAGGCCTCCTGAGCACGAGTGCGCGAGTGGAGCCAAGGCCTCGCTGGCAGATACTCCCTGCATGCCCTGAAGAATGGCTTTTTGCTGCTTTAAGAATCATCCACAGGTCGGAAAAAGAATGTTCTAATTGGAAAACCTCCCCGCCATGGTTTTCCGGAGTTTTAGTACAGTTGGCCGGCAGGGAGGCTCCTGGGATAAGGAGGAAGGGAAGCCATGAGAAGGAGACAGTGGGCTCCCTGCCCAGCGCCCCCTCATCCCCCCAAGCTCAGCTCAGCCACTGCCGGCTAGGGGCCGTGCCGAGGGCCCCCGCGGTCCTCAGCCTGGAGACTCTGGAGGCTGCCTGGCCTCAGCTGGGAGCTCCTCCCCCAGAGCTGGGCCCAACCCCGCCCCCCAGGGGCCCTGCTGCTGCCCCAGAAGCAGCCCAGGCTCCTAGGACCCTCTGGCAGGGCTGGTGCTCAGTGGGCATTGTGAGTGTGCGCCTGGAAGAGGAAAGGTGTGGAAGCTGCCACATGCTCAAGAAATGGGAAGGTCAGAGTCAGTGTTGGGGTCTGTGAGCACCCCCCGCCCAGACCTCTCTGGGGCCCCAGGCTGGGAGGTCTGGCAGAGAGATGCAGGCTGCAGGTGAACGCTAACTTCCGAGCAGCTAGATCTGTCCTGCGAGGGAGGGAGCTCCGACTCTGGGGCCCTGCTAAGCCTGGCCTGGCTAAACCACTGGCTGAGGGAGCTGAAACTACATCAACCAGAGGGTATGTCTGGCTCTGAGAGTTGCGGATTTGTTTCTTTCTGTCTTTCTTTCTTTTTTTTCAGTCTGCCACCCAGGCTGGAGTGCAGTGGCACAATTAAGGCACGCTGCAGCCTCAACATCCTGGGCTCAAGCAATCCTCCCATCTCAGCCTGCCTAGTAGCTGGGACTGCAGGCACGCACCGTCATGCCTGGCTAATTTTTTGTAGAGATGAGGTTTCACCGTCTTGCTCAGGCTGATCTTGAACTCCTGGTCTCAATCAACTCATCTGACTTGGCCCCCCAAAGTGCTTATGCCTGGGATTACAGGCATAAGCCACCATGCCCAGCCATGTTCCTTTCGGCTGGGCACTGCCCTTGGCTTGGGAAATGCCCACCTGGGAAGAGGAAATGCAGTGGATCCCTAAAACACCATTGCAAATCCAAGTCCTCTTCACACAGGAGAGGAAAGGTTACTGGGTTTCACCTCTTAAAGGGTGTATGCTTCTTTATTAGTTTTTCCCAGAAACCTCCCTGGGTGCTTAGCTGCCTTGATTTCCTCATGGAGAGCAGCCTTTGGAGATTAGAGGGGAGAACAGCTCAGAGGGTGCCCCTTTGTTCAACTGAGCAGGACTGTGGTCCCCGACCTTTGGAGTCAGACCTGCTGCTTTTCTCCTTCTTCTGCCCACGCTGGTGCTGGTCAGAGCCTCACTTGATGAAAACTCTAATTTTCTCAGCATGGGGGAAGGGGCTGGCTCTCATCAAAAAGGATTGGACCAGCCTGGCTGGGGGATGCATTTGGCTCCTGTTGATTGCATTTGGCCCAAGTAACCTGTACTTGGAGACCTTGAACTCGACCAAATAACTCTAGCCTTCCTGGCATTGTGCCGTCTGTTCCTCCTCTCCTTCTTCCCTGACCTGTCCCATCCCAGGCCTTGGGGACTGCAGCTCTGTAACCTGTAACCAGCACATGTCTCTAGAAATCCACTGATTACTGCAGGTGCCACTGGCCACATGTGGCTATTTAAATTTCAGTGAATTACAAAGGAATAAAATAGGAAATTCTGCTCCTCAGTCACACTGGCCACATTTCAAGTACTCAATAGCCCCATGTGGCCAGTGGCTACTGTGTTGGACAGCACAGATAGTGGACATGTCCATCATCACAGAAAGTTCTAGGATTGCACCACCCCGTATGCTGCCCTTCTTGGAGGGAGCTATCCACTTCCTCCTAAACTGAAGCCAGGCACCCTCCCGGCAGCTCAATCCAGAGGAGGCTCTTCCTTCTCCCACACCCCAGCTACCTCAGAATAGTCCAGTTTGCCATTGGATGAAAACCTCCCCGCTTTGAGGCCCAGGCCAACTGGCAACACCATCCCCCACCTGACATTCAGGCAGGTCTTTGCCCTGGATGTGAGAAAGTGACTGGGAGGGTGAGGGTGAGAGCAGTGAGGTGTGGTAGTGAGTGTGTGACTTGAGCATCCATGCTTGTGGCTTAGCTATCCCCAACCCTCAGGCTCCCCAGGCATCTCCCAAGACCCTGTCAGCTCCACCACAGCCGCTTCTTCCCACAGGTGCAGCCTGCCTGCTGTTGCTTCCTCCAGAATAGAGAATGCAGGCTTTCCAACTTCTTGCCCCAACCTCCTCTCTTTCCAGCAGGCTCGTTCAACCACTTCTGTGACAACTATCTTTCAAGCTCCCAACTGTTGGCTGCTCCACTTTCTATCCATCCATTAGTCCTTTCCTCTCTTCATTTCCCTCCCTATCCAGCTTACTCAACCGCTGTCTTGTGAACATCCTAATCTTCTCACCCTACTGTCTCTTTGTCACCTCCACCTGATGATAATGGCATCAAATCTGGACAAAGCTAAATGTCTATATTCTTCATGCTTGCCCCAAGGCAAAGAACCATGCTGGCAGACGTCACGCAACTGTGCAGAATGGTGCCAATATAAACTTCTGGATTCCACTCCTTCTCCCCTTCATAGACTCTTCCCTCTTTATAATTATCCCTTTCTCTTCTACATCATAAAAATGTCTGTTTCATTTGGAGCTTTCCCATCAACATAAAAAAAAAAAAAAAAGAATCTCACCTGACCACACTCCCACCTCTAGTTACTGCCCCATCTCTCCACTTTGCTATTGAGCAAAACTCCTCAAAAGAGTTGTCTAGACTCACTGTCTCTCCTTCTCCTCCCATTCTCTCATAAACTCACCCGGATCAGGACTTCAACCCTACCACTCCCTTCACATCATTCTTGTCACCAGTCATCTCCATGTTGCTAAACCCAGTGTTCACATTTCTGCCTTCACTTACCCCGTGGCCACAGTTGATCACTCCACTTTCCCCTTCTGGAAAAACTTGCTTCTCTTGGCTTCCCTGACACCCACTTATCTGGAGGCATGAAGGCTATGAGCACAGACTCTGGAACTGGACTGCGTGCAAATCCCAGCTGTGCCAATTAATAGCTGTGTGACCTTGGGCACGTTACTTGCCCTCTCTGAGTTTCCATTTCTTACCTGTACAATAGAGATGAGAGTGCCAGCATCTACCTTCATAGGTTGTTGTGAGATGACATGGGATGGCGTGCATAAAGTGCTTGGAATGGAGTTTGTTACATGGTGGTGCTCAGTGAATGTTTACTATTGCTACTTTTGTTACTTGAAATCACCACATGAATGTCTGAGTCAATCCAAATGAAACATGTTCAAAACAAACTCTTGTGCCACCATCCTTCACCTTCCAAACCTCTCCTCCCTCAGTTTTCTTCATCATCAAAGGCACCTCCCAAGGCCTAGGTGTTTAACTGATCTTTCCCTCGTCTCCCATGTCCAATCCAGCAGCCAGTCCTGATTGCAGCTCCAAACCATCCACTTCCACTGCCACTATCCTGGGACACAGTAGTGTCCCCGATCACCTCCTTCCCAGTCTCCTGGCTTCTGCGCTTGACTCCTGCATCTACTTTCTGCAAAGCAGCCAGAGCCATCTTCCCCTCTGCCCTGCTTGGGTGATAAGGTGACTCCATGTCCAGCAGTCCAGGCTAGAAACAGGGGCACCATCTGAGACTCCTCATTCCCTCTGCCATCCAAGTCTAGTACCTGCTATGGCTCCAGCCTCTTCACGCTCTAAGCTCCTGTCATATGGAAGCCATACTGGACTTCCTGCTGATTCCCAACATAGGCCTCCATTCTGTCTCTAGAACTTAGTGCTGACTGCGGTCCCTCGCACTGGTTAACTGCTACTATGCTCATGTCTGTTCAGAGGTCATTGCCTTCACAAGAAGTCATCCCTAACCACCAAGACCCAGCTAAGTGTCTCTTCCACCGCCTTCCACCCTAGCACTTATTACCCTGCAGGGTCGCTGTCTCCTGTGTCTCCTCTCCCTTCCTCCTGGATGTAGGAAACACACCTCATGCTAGTATGATGCCTGAGTAGGCACACAGGAAGCAGCTGCCAAATTGATGAACGGAGGGATAGAGTGTAGTTTCAAATGCAGTGTGTGATCAAGGTGGCATTTTGAATCTGTGGATTAAAAGTGTATCATTCAAGAGATGATGTTGGAATAACTGGCCATTTGGAAAAAGAAGCTAGATTTCCTACCTCACTCTCCACACCAAAATAAACTCCAGATGGCTCAGAAATTTAATGTAAAAAAAATGAAACCATAAAAGTATGAGAAAGAATCCTGGGGTGGGGACAGCCTTTCTAAGTATGTCATGAAAACCAGAAACCATAAAAGATGGAGAAATTAAAAACTTCTGTATGGCAAAACCCACCATAACTGTCATTAGACAAATGACAAATGAGGAAGAGTTATTTGAACTGCATATGACAGCGAAAGGCTTAATCTTCCGAAAATAAAAAAGGACTCCTTTTAAAGCAACCCAGTAGGAAAATCAGCAAAGGACCAAGGAAGTGAACAGATAATCACAAAAGAAGATTTGCGGGTCACCAATTAGCATATGAAGGAAATGCAAAGAAAGTCAACTGTTTCCACCCCTGCCTCAGGTATGTAAAACTTAAAACAAATCTGCAAAACCCTGGGGTACCTGGCGTGTGGGAAAATGGGCACTCTTCTGCCCCAGGGGCTCTGAGAGTGGGAGGATAAGTCAGGGCAACCTTCTGGGTGGTGATCTAAAAATATGCCACAAAATGAATGATGAGGTATCCCTTGGACTCAACAATGCTAACATTTTAAAATTCTTTTTATTATCTGACATACAAAAATAGTACATATATATATTATATTAAATGAGATGCATATAAACATCTTCATCCCCTACCTCCACAGCACCATTATCTACACATTCTGCCCCATCCTGATACAAGAGAACGATGTGTCCTGAAGCAGATGAAAGGTCAGGTTTTCTGCTTGTGCCCTAAATCCCATTTGTTGCCTACCCAGGAACATCTTGCTAACATTTCGCCCTTTCTCCTGCACCATCAATTATTCCCTCTTGACCGGATCATTCTGCTCAGCATGCACACATGCTGGAATTCTTCCCACCATTTTAAAAAACCTTTCTCTTGACCCCATACACCTTTCTAGCTACTGTCCATTCATTCCCCTTCTTCCCTTTACATCAACAATCCTTCAGAGAATTCTCTACACTTTCTCAGAGTCCTCTTCCTCCCTTCTCTTTCACTCCCATCACTACACAGAAATGGCTCTTGTCAAGGTCATCAACCCCCTCTATGTTGCTAAATCCAATGATCAGTTTTCAGTTTGCATTTTACTGGACATGTCAGCAGCATTTAACATTCCCAGATGTGGAGTGAGTTTATCGGGATGTAACTGCATCATAAGTTCAGAATACCCTAAGTAGAAAATGCATTTAATACACTTAACCTACCAAACATCATAGCTTTGCCCGGCCTACCTTAAATGTGCTCAGAATGCTTACACTAGCCTATAGTTGGGCAAAATCATTTAACATGAAACCTACGTTATAATAAAGTGTTCAATATCTCATGTAACTTATTGAATACTGCACTGAAAGTGAAAAACAGAATAGTTGTATGGGACTTCAAGTTTGGTTTCCACTGAATGTGTATCGCTTTCACATCATGGTAGAGTGGAAAAATCGTAAGTCGGGCCATTGTTAAGTCATGAACCATCTATATAATATATCCTGGGGCAGAATTGCTGGGTCACAGGGTATGTGCATGTTCAATCTGACAGCAGAACACTGACTTTCCTGCCTAAACAATTCCCAGTGCTACATATCCTTGCCAACACTTGGTGTTGTCAGATGTGTTCTATTTTCTCAATGCAGTGGATAGAAAGTGTCAGCTCAGTGTGGTTTGGGGTTGTATTGCCAGTACCCTCGCATCTAGGCATTTATCCTCAGGTAGTAACTGCATCAGGGGGAGATAACTAAGTACCTGTATGCTCATTGCAACATTATTCATGATATTTTAAAAAACTCGTTACAAGATAAGTTTCTATCAGAAGATCCATTCCAAAGTTATAACAGGATACTATGTGGCCAATCGAGGTGTTGATTTTAGATCTCTAGTTAGGGGCATGAAAAATGCCAATAATATATTGTTGAATGAAAGAGAGAAATAGCAGTTTGCATCAAAGCAAGTTACATGGCAGCGTAAATAGTGTGATTTCACTTCTGTCAAATTGCCCAAAGGCTTTGAGAAACACCTTCCAGAGTGTCAACACTTGCTATCTTCTAAGATATGGATTTTGAGAGCTGTCTTTTCCTTGTTTTTATTTTTTATGTTTTATTTTGTGTTTTCTGTAGTGTTTGACTTTTTAAAAAATGGGCATATACTTTTTTCCTTTAAAGAAAAGCAATTTGCAAAAAATGCATTCTTATATTTGTTACATTTGCATATGTATAAAAATTATATTAAAGGTTTCACATGAAACTGATCATAACTGCTGCCTCTAGGAAGTGGGTTTGTGTGGGCTGACTGGGAAGATGCTTTGAGTTTTCTCTTTATTCCTTTCTGTACTCTTTGAATTTTTATGGCAGTGTATTACTTTCGTAATAAAAAAGCACTAATAAAAACAACAACAGAAAAGAGTTATTCTTAACACTTAAGCCAGCCCTGCCAGCCCCTGCTGCTGTGGGCCCAGCCCACTCAGCCATTCTGAGGCCCCCAAGTACTTCCCAACAAGCCCGTTCAATCTGTGCCAGACCTCCTCTGGCTGGGGAGCTTTCAAGCTGTTGAGCCCGTGCCAGTCACTGGGCTGCCCAGGAGAGAGTTCCTTCTGCTTCTGGGTGGTGCCTTGAGCCAAGAGCAATGTGTCTTCCCTATAAAGCAGGTGGGAAGGAGAAGCCAGCCCCCCAGAAGGCCCAGAGAAACCTGAGGAGCACAAGCAAGGAGCCAAAGGGGTGTCAGAGGCCAAAAAACTCCAATAGCAAACAACCTATGTTTCCAGTGGAGCATTTTTAAGTCTGTAAAGGTGAGAGCTAGAAGGAAATAAAGACTGCAAAATCAGAAAGGCGTAGCGACACTGAACGTGAACTTATCTACTACACACTTGTATGGCAGAATCAGGGGCCACTCTGAACTGAGAAAGAATTAATTTTACCTAAAACAAACAAAGACAAACAAAGACTTCACTCAGGTGAAGGGACACAGGCAGGTGCTGCTGTACTTGGTGTCAGTGTAGAGAGGTTGTTTCTCAAAGACCACCGGAAGAAAATGCTTCCTCCCCATGGCAGCCCTTCTGAGCTACTGGGGACTGCCAAGCCAACGCACGTGGCTCAGTCCCTTCATGAGCACATCATGTGGTGGTGACTGGGTTTTCCTCTGTCTACCTGACAGCCCGTGAGCTCTAGAAGGCAGAAACCAGCTTATATTCCTCCCTGAGTCTTAGGTAACAGGTATGGGGGCTGGCACGCACCAAATGCTCAGTGAGCATTGGAGGGAACAGACGATGATCGTTTCCAGGACAGAAAGAAACCAGAGATGCCATTTGCAAGTGCCCATGTTTCTAAACTCAAGGTTTAGAACTAGATGTCTGCCAGTATTGCCACCCAATCTGCAATGGCCCAGTATGCCAGGCTCGGGGCGGGGCTGTGGGGTGGCAGGCGAAGCTTGCTCATGCTGTGTCTCCAAATTATGGAGGTGACAAGTCCTTTGGGTTCTAGACTAAGGCAGCCTCTTTGGACAAGTTTGTCTTTTCCAAGAGGGTAGCTTTGGAGGAGGGAACATGATGGCATTTAGCCATTCTTAACGTTTGGATGAAGACAATATTTGTTCACAAGTACGAACCTGGTAAATACCTGGTATATTTTAAAGACAAGTTAAATCGTGTTTTTACATGACATTTTAAAAAGTCACACATATTATTTGTTTTAAAATATCAGAATCGTAGTGGATTGTATGAAGTCACTCCTGCAGACACTTCCTGAAGCCCTACTCCCTGCTCCCTCCCCACGATACAGGGCTTCCAGTGGCCCATACTTGTGTCCTGAGCACCTGCTTTGAGCCAGGCCTGGACCCTGAGGGGTTCAGTCTGGTAAAAAGCCACCTAGTACTGAGGCAAAAACTGGTAGCCAGAGGATGGAGGAGTAGCGGTGATGGGAGAGGGAGTCAGAGGAGGGGCAGAGGGTGTTGACGGAAAAATAGAAAGAGATGGTCCTCAGAAGAATAGACTAGAAGGGGAGCCTGAATTCTGCAGAGACCATACCCATTTAGAGGGGGATTCCAAGATCTGTTGAGCCTCAGGCCTCGCCTACAGCTTGCATCCTGGCATGGTGAAATGATGTCTACCTTGGGTGGATGAGAGCTCCTCCAGTCACAGGTATTAGCCAGGGCTATGCCTACAGGGCAGTTAAGGAGGCTGCTAGATGTTTAGAAAAAGAGGGAAGGAAGGAGAGATGGGGATGGAGAGGAAAGGAGGAAATTTCTTGTCAGTGAAAGTCAACCATCAGATTGAAGTTGTTTGTAGTTTATTCTCTACTTGTAAAAGTTGGACTTGGTTTTTTTCCAGACAAATAAGTCTTTATTCCTTTCTTATATTTCCCCAGAGGAAAAGGCAGAGGAAGGAGAGAGTGTCATCATGTACTTCAAAAGACTAGAAGGAAGAGATAAGAATCTCAAATGCTATAAAGTCAACCCCAAGACCCAAGGGGGCTCCTGCTCAGCTTGGGAAAAAGGGGTGGGAGCAGGAGAATGGCGCAGGCAGGCCCTTCCCTCCCTACATGGTCAAGATTCCACATAAAGTGCAGTAAACATGGACTCATATTTATCCACCTTCTATTAGCTCATCTTGTGGCCACTTTGATGTAGGTTTCTTGCACCAGCAGAAATGTTCCTACGTGGCTGGGATATACTTTCATCTCCCCGTTCTCTGGCCTCCACTCCCATCTTCGACAAGGGAGACCTCTCCTCCTAAGACTGGAGAGTTAAACTGTTTGCCCCAGCCCCAAATTGAAGGACTGGTGTTTGGTGTGCATAATAGCCAGGAATGAGCTTTGCCCAAAGAGAGTCTGGGCTGGGAAGGAGAGACAGAGGGGCCTGCTGGCCTCAGTTACTTGCACAGATCTTTTATTCAGGAATTAGAGACTCCACGGGTAACAGTTGGGGGAAGGGAATAGGATAGAGATCTGATTTTCACTTGGGAGACAGTGAGGCTGTGGGGCCTGTATGGCAACCGAGTGGATAAGATGAGCTGACACCAGGACACCACAGGGGAGGAGCTCAGAGGAACCGTCCAGGGTAGAGGCCAAGCTTGTAGGGGCAGAGGCAGCTAGCGATGGCCCCTTGAGGCCACGGGAGGGCATGACATCACCTAGGCAGTATGGGAATGGTTGAGTGTGTGTTGGATGATCAGAGAAGGCCAGGAAGGAGCTCCAACCAGCTCCCCTCAAAGAGATCCCCCACGCAAAAAGAGCCTACAGGAAGGTGTCAGGAGTCACCTTTGTTAAGATGCCTCTGAGGCAAGGAGCAGAAACCTACTCAAGTCTCAAAGAGCCTTCAAAAGGGCTCATGTATTTCCCCCACTCCTCCCCCTTCCCATGAGACAGCCAGTGTCCTTTGATTTTCCCAAACAGGGTAGGGCGGCAGGAGGGTCTCAGAGCAGCCAGGGGCTCAGGGAAGAGTGAAACTGAGTCTGAGATTGACATTTTAATCTGGTCTGAGTTTTAACAACTGCAAGACACCAGTAACTTCGGAAACTTGCTCAAGATTCTGTTAATAGATGGGCAAGGCCGATTTGACAAAGCTCAGCTGAAGGGGGTGATTTGAGGGTCCATGTTGACTTAATGCTTTTTATGTCAGGTGCTGTCCCAAGCGCTCTACTGAAAACATCTCATTCCATCCTTGCTACAGCCCTATGACGTAAATACTATTATTATCCCCATTTTACAGATGAGGACTCTATGGCACGGAAGGGCTAGTGAGTGGTGGAGCTGGGATTTGGACCTAGGCTGTCTTACTCTAGAGCCCGGACTCTTAACTTCCAAGATTATTACCCCACTGGGTTCAAATTGCTCAGTTAGCCACTTACATGCGGCATCGGGGACTGTTCGTGGGAGCTGTGCTAACAATGCTAATAATAAAGCTAATATTTGTTGAGGGCTTACTACATGCTAGGTATGATGCACAGTGCTTCTGTCAGTAGGTGTCCTGAGAAAACCCTCCTTGAGGTCTTGATCCTCTTCTTTCTGCCACTTTGTAAGGAGGCTTTCTTCCTTTGGTCAACATTAAATTATTGGGATCCTGCAGGCCTTAGATGTAAGAGAGGCTGATGCAACCTGCTGCTTATGCCAGAGTTTAAACATCTGTGCAAAATGACACATTTGAAAGAAAACATGTGATTGGCTTTTAGCAGGATATTTCTAGAAGGATCAGAGGATGACTTGAACTTGTCAGCCTCGCTTTGAATGTTCGGCTGCTTGCAAGGAGAGCAAGGACTTCACTCCACCTGTCCCCAGCAGGAAACGCCCCACGGCTGTCTTTCTTTCAGGGAGATGTGAGCTCAGCCTGGCTGCTCCTGTTGACCCTGCTGAGATCCTGGCAGATGTGTGGCTCCTTCTGGGGCTGAGCGAGGCAGAGCTGTGTTTCCTGGACTCAGGCTGCCCAAAGGATATCTTCCCTTGCTCCCCACTGGCTGCTGCCCTTACCACCATGCGGCACCCTGCATGGTGGGCAAAGGAGCTGTGACTCTTCCCTCCCCTTTGGGCTAGGGAGGCTATGTGGTTCACGGGAGGATGCTGAACCTCAGAGCAGGGAGATCATTTGCCCAAGGCCATACAGCTGGAAAGTGGGTGAGCCTAGATACCAGTGCAAGTCAGCTGGAACCTTTCAGAGACGTGAGTCCACTAGGTCAACTAACCTGCCCCAGGAGACAGCTCACATTTTTAACAGGTATCCCTGCAGACTCAGGTGTGCTCCAAGGACTGAGGACTACTGCTTCTGAGTGAGGTGGACACAGTGAGAAAGGGAGTTTTAGGAGAGAGATGTAGGGGTGGAACCAAATCAGTTGTGGGCCCAGGATGCTTCCTCAAGCTGGTTTCTCAGCTTTGGGTCCTGGGGCATGAAAGTACCAAGGATAATAAAGATATGAAGACATTCAAGGATGAGGACATTGAATTAAAGTGCATTTCATTCAAAAGTTTCACTGTTGGCCTGCCACTGTTCTCAACTGAATTTCATCATTTCCATTAAGATGAGTTGGCCTGGCAAGACTTGGTTTGCAATTGCAGTGTATACCAACATGAACTCGGTCATGGCATAAGATCCTTTGAATACTTGGCTAAGATTTTGTAGAGTTTTTTCTTTTTTAAATCTATGTTCATGATTGAGATTAGACTCATTTTCCTCCTCCATTCCATTCCCATTAGTGAGGGTTCCCTCTTCGCCTAGTCTGCGGTGAATGGCTAGTGAATTTACTATTGAAACCATTTCGGTCTTGTTTGGGAGATGGAGGCATGTATCAGACAGGGTTCCATCAGAGAAAGAAAACCAGTAGGAGATACATATTAAGAGATCTATGAGAAAGAATTGGCTTATGTGGTGGTGGGGGCTGACTGGGGAGGTCCAAAATCCATAAGGCAGGTCGTCAGGAAGGGCATGCAGGAACTCTTGGACGTGGGCCCAAGCTGCAATCCACAGACAGAATTTCTTCTTCCTCAGGGCAGTCTCAGCTTTGCTCTTAAATCCTTTCAACTGATTGGCTGAGGCTTGCACAGGTGATCTAGGACAATCTCCATACTTAAAGTCAATTATGAAAGACTTTAATCACATCTGCAAACCACCTTCACAACACCACCTAGATAAGTGCTTGATTGATAACTGGGGTCTGAACTGTTTTAACTCATTAACACTTACAACAGCAAATCAGAGAGTTATCAAGTGTTTGAGAAGCTAAAGATACACTAGCACCACAGGGCAGGGCAGTAGGAATAGGATTGGCCTTTCAACAAAAAGTGCTGGGTTAATTGGGTTCCCATATGGGAAAAAAAAATGTCTATGAATCCTTACTACACATCATATAAAAAAATCAGTTCCACACAAACTGCAGACCTAAATGTGAAAGGTAAAACAATAAAGCTTTTAGAAGAAAAACATAGGAGAGTGTCTTTGTGAACTGGCAACAGCCAAAGATTTCTTAAGTGTGACACGAAAAGTGCTGAGTGTGACCAAAAATGTGATAAATTGAACCATATTAAAGTGAGAAACTTCTGTTCATCAAAACACACTGTTAAGAAAGTGAAAGGATACTCAACATGTGGGAGATCTTCACCATACACATCTTCAACAAAACCCTCATCCAGAATACATCAAACAAATAAACAACTCCAGGCCGGGCACAGTGGCACTCACCTGTGATCCCAGCATTTTGGGAGGCCGAGGTGGGAGGATTGCTTGAGTGCAGGAGTTTGAGAACAGCCTGGGAAACACAGCGAGACCCTCCTCTCTACAAAAAACTAGAAAATAAAAAAGTAGCCAGGCATGGTGAAGCACGCCTGTTGTCCCAGCTATTCAGGAGGCTAAGGTGGGAGAATCGCTTGAGCCCAAGAGTTGGAGGCTGCAGTGACCCGAGATCGCACCACTGCACTGCAGCATGAGCAACAGAGTGAGACCCTGTCTCTAAAAAGAAATAAATAAATACATACATACATAACATAATAAAATAAAATTAAGAAGACAGAAAATACTGATTGTTGGCAACTAGAATACTCATATTTTACTGGTGGGGAGGGTACATTGGTACAACCACTTGGGAAACTCAGCTTACCCACTGAAGCCAAATACACACATACTTTCTGACTTAGTAATCCCACTTTCAGGTTCCCACTCAACAGCCTACGGATGTTTTTAAAAACATGTACCCAAGAAATACTCAGAGCAGGACTATTTGTTATAGCCAAAAGCAACCCTAATGCCCATTAAGGTAGAAGGAACAAGTAATTTATGGTGTCTTCACACAATGTAATGCTCTACAGCAATGACAATGAGTGTAGAAACAAATGGATGCAGCTCACAAACATAATGTCGAGGGAAGAAAGCTAAACACCTAAGAGCACATATAGAGTGATTTCTTGTTTTTATTTTTTATTTTTATTTTTTGAGACAGAGTTTCACTCTGTCGCCCAGGCTGGATTTACAGTGGCACGACCTCTGCTCACTGCAACCTCTGCCTCCCAGGTTCAAGTGATTCTTGTGCCTTGACCTCCCAAGTAGCTGGGATTACAGGCACATACCACCACACCCAGCTAATTTTTGTATTTTTAGTAGAGACAGGGTTTCGCCATGTTGGCCAGGCTGGTCTTGAACTCCTGACCTCAGGTGATCCACCGTCCTCGGCCTCCCAAAGTGCTGGGAATACAGGTGTGAGCCACCACACCCGGCCGATTTCTTTTAAATAAAACAGAAAAATGGGTGAAACTAATTTCTGCTCCTAGATGTCAGGGTAGTGGCCATCTTGTTTCTCGGTTTGGGTGCTTTGACATGGATATGTTCTCCTTGTGGGCAGTCATCAAGCGTTATACTTATGTATGACATGCACTTTTCAAAATGTATATTATGCTTCAATACAAAGTCAAAAAACACGAGAGCATGGAACTCTGAGGTTTTGGGGTTTTTTTTAGTTTTTTTGATCTTTTTTCATGATCTGAAGGATTGAAAGATAACTGAGCAGGAATGGCCTTTCTTTCTTTCTTTGTTATTGAACAAAGACGGTCATTGTACTACCCATCATGTTCAAGTCCATCCCGTGGGACACACGGGTGAGGTTTTTAGTGGTCAGTGCCAGGAGCAGATCTGCCTGGTGCATGGATGGTGCTCCTGGCCACAGGGTGGAGGATGAAGGAGAGATCGCACGGAGTCAGGGAGACCTGGAATGGGCCTGTCACTGTTGTCCAGGTTAATGAGTGGCAAAGTCAAAGGCAGGATTCTAACCCTCGTCTCCTGACCCTGTCCACTGCAGCATGCCTGCTGTCTGTCCACCAAAGACCCTGCTGTCGTGGGGACAGCCCCAGCCCTGCACCTCCTCCTCACGCCCTTCTGGCCTTGGTCGGAATCTCTCTCAGCTCTGGCTCCTGGCTCAGATGGCCTCCGACTTGCAGGCTCTTGCCTCCAGGCCTTGCACGCAGCTACTTGCCCAGCTCAACTGATGCTCACCCCCTGGGGCCCTGGACGCAGAGGGATTCTTCTTGGTTCTACAAGGCAGGGGGTACACAGGCCCTCAGGATCACAGGGATGCATTCTGAGGAGATTTGAAAGTACACATGTTTTTGTAAGCTTCTGTTTAGAACGGCCAATAAGACAATCTCAGTGATGTGCAGAGTGCAAAGGTATGTGATTAACACACACGCACACACACACCCACACCCACACAAACTCTTAATCACAGAAACTGTTTGTGTTATGCGTGCTTGATTGGCCAAGTGTGCCCACAGCTGGCCGTTTTCTGAAGCCCATGGAGCTAAAGTGAGTAGACGGCCGTCCCCAGCCATGTTTCGTGGGCACAACATGTTCCCACAAGACAAGGCTCATAGCCCAGCAGTCCCAGATTTCGCTTGTGGCTAGATCTGGGCACAGAATGGAGATGATGTCATCAGAGCTTCACGTTCTTTCATCCAATTAGCTGAGAGTTAATTAGTATTTCCAAAGGGCTTTGAAGATGAGGAGCACTGTTTATTCACAGTTGGGGCGGTGGCAAGCCTGGAGAGGTAATGCAAGGAGTTGACATTAGAATGAGAAGACGGAGCCAATGCTGCCATCTCTGCCTGGCTGAGAGGCTGTTGTGAGACATTTGTGAAAGTGTCTGTATGACTTTGCTAGGATAGCTGGAACAAAGTACCACAAATTGGGTGGCTGGAAACAACAGAAATGAATTATCTCCCAGTTCTGGGGCCAGAAGTCTAAGAACAAGGTATCAGCAGGGCCACGCTCCTTCAGGAGTAGAGGAGGATCCTTGTCTCCTCCAGCTTCTGGTAGCCCCAGGTGTTCTTGACTTGTGGCTGCATCACTCGTCTCTGCCTCCATCTCCATGTGACTGTCTTCCCACGTGTGTCTGTGTCTCTGTCTCTCCTTATGAGGACACCATCATGTTGGATTAGTGCCCACTCTAATGATCTCATATTAACTTGATTATATCTACAAATGTTCTCCTTCCCAATAAGGTCACATTCACAGGCACTGGGTGTTGGGACTTCAACATATTTTTTGGAGGAATACTATCCAACATATAATGGTGCCCATCTGATCTCCAGTGGCCAGTGGGTGCTTCATTCCTGTGAGCTTCCCTTCCTCACTCCTGTTCTCAGCACAGGAACCTGAGAATGACTGAGCAGGCCATGCTTTTCTAGGAAGAGCTGGAAAGAAGACTCTGGGAAGAGACAGAAGTTGTAATAGCTCTTCTTTCATGAATGGGCATTCCTTCTTCAAAGACCTTGGCCAAATCTCAGCCCCTCTTGGAGTCTTGGCCCACTTGTGTAAGCAATGCAGGGCTGACCTATGTGCCCCGTAGCCTGCTCTCTCAGCTCTAAACACTGAAGGTGGAAGGTCAGGCTGAGGAGGTGCTGGAGGCTGGCTCCAAGAGGGCTCTGGGCAGGGCCTGCCCCATCCTCAGGCAGTCCCAGGCCAACTTAGATCCACAGAACTCGGATTCTGGAGGATTCCTTTAGCCCTGGGCCGTTACTGTTTTATCATTATTCCTGGGCTCTCAAGCCTCCTCTTGCCCACCCCCGGGAAGCTTCTCCCTTCTCTTCAGTTCTATTCAACTCATGGCACGAATGCCTGTGCTGGTACTGCAGGGGTCACAGGGAGGCTCCCAGCAGACCCTGCCTTTGAGGACTCCTTGGTCTAGAAAGAGGCAGGTCCAGAGCCCCTGGACACAATCATTAGCTGGTGCCAAACTGGACAGGCACAGAGGGAGCCTCACTCGACCAGGCTACTAGCCCATAGAGATACATGTGGGAGTCAGGCAGGCAGACAGGGCAGAAGGCATTGCAGAGAGAGGCCCCCCAGTTCAGCAGGAGTCCCTCTAAAGCTCCTAAGCAGCCCATGCTCACCAAAGGCAGTGTCTCAGCACCCAGCGTTCCGAGCCAGAGCCGGCTTTGAAGAAGGGAGCAATCAGACACTCATGCTGACAGAACAGGGACCTTGGGAGCTCCTGGTTCCACAGTGGCATGAGGTGCCCTCACCTGAACAGCCTGCAGTGCCCTGGGGCCTTGCCTTGCCTCTCTCACAGGGCCCAGTCTCTGCAGGCTTGGTCTCAGTGCCACCTAGGACCATGTTGGAAGCCCCTTTGTTTGGGCTGTGGCTAGATGGCCTTTGGCTGGGAGGCCTTAGATTCGTCCCTGAACTTCACTCCCCTAAATTCTAATCCCAGCAGCAAACAAGGTACAAAGAGGATGTGTAAGTCTGAGTCCCTCCCCTGCAGGACCTGAAGTCCAGACCCAGGATTGGAAGCCCCAGTCCCGAGCCTGGAGGCAGTGCTGGGACAGGCACTTGCTCACCTGGGCCGCTGGATTCTCGGGCCTTTGTGAACCTGCCCTGCCGATCCTCCCACATTTTCTAGCACTAAGTTGGCACCATCCTATTGGTGACTTCTGTTCAGTTTTCACAATCACTAGCTGGTGCCAAACCAGCCCAGTGAACGATCTGGATAGTTCTGGCAGACAGGGCTGTAGTGATCTAGCAGAGTTTCCTCAAGGTCCTCAGCCTACTGAAGCCAAGCAGGGTCTTTTGTGAGGTGACGCTTTACCCAAGGGCTTGCCTCTCTTAGCCAGCTTCATGTCCACATTCTAACCCCTGAGACCTGTTACTCTTCTTACCTTATATGGCAAAAGGGACTTTGCAAATGCAATTAAGTTAAAGATCTTTAAATGTGGAGATTATCCTGGGTTATCTGGGTGGGCCCTAAGTGTAATCACAAGTGTCCTCATAAGAGAAAGTCAGAGGGAGATTTTACTACAGAAGAAGAGCAGGAAATGTGACCATAGAAGCAGAGATTGGAGTAATGTGCTTCAAAGATGGAAGAAGGGGCCACAAGCTAAGGAAAACAAGCGGCCACCAGAAGCTCAAAAGAGGAAAGAAAATGGAACTCCTCCCTCGGAGCCTCCAGAAGCCTCAGAGCTTCCAACTCCTGGACTTTAGCCCAGTGAAGCTGATTTTGGGGTTCTGGCCCCCACAACTATAAGATAATACATTTGCATTGTTTTAAGCCACTCAACTGGTGGTAATCTGATACAGCAGTCATAGGAAAGGAGTACATCCAGTGTTCCCAGCCAGTACAGAGGCAAGGAGTTCAGGCCACTCAACATTATTCCAAGAGAGTAGAAGGCCATTGAGGAAAAGGATGCTGTCCCTAACTTGCTGTGCATCTTCAGAATGCCCCTTTCCCTGTCTGAAACTTTGGGCTTCCCTATACAAAATGGGGAATGGGGATATTGGGAGACCTTGCTGGACTCAACAGGCTTGTTGAGGATCCAAGGAGAAAGTGCTTGACCACCTGGGAAGGCACTGGCTGGCTGAGGAGGCACTCTCCTTCCCACAACCCTGCTCCTATCATCTTGCTCAGCATTCATCTTTGGTTTTTCCTCTAATCCGCTCCCATCAAAACCACTCAACAAACCTGTAGTGCCCACGGCCTGGCTAGCACTGTCTGGGTCAGAAGCTGGAAGGGCCCCCAAAAGGTCTAAGAAAATCTATGGTTGAGAAGAGCGCCATCAAGGAAGAATATGGAAGGGAGGATGAAGAAAGGACACAAGTCCATGAGCAGGGTATGAAAATCCACGCTGGGCACAAGTGTACTGCCAAATAGGCTGTGCTGCAGCTTCCCTGGGGCCGCTTAGCTCAGCTGGCATCAACTGTGGTTCTTTCCCTTAGCTAGATCAGGAGCTCTGGAAAGGCTCTTGGATAGACTGTCTACCACGGTGGCCCTTACCCCCAGCACAAGGCCAGTTATAAAGTGGGTGTTCAGTGTTAGATTTCAGGGACATTTCCTTGCTCAGTCTTCAGCCTCTTTAACTTCCCAGCACCACCCACGCTGCTGACCATCCTCTCAAGCTTGATCCCTCCTCCCTAGCTTTCCTTGACACCTGGGTATTTCGTTCACTTCTTAATTCTCAGGGTCCCATTTTTTTCATCCTCCTGCTTTTCCTGTGGCTTTCGGTAGCAGCAATAAGCCAAGATGTCCGAAATAACTATCTCTTGCCTTCTAGACTTTTCTACCTGGAAACTGCAAGGTTCATTCAACTCATTATGGCCAGAATGGAATTCAGCTTCTTCCTTGCTGCTACCTATATCTCATCCTCTCCTGGGTCCCTAGCTCAGCAGAAGGCATGGCTGGCCACCAATTCTTCTAAGCTTCAGCCTCCTAGTTCTCTTTATCCCTTCCCCTCCCTTAGCCCCACATCCAATCAATCATCATGGATGGTCCATTCTTGCACAGAATCATCTCTTCATTACGTCTGCACCATAGCCCCGTTGCCTGTTCCTCAGGACAGACACACTCTTACCGTCTCTCCCCTGGACTAGAGGTAGTTCCCCACTGGCGCCCCACCTCTGGTCCCTCTCCCTGCACTCTCCCCACCATCCAAACACAAATGTCACCATGTCACCCTCCAGGGAGTTATCAAGTCCAAGCTCTATCACCCAGGCTGGAATGCAGTGGTGCGATCTTGGCTGACTGCAACCTCCGCCTCCCAGGTTCAAGCAATTCTCCTGCCTCAGCCTCCCGAGTAGCTGAGATTACAAGCGCCTGTCACCACACCTGGCTAATTTTTTGTATTTTTAGTAGAGACAGGGTTTCATCCTGTTGGCCAGGCTGGTCTTGAACTTCTGATCTCAAGTGATCTGCCCGCCTCAGCCTCCCAAAGTGCTGGGATTATAGGCGTGAGCCATTGTGCCTGGCCTATTTTTTTGTTTTGATAGTAGCCATCCTAATGGGATGAGGCGATGTCGCATCGTGGTACTGAGTTGCGTGTCCTTAATGATTAGTGATGCTAAGCATCGTGTGCTCGTGGCCTCTCAGTCCCTCTTAAGCAGAGGTTGACAAACCTTTCCTTTTCTTCTTTTTTTCTCTGACCTCATTCTTCCATCACAAAACCTTTTCTATGAAGGGCAAGATAGTCAATATTTTGACTGGCTTTGTAGGCTAGATGGCCTCTGTCATAACTACTCAACTCTGCTATTGTAGTGAAAAGGCAGTCTTAGACATTATGTAAATAAATGGATGTGGTTGTGTGACAACGAAACTGTATTTACAAAAGCAGGTGGCAAGCGAGATTGGAGCCTGAGTTCATAGTTTGCTGACCTCTGCTCTTAAAGGAAGGAGTGCTTGGGTTATTAATTTCTGCATTTCATTTCTTCTATGGGACTGTGAGCTCTTTGAGGGAAATGGCAGGTGCCCAGTTAAAATGTTTTGAATTGATGTTCCCCCTGCCCACCATGGAGAACAAAGCCAGTGGTGTGCATGTCTCCCAGTACCTGCTACAAGAGGCATCCCAAAAGTGTTGCTGGGAGCCAGGCTGTGATACAGGACAAAAGAAGCTGAGAGGCCTCCATCCTCTTCCCTCCTTTTCTCCCCTACCCCAGTCACTCTAGAAAGTTCTTTGGGAAATTCTCTGGGCCGAATGAGTTAATATGAACAGACCTCCTGGAGCCGGTAAGAGGCAGAGCTGGCAAAGAGTCTCGACTTTGGGTCCACCATCTTTTGGAGCCTTCCACGATCAATGACTAGGCAGTGCTGGTGACAAGAGATACAGACTGGAATGGAAGGTTCTAGTGTCTGCCAACATATCTTCTTTCTCACAGTTCCTAATGATCCATTTGTGCTTTTTCAGCCCTTCATGTTAAGAGAACCTCAGGGTGGAGCCCATATCCTGACTGCCTCCTTCCCACATGGGCACCTATGTGGCATTAGGCTGCCTGGATCTGAATGGGTGACCTGGGGTGCGCTGGCCTGGGGGATCAGGAGCTAGTGGTCCAGCCCTGGCTCTGCTGACTGCCCTTGAGTGCCCTTGGCCATGGCCTCTTTTCTCTGGGGCTCCCCCAGATTGCCAATGAGTTGCTGGCTTTCTCCTGTAAATGCCCTTGGAGTCTTGGCACATGAACTGGGCATGCTTACTTCCCTGGAACAGGTAACGAATCAAAAGCCCTTGAGGAGCAAAGCAGTTCATAGAGCTCTATCTGGGCAGCTAAGTGGATGGTTGCCCTGTGATGGAGGAAGTGCTTTGATGGAGATGTAGGCCAGCCATTGTATGAAGCCAGAGAGACCTGTGGGGGACAGCTGCAAAGAAGAAATGATGTTGGAGATGGAGTTTGAAGAAGAGTGGCTGGCCCTGCAGGACCAGGTGCCCTGAGGCAGGTGAGCTGAGCAGAGGACAGTGCTGCTGATGAGCTGCGGGATACCGGAGGGAATAGCGCCTGTGTAAGCTGCACTTGCTGGGGTTTGGTGAGGGAGGAAATGAGGGAGGACAAGGGAAGTCACATCCAATGGTGTTTCAGTTCAGCAGAAGGTAGAGCTTTCTACTAGCAAGGGCTGTCTCATCCAGAAAGCTAAGAATCTTCCAGGGGCAATGGGCACCAGAGCCCAGAGGGCTGGGGCCAGAGGCCTCAACCATTGCCATCCTGTCTGGCAAGCCCTCCTCCTCGTGGATTCCAGTGCTTCCCTGTTTTGAAGCCATGGACCCCATGATGGAACAGCCAGCCACACACACACACAGGGGTGACGATGAGGCCTGGGAGCCCCACTCTGCCCTTGGCATGTCTCTCCTGGCCCCTCCCCCGACAGCTGCTGGCCCCCTCCACTCACTAGTTTTTATTAGGCCACAGTCCTCTTTGAGAAGCTGGTGAAAGCCATGTGCCCTTTCATGCCAACACACACACACCCACACACACCCACAAACACACCCACACACCCACAAACACACACACCCACACACACACCCACACACCCACACACACACCCACAAACACACACACCCACACCCACCCACACACACACCCGCACACCCACAAACACACCCACAAACACACCCACACACCCACACACACCCACCCACACACACACACCCACAAACACCCACACACCCCCACACACACACCCACACACACAAACACACCCACAAACACACACACACACCCCCACACACACACACACCCACACCCCCAGAGGCTGCATCGAATTTAGGGAGTTCACAGACTCCTCAAGCCCCATCTGAATGGCAGGTTGGGAACCTCTCTCTGCTTCAACCCAGTCTCATGGGCTGTGCCTTTCCCCATTCCTGGGACCACTTTCTTTTGTTGCTACTGTGACTCCAGGATTCCAAGACAGGGAGGTTTCCTGAGCACCCACTATGCTGTGGGGACACTGATTGCCTCTGTCCTTAAGAACTCCTGGCCTGGTGGGGGCAGGAAAAAGCACAAATAGGAAACACAAAATGAGGTACAGGTCAGGGGCCCCAGGCTGGGAATCCAGAGAAAAGAGGTGGTTTCCAACTGGGAGGATTAGGCATGGCTTTTTAGGGGAAGGGAACGGGCCATTCTGGAGCTGGGACACAGTGGGGAGAGGACATCGCATGCAGTCATGACAGCCTGAGCAGGGGATGCATGACAGGGCGTGAACAGGAAACCGTGGTTCCATTTGGCTACAACACAGCAGGTGTGAAGACCAGTGGAAGGAGCTGGAAATGTGGGCTGGGAGAAAATCGGACCCTGCTTTAGTGTTTTTAGCAGAGAGACTGGATACCCTAGGTGTACACATAGCAGCTGGATGGGAGGAGGGGCGAAAGTAAGCAGACAGATCAGGTCGGCTGTCCCAGGACACCTGACCTAGGTGCAGATGGGGTCAGGTGCTGAACTAGGTCAGTGTCGATAGGGAAGGGAAGGAAGAGGGATTGAATGCGATCATCCCAAAGGACACGCAGCACTTGGCAATAGGGCTTCTAGCTGTCCCCAATCTGGGAGAGAACTGCCTTCCCTTGGCCCCGATTCTCCAGATGGGATGTGACACGAGGGACAGACATAGGCCTGGGTCCGCACTCTAGGATGCCATCAGCTGTCAGGAAAGAAATGGGTGGGGGTGGCCCCCAGGCCCTGGGCCTGTGAGTAGGGCAAGTTCAGTCTTGCAGCAGCCAAGGGGAGGTTCTAGCTGGACTCAGTGATCTGCAGGAAGGCTTCTTCACTGGTCAGAAACCATCCACAGGGCTTGTGAAGAGAGTGCTGGCCCAAGCCCAGGGTCTCGGTTCAGTAGCTCCGGGGTGGGGCCTGATGGTTTCTAACAAGCTCTCAGCGGGTACTGAGGTTATGGTTTCCTGGTGGTTAGACTTTCTCCAAACGGGTGGGTCGAGATAGGTGTGGGTCAGGAATGCAGGGAAATACAAGGAGCGGCTGGGAGGTCGTCAGCTTGGCCAGCGGGGGGCTCAGGGTCTCTGTGCACAGCCTCACCTTTCGGATCTGAGCAGGCACTGTTTCTGCAACTGTTCTGCCGTGATCGCCACCTGGGCCAGGCTTGCTTGCAGCCCTATGTCCCTCTCATAGCACCCTGCACTTTTCTTTTTTGGAAACTTCAGCAGTTTTGAATAATCTATTGGTCTGTGGGCTGCGTGTTTTATTCACCACTGAAGCGCAGGGCAGGGCCCAACGATTATCTGTGGTCTAATGAGTGAAGAGAGGGCAGAGAAGACGTTCCATGAGGGACATCTTTGGTCTAGATGGCAGCTAGTATTTTTCTGAGCGAGTGGTTAGGTCGAAGCTGAGGGCAGTTTGGTCCTTGGTGCTCATCAGCAAGGTCTGCTGGCCTCACCCACTCCGGGCCCGACACCATCCTCCCACCAGCTTAGAGCTGCTCTGCGGCTTCATTCCAGCCTGAGTGGCCTCCTCCCTCCCTCTCACTCCCCACAGGAAATCAGGTGCTGAGCGCGGACCCCCTCCAGGCCATTTCTTGTAAGGCTTCATTTCTACCCCCAACCCTACCGCCCCCGCCCAACTCCATCATCGCGTGGGCCTTTGTTGCTTCTTGTCTGAAGGCTCCACGTAAGAGCCACGATGGTTTCCTTGATTCTTGGCCACCACTGCCTGGGAGATAAAAGTACATCCCCTTCAGCTTTGCACCATCAGCCAAACCAGGCTGGCACGTCTGTCCTTCACTGAATCTAAGACACCGTTATCTCATGGACCCCTAAGAAACACAACGTGCTGCTAATTAAACTATGACATGCCATTGACTGTGACCCTCTGACATCTTTAGCCTGAAATGCCAACTTCGACAGTGAAGTCTCACTGCTTATCCATTCTTCAAGGTCCGACTCAAGGCATCACCTCCTCGACAGAAGCTGAACATTTACCACTGCGTCTTAAGTGTGTGTATCATGTCCTGCCTGGCATTACAGGGGCTTGCGAACATATCTTAAGTCCATGATTCTAAGTGCCTTAGGGGCAAAGGCTGTCTTATTTATGTTTATATCCCCCTGCCCCATCAGCAGAGGGCAGCACAGTCTCTCCTCATTCCGAGGAATTATCCTCTACGCTATGCCCTTTGGAAACTGGCCTGAAGGGTTCTGAGGGTGAGCTGCAGGGAAGGAGCCCCTCCTGCTCCCTGGCTTACTGTCGCCCAGCCCAGTGTCCCACATTAGGAGAGGAGCTGAACAGATGAAACAGGGTGCCACTGGGCTGGATCACTGCCTTGCCTCTCAAAACAACAGAACTCTGTTGATAAGAGAAATGTTTTGTGAAAACAGTGCAAGCCTGCTGTGGCGGCGCACATTTGCTCTCAGGAGGCTGAGATGGGAGGACTGCTTGAGCCCAAGAGTTCAAGGCTGCAGTGCTCTATGATTGGGCCTGTGATTAGCCAGTGCACTCTCAGCTGGGCAACAGACACACTCAGACTCTGTCTCTACAACGACCACAACAAAAAACAATGCAGGCAGGCACGGCAACGTACCTGAAAGAGAATGTGGAACATGTAAGGAGTTGAACAAGCAACAGAGACTGGGGAGGAATTACAGTCATTTCAGCTTTCAGCTTTTGCTCTAAGCTCACTGTCAGTATGAAATGTATATGTAAAGTCTCACCTGTGTGTTAACAGCTTCTGTTTTTCTTCTGGGATATTTTGAAGATAGAGTATCTTGAACAAAGTCTAGAGGCTTCACTCTAGTATTGGTCTGCATGGAAATGGTTCTCCATCAGAACTAACAAATGGGTTGTAGCTTCCTACAGCTTCCTTGATTATGTACAAGGACACTGGAATGAAATGTATAAACCAGAAGAGGGGGCAAGGGAGGGGGTAAACAGAGAGACACAAAAAGACAGAGAACAAATCGGTATAATATGAAGCTGCCTGCTTCAAGAAATCCAAATCCAGTTCCATGAAGGAAGAAATGTCTGTTTTTGCCGCCCTCATCGTCACGGAAAGAGTAGGGTGCGCTCTCTGCCTAGCAGAAGGAGTCACAGGCTCAGAGCAAACTCATTCAAAGGATGTTATTTCATCAATCCACAGGGGAAGGAGTGACTGGCTGAGCAACGTGTCGAGAGAGCCCAGCCTCCAGTGTCCCTCACTTGACCCTCCGCAGGTGGCGAAAGCTCTGCACGGTCCTCTCCATAGCATCATCCATGGTCACTAGTGGCTGGTAGCCCATGGCCTTTTTGGCTCTCTCGCAGCTGTAGTAGTGGAATGTGCCAGCCAGTGCGACCCGCATGGGTGTGAAGGTGGGCTGCAGCTGGATGACAGGACTGATCACCATCACCAGCAGGGATAGCAGGAGGGCCAGGTAGTAGGCCACCCAGTAGGGGATGTGGTACTTGGGGGCCTCATAATTGAGGCCTGTCAGGATGCGAGACAGGAATGTCCAGAAAGGGATGGGCTCATCATTGGTGATGTGAAATGCCTGGCGGGAGAACAAGAACAAGAAGTTAGAAACACCACCCCCACCTGCCCAAAGTTGAAGCATCTATTAAGCCCGTGCAGATCGCATTCTCACTGCCTAATTGCTGCAGCTTTCCACGTGGCCTGCCCTCAATTGCACAACTGCTAAGGCATAGAAAGGGCAGACAATGAAAGTTTCATCTATGGGCCAGGATTTTAAATGAAGCATAGATTGCACTTGGAAAGGCACATTTGTTAATTTGATAATTGTTAATCATCATAAAACTCATCTACATATCTTTGGATGCAATGAATTCCTCATATTACATTTCTTGACGGTGTTCTGCTTGTTTTAAATCAAAAGCCACACCCGGGCCAGGCGCGGTGGCTCACGCCTGTCACCCCAGCACTTTGGGACGCAGAGGCGGGCAGATCACCTGAGGTCAGGAGACCAGCCTGGCCAACATGGTGAAACCCCGTCTCTACTAAAAGTACAAAAAATTAGCTGAGCGTGGTGGCATGTGCCTGTAGTCCCAGCTACTCGGGAGGCTCAGGCATGAGAATCGCTTGAACCAGTGAGACGGAGGTTGCAGTGAACCGAGATCACGCCACTGCACTCCAGCCAGGGTGACAGAGTGAGACTGTCTCAAAAAAAAAAAAAGAAAAAAAAAATGCCACACCCACCCTATTCCCAACTTATTTGAAGGTTATCAGTGGGGAAACGGCAGAGGTTCAGGAGAATAAAAGAGGACCAAACAGCAAGGGAGGGAGAGACCTGAGGAATGAGTGGGAGAAAGGGTGAGGAGCAAGCACCCTGCCCAATCTACGTGGGCTCCTGCCACAAGGAGCCATGCCAACAGGTGGGCAGCCAGGTCAGGGGACCATAGATGACCGTGACCTGAATGTCTGTTCAATCCCAGCTCGTCAGCTCTCCAAATTTGGCTGCCCAAGTGATGTGACGCTGCAGTGACACCACATGCTCTATCAGAGGGGCTTGATCTTGGCACAGGGGGTCCTAAGGCAGATCCTCCATGATACAGGATCACAGGAGCAACTTGCCAGCAAATCCAATGGCAAGGAGAAGAAACCCGCAGAAAGGCACCTGTGCAGGGACCGGTGCAGCAGGCCTTACCTTCCCACCCAGTGTCGAGTCTCGGGAGAGCTGCTCTGCCGCCAGGATGTGTCCATGGACCACGTTCTCCACAAAGGTGAAGTCCACCAAGTTCTTCCCATTTCTGCAGGTGCACAAGGGATGATGGAATACGTGCTGGGAGCCCCTGCACGAAGGCCAGGGCCACTCCCAAGTCTTGGCATTTGAGAGACTGTGACCTACAGAATGGCTGCCACCTCACTTGGCAAGGCCGGCCCAGGCACTCATGGATGCCTGTACTGGTTAAAGATGTACACTGGGCCGGGACTCCTGGGTCTTCAGGGTTAGTGGAATCTGAAAGCTGGGGGACCTGCCCACCCATTCCAGCATGGCCAACACTGGTGCTGTCTCTCCTGTCCCGATTTGGGTAGCAGCTTTTCAGCCCCTTCCCAGGAGACACGGGGCCAACGCCTTGCTCTGGTCCTCCGTTTATTGACCAGTCTCCCTGTAATCCTTCAAGGTGACAAGTCAGGGTAGCAGTGAGGCTGAGTGAGAAACAGGAAGGCAAGGCAGAGGGAAAAAGGAAGGAAGAGAGAGAGGAGAAAAGGAGGAAATGAAGGAAGAGAAAGCCTATTTGGGAGAGAGGCACACTGTTGTCCCCTGTGGAGGCCCCTCCACCTGCACTTAACCCGAGGAGAAAAGTAATGCCCCCGCCTGCCTTCCCAGATGCAAGGACAGTCAAGCCCTGGCCTTTGACCCGGGGCCCATTGCTTTCCCTCTGAGTCACGGTTTCTTCAATTTCCAAACAGGGTCACAAATACCTTCCCAGCCTACCTGAGAGGGTACACTGGATTGAACAGTATCCTCCCAAAGCTTCTGTCCACTTGGGCCTTGTGAATGTGACCTTATTTGGAAATAGGGGCTCGGCAGATGCAATTAGTTAAGCTGAGCTCATACTGGGGTAGGGTGGGCTTTAAATCCAGGGAATGATGTCCTTATAAGAGGGAAATTTGGACACAGAAAGCAAGGAACACAGCCATGTGAAAGGGACGCAGAGGCAGGAGTGATGCCTCTCCAAGCACAGAATGCTAAGGATGGCTGGAAGCCAGCAGAAGCTAGGGCAGAGGCCTGGAACAGACGCTCCCTGCGAACCTCCAGAAGACACTAGCCCTGCCAACATCTTAACTGAGGACTTCTGGCCTCCCAAAATGTGACAGAATCCATTTGTTGTTTTAAGCACTTACTTTGTGGCAGGTTGTTATGGCAACTACAAGAAATGAATACAGAGGACAGCGGACAAGGTCACTGCTATCGCCTGAATCTTTGCATCCCCGCAACATTCATATGTTGAAACTTAACCTCCAGTGCAATGGTACTGTGAAGAGGGACCTTTAGGGGGTGATTAGGTCATGGGGGCTCTGCCCTCGGGAATGGGATTAGTGTCCTCATAAAAGAGGCCCAAGGGAGCCTGTTTGCCCCTTCCACCATGTGAGGACATGGTGAAAAGGTGCCACTCATGAGGAACAGGGCCTCAATGGACACCCAGTCTGGGAACGCCTTGATCTGGACTTCCCAGCCTCCAAGCTCTCTGTTGTTTGTTACCCAGTCTTAGGTATTTTGTTACAGCAGCCTGCATGGACCAAGACAGTCACATAAGAAAAGAGCTACAATGCCATGTGGCTCCTGCCAAGTGCTCTCTGAATGCGAGCATGGACCAGGAAGGACTAGGGAAGAGCCGCTGTGGGCTGACTCACCCAATCACGAACTTCATCTTGCCGTTCCTGGCTGCCTCGATGAGGATGGGTACCAACTGCGGGTCCCTTGGGCCGAAAATGCCATGAGGGCGGATGGCTGTGGTTAAGAAATTCTTCTCAGGATCGTTGGCGCCCAGAACTGCCTGGAGGAGAGTGGGAGAAGGGGCACGTCCATTGCAAATTCCTAGGCCCAAGCCAAGAGAGTGCCTCGCTGGGTGAGAAGCACCACTCGTGGGGGACAGACAGATGACACACTCTGCTGGCATGTGGCCACTGAGCAGTGGTCTGCCTTGAGCTGACAACCTACATCAGTGGCTGGTATAATTCTGGGCTACCTCTCTACCCCACCCACCCTCACACCAAAATCTGAAAATGCAGGACAGACAGCTGGGCAAAAACTGGTAAGATCAAATCAGAAGGCCCTGGTTTGCGTTCAAAGGCTAAAATCCACCAACACTGCCAGAAGACATGCCTCGGCAGCAGTTTGTGGAAAACGTCCAAAGGTTCTGGCAAACAAGTTAGCCGTGAGCCTCCAGTGACTTGAACTGCATGTGCCGCCCACGTTTCCACCAGGCCGGGTCTGTTCCAGGCAATTCTGAGTATCACCTCCGAGGGGAGGGCTCTGAGAAACCCAAGTGGGCCCAGAAGAGGGTCAGAGAAGGTGAAGGGTCTGAAGACCATGCCTGGGGAGAAACAGGCCAGCAGCTGGGGGGCAAAGGAGGCCGAGACATGTAAAGTCCTCAGAGCAGTGCCTGGTCCAGAGCCAGTGCTCCTGTTGCCACCGCAAGGAAAGGGTGACTTCTGTGTGACTTCATGGACAAACTAGAACTCAAGAGTCTAAAGCACAGTGAAATGGGTTTCGCCTCAAAAGTAACAAAACTTTCCAAAGGATTTGTTTTATCGTGGGTAAAAGTGGTGATCATAAAGGTACCTACCCTGACGGGGCTGCATGCGAATTACACGAGATGGCCCATGTGAGTTGCTTCAGTGCGTGTCTGTATGCTTGGTAAGTACGGTTCCTGCTGTCATGTCACCTCGGGTTTCTTCTACTCTATGGTAGCAAAGTGCTGGTCTATGTTTTGGCCCCAGTGATCTTAAGCAACTCAACAATGGAAAAGCTGCCTCTCAACAGATTCCCAGAGCTGGCCCTCCTCTTCCCGCCAGGACTCTGGTCCCCACAGCGATGGAGGAAATGACTAAATAAACCCTCAAATGGCTTCCACCAAGGCTCATCTCTACTACTAAAGGGAAGAGAGGTGAAGGAGTCCTAGCTCCCCATCACATTTGGTTTATGATCAGTAGGAAGGTTATAAAGCCAACAGTGGATGTCAACCTCGGCTGAAAGGAGGCTTCCGGTGAGTTACTGCTGGAGTCATCTGCAGGCTTTGCTTATTTCCAGTTGAGAACCCAAAAGTTGATATAAGCGAGACACTGATGGTCTGGGCCAAGGCCATCATTTGAAGCTCCTGAGCCTAGATGGGCTCAGCTCTGGTGGCAATCAGTATCAGGCATATTGGGTTGAGAATACACAGGGTCTCCATGGTGACTGAACTGCCTGCAAGGCGCAGGGAGGCTTTAGTACTCCTTGGGCCAAGTTCGAGCACATGAGTGCTCCAAGGAGCAAGACAGCATAGTCTGGAGCCAGGACTGTGGCTTGCCAAAGTTCAAGCCTCCACCCCTGGTCTGGGTGGCCCTTGTGTCTCCCTGTGGACCAGTTCTGCCAGGACTTTCTGAGCTGAAGCAACAGCAGACAGGCTGGGCATGGTGGCTCACGCCTGTAATCCCAGCACTTTGAGAGGCCAAGGCGGGCAGATCATGAGGTCAGGAGTTCGAGACCATCCGACCAACACGGTGAAACCCCGTCTCTACTAAAAATACAAAAATTAGCCGGGCATGGTGGCACGCGCCTGTAATCCCAGCTACTCAGGAGGCTGAGGCAGGAGAATCGCTTGAACCTGGGAGGTGGAGGTTGCAGTGAGCCGAGATCGTGCCACTGCACTCCAGCCTGGGCAACAGAGTGAGAATCCATCTCAAAAAAGAAAAAAAAAAAAAATACGGCAAACAGCCAGGAGGCAGCTGGCTCTCAGGTAGCCAGGTCAGTGTTCAGCTCCAGTACAGCATGTACCGGCTTTGCGAGAAAACCTCAGTGGGTGTGATACACTGCACACACCTGGGAGGGGTATACTCACAGCTACCCAGCTAAGACGAGCTATCCCAGGCTCAGGAGCACTCCTGGCCTGCAGCTTAGGATGGCCTCAGGGTGACAATCCCCATCTGCAGCTAGCAGTTGTCAGGGGCCCCACAGCCCCAGCAGCCTGAAGGCTTGGTAGCGACCGTGGCTGAATCCAACCATACTAAAATCAGGTGCCCTTTGATGAAGCTGTTTTGCCAAGTGGAAAAGTACTTTTTCCTTAAAATAAAGCAAGATCCTTCCGTTGTTTGTTTTTCTAAGTAAGGGAGGGGGTGAGAGTGCCACTAGGAAGGTGCCTCCAGCCTGATTCCTGTCTGCACGCTTGCAACTGCTGTAAATTCCCATAGCAGGCGAGGAAGCTCCCATGGCATTGAGGGTGGGCTGTAAGCTCTGTAGACAGACTGCCTGGGGTCAGCCACCTCCTAGCTGCACAGTTTTAGAAAGGTTCTGAGCCTCTCTGTGCATCTGTGCACCACAGTCTTCATCTATAATCTGGTGATGATGCGATAATTGTGACCTTTAAACAAGGAAAATACTCCTGGAAAACACTCAGAACAGTGTCTGGCCACATAAAGCTGTTCTCATAGTAACTTTTTTTTTTTTGGGAGACAGCGTCTCTCTCTCTCTATCCCCCAGGCTGGAGTGCAATGGCACAATCTCGGCTCACTGCAACCTCCGCCTCCCAGGTTCAAGCAATTCTCATACCTCAGCCTCCCAAGTGGCTAGGATTACAGGCGCCTGCCACCATGCTGGGCTAATTTTTGTATTTTTAGTAGAGATGGGGTTTCGCCATGTTGGCCAGGCTGGTCTCGAACTCCTGACCTCAGGTGATCCACCCACCTCGGCCTCCCAAAGTGCTGGGATTATAAGCGTGAGCCACCGTGCCCGGCCTCTCACAGTATTTTTAAATTTAATTTCACCCACAAATTTTACATCTCAAATCAGGTACGTAGGCCTCAGAATACAAACTTCATAAGTTCATAAACATTTTTCTTAGGATTCTAAACCCTTCAGTCTGCTCACTCAACCAGTTCCAAGGTACATACCCTCTCCTGTAAGATCTTAGTCTCTGTGTAGTAGTCAATGGGTTTCATGGCATAGGGAAGGTCTTCAGTTCCATTCTTGATATCGACGCCCTCAAAGATGACACTGGCACTGCTGGTTAAAATGAGTTTCTGACAGAGGAAGGTCAGAAAAAATAAAAGTCACAAATTATCACAATTCAAACAGTGCATGATCCTGTATGAAAGAGAATCAGGGGCATCCCTTTGTTGCCCTCGCATTCGAGGCACTGAAGAAATTATTTGCTGCAATGCCTTTGCTTTTCATGCCTTCTTAAAATAATCCAAAGATCACCATCTTTTGCAGCTATGTGGATTCCAGACACACTATGTATTACATTCTAACCAAGAATCAAGAGATCTTGGTTTCAAAACAAGGGATAACACATTTTTTCTATCCCATCACACCTGAGAGATAGAATAGACTTGCATTCATGGTATCTCACTATGACAGCGATTCTCTGTTGTAAGTGAAGGGCAGCCCGCAAACTTCTAGGAAGATGTCTGAAAAAGATCACTGGCTATTCTGATAGTGACCTGGCCATGTGAACACACATAGGAATACACACACCACACGACCTCTTAAGAAATGCTATTCTAAAGGAAGATATTCTCTTATGAGGGTCCCCAGCGTCCAGCCTGCTGGTTAAGAGAAGCTCATCCAACACTGAACACCATTAGCATGAATCATATCGTTCCCATTCTTATTCAACATTGTATGAGAAGCTCTAGCCAGAGTGGTAGGGTAAGATAAACACGAATTTATAATGATTTGAAAAGAAACTGAACTTCCATCGCTTACAGATGAGAGAAAAATCTACACAGAAAACACAGGCAAATATGTAGAAAATATTAGCGTTTGGCAAAGTTGCTGAATTAAAAATCAATATACAAAAATTAACTCGTCTTATATATTAGCAATAACTGAAAATGTAATAGAAAGTTATTAAATAACAAAAAACGAAGTACATACAAATAAATTTAACGAGATATGCAAAATCTTTACGAAGTAAAGTATAAAACTCTATTGATGACATTAAAGAGCGAGATAAACAGAAACATATCCCATATTTATGGACAGGAACACTCAATATGGGAAAGATGTCAATTCTCTCCAAAATTACCTACAAGTTCAACACAATTACAACAGCAGTCTCAGCTGGCTTTAGCAAGGAACTGGTTAAGCCAAACATATGTAGAAGAACAAAGGGCTCAGAATAGCCAAGTGAAGTTTGAAGAAATTGGTTGGGGGCGTGATTTATCTACGGTACACTGAGACTTATCCTAAAAAGGCAGAGCTTCTCTGCATGGGCAGACAGGGAGGTCAATGGGGCAGAGGGGAGAGCCTGGGAACAGGCCCATGTAAGACACAAACACCTAAGACATGCTGCAGATGGTGTGCAGCGATGCAGAAAGGATGGATTATGCAATAAATGGCACTGAACTGGTTATACACATGGAAGAAAGTTAGATCTCTATCTCACACCATAAGCAAACATAAATTCCTGGTGGATTAAAGACTGAAATGTGGAAAGCAACACTTAAAACCTTTGAGGAAAAAAAGTACATTAAATAATCTTTTGATCTCAGTGTTGGAAAATGTTCCTTCAATACAACACAGCAATCACTTTCTGCACTCTTACCCACTAAGCCACTCTGCCCCTTCAGTAAATAAACCAGAGTTACATATGCCAAGATGAATAAAGAAAAACATAACACTGGGGAAAAAAGCAAGTTGCAGGAGGATCTGTTCAATAAGATATCATTGTATAAAATCTTATAACATGCAATCCAATACTTTATATTGCTTACACATGGAGCAAATGGAAATAAACCCAAATTCAGAATTGCTATCCATGGCTACAAGAAGAGAGCAATGGCATCGAGGATGGGCACACATTACACATGCCAGTAATGTTGTTTCTTAAATGCTGTGGTGAGTGGAGAGGTGCTGTTTTATTCTCAAATCTTGTTGTTTTTTTAATTTTTTTTTTAAGAGACAAGGTCTTGCTCTGTTGCCTAGGCTGGGGTGTAGTGTTGGGATCACAGCTCACTGCAGCCTGAAAATCCTGGGCTCAAGCGATCCTCCTGCCTCAGCGTCCCGAAACAGTTGAGGCTACAGGTGCATACCACCACACCTGGCTTTTAAAAATTCGTGTAGAGGTGGGGTATTGCTATGTTGCTCAGGCTGGTCTTGAACTCCTTGGCTCAAGGGATCTTCCTGCCTTGGCCTCCCAAAGCGCTGGGATTACATGTGTGAGCCGCCACACCTGGGGCACAAATCTTTGTTGTATGCCCCCAACCTTCCATTTAACAAAGAGCAGCAGGGCCCTTCCCAGGGCTCCAGTTACATCAGCATGGCTGAGTGCAGAGTCTGGGACTTGGAGAATCTGCTTTGACCCCACCTCTCCCATTTACTAGCAAAGAGACATCGTTTAGCCCCTGGTCACCCAACGAGGAGCTAATTAGGTGAAAACTTCAGCAGGGCAAAGCATCTTGTCAACTGCTAGGGGTCAGTTATAAGTGATCTTTTCCAGGGCCCAAGCCCAGAAGAGCTCCAACCCTGCTGGGCCGGCTGAGGATGCTGCGGACCAGCCAACAGTGCCAGGACAGGTTGTTGGGAGAGGAACCCCCTGGCTTGCTTCAAGTTTTTCTCTTAATTTATGCAGTACCTGTGGCATGCATCCCTGTGAGGGTCAGGATACTGAGCTGACAGGGAGCCGTTTTAGCCAGTGGCTGGAGTCCTCTAAAGACAATTCTAAGAACCAGGATTGGTAACGATGCAGCAAGCTATGATGGGCAGAAAATTCGTATCCCCTCAGGCCTGAGTTATAACACGTTTCTATTGGCTAAGGGTAAACACAGTTTGCTTTTCTTTTAAAATATAAGCAAGGTCTGGAAAACAATGTGGTGGCTCCTCAAAAGGTTAAACGTAGAACTAGTATATGATCTAGCAACCCTACTTCTGGGTAGATGCCTGAAAGAATTGAAAACAGGGACTTGAACAGATATTTGTACACTTGTGTTCATAACACTATTGTTTACAATTGCCAAAAGGTGAAGACAACACAGATGTCCATCCATGGCTGAATGAATAAACAAAATGTGGCCCATCCATACAATGAAATATTGTTCTGCCTGAAAAAGGAAGGACATTCCGACACATGCTACAACATGGATGACCCCTGAGGACATCATGCTCGGTGAAAAGCCAGACACAAAAGGAGAAATACTACATGAGTCCACTTCTGTGAGGTCCCTATAGTTGTCAAACCCATAGAGACAGAAAGTAGAAGGGTAGTTGCCAGGGGCTGGGTAGGGAAGGGCGATTGAGGAGTTGCTGTTTAATGGGTATAGAGTTTTTATTAGGGAAGAAGAAAAAGGTTTAGAGATGGATGGTGGTAATGGCTATACAACATTGTGAGTGTACTTAATGCCACTGAACTCCGCACTTAAAAATGGTTAGGATGGTAAATTGTATGTGATATATATTTTATCACAATAAAAATATAAGCAATGTCTAAGTTCTGCAGCTCTTTAACTGAAGGCCAATAGGCTTGAGGTCCTCAGATGTTCTATTTGTGTGCAGTTAGAATATTACATCTCAAATCAGCCTTGGCAAGCAGACCTTCACCATCTCCAGTGACTCCAAGGGCTTCATTTCTAAGATCTTCCCAACACTTTAAGAAGCAACCCCGCCTAGGCCCAGGGAGACTGCAAGAACTACGGCCTTGCACCCTTAGAAAGGGCCATCACGTGCTCCTGACAGCACTCACTCCAGCCTTCCCCTTACCTGAACCCCAGCCTCTTTGCAAGTTTCAATGACATTCTTGGTGCCAATGTAATTCACTCTATAAAAGAGCTCCTTGTTGTTACTGGATGGTGGGGGTGACGCACAGTGGAAAACTGTGTTTACACCTTTCAGAGCTGGGTACAGATCCTGGAAAAGCAAAGAAAGACAAAATAATCATTCCTGCTTTGACAGGTCAATGGCATTCTCATGTTTTCACCCTCCAACCTGTGGCTTGTAGGTTCCTTGTCTTATAATTCTATAATCAATATGGAAATACATTCTCATAAAAGAATCAATGATACCGAAGTACATGGGATGGAAACCAAGTTGTCCCTTTAATCACCTTCTCCCCACTAACTAGTCCCCAGTCAAAAGGGGTTTGGGGCATGAGAAGCCTGTGGGATCCACACAGAGGCAACATCCTTTTGGGTGGTTCAGAGCAGGCACCTAGGAGGTAAAACTCCCCAGGAAGGTGAACTCAGATAGAAATTATGAATCACATGAAAAAGTTCCACACCATTAAAGACAGTAAATAGCCAATACACAGGCATATTCCTTCCTGTGAAACTTGACACAATACAGCAACCTGAAAGGGATTTTTAAAACAGGTCTGTTTGATTTACTGCTAAAAGGAACAAGAGCTCCTGAGAGAAATGGCTGATTGCAGATCTGGGACAGGAAACACACAAGAGGAACCAGGCACACCTTGTACCAGAGAGTGAGGATGCTAGCTAGCTAAGACTACCGGGGTCACGTTAAAAGCACTCAAGGGCCAACCTGAAGAGGTTCCCACTGGGCAAAGAAGGGACAGCTTGACCACAAGCAAGAATAAAAATTCAGGTAAATAAAGGGAAAGAATCAAATATTTATTCTGCATTAAGGTATAAAGACTGGAGCTACTAAATGAAGACTAATAGCATGTCATCATTTTGTCAAACCTTAATTAAGTAATATGATCTAAGTATGATTCATGTTTGTCACCAAAAGACAATTATGACAATTATGTGCCAATTAATATTTTGCCACAATTTCCTCTCTCTACATACAATCACATGATTTTTTTTTTGAAACCAGTCAAGTAAGTTGCAGACATCATGCTGCCTCTAAACGCTTCACAGGTATCTCCTAAGAACAAAAGCATTCTCCTAAATAACCATAAAACAATGATCACACTCAAGAAACTTAACAGATATGATGTTCTTATCCAATAATTAGTCTATATTCAAATTCCCCCAATTGTCCCAGTAATGTCTTTTATAGCCTTTTGTTTTGGGGTCCAGGATCCAATTGCGCATGACATGTAGTATTTAGTCCTCAGGTCTCTTCCATCTCTTTTAATCTGAGACAAATTCCCGTCTTTTCTGTCTTATTTTAATGCTGCCATTTTTCAAGGGTTTGGGTTATTTTATAGACTGTCCTTCAGTTTGGATTAGTCTGTTTCCTCAAGATTAGATTCAGGCTTAATGGTTTTGGCAAGAATACCACATCAGTGGTGGTGTGTCCTTCTCAGGGAATTACCTCAGGAGGTGCAAGTCTGTCCCACTTTTGGTGATATTAAGTTGGAGCACGTGGTGATGATGATGGCTGCCAGATTCCGGCCATCAAAAAGGTACCTTTTCCTTTGCAATTGATAAGTAATCTGTAGCATGTTAATTCTACCAATTAACCTCAGCATTTATTGATAGTCCTTGCCTGGAACAATAATCAATGTACTGGGTATAAAATGGTGACATTCTAAGTCTAGCCTTTTAATTCATGGCCTTTACATTTATTAGTTGGCATTCCTCTGTAGAGCTTCCCCTTCTCCCTGACCCCAATTGTTATTTTCAGTATTTCTATGGACCCATGGATTCTTTTTTATTTTATTTTTTTGAGACATTGTCTCGCTCTGTCGGCAAGGCTGGAGTGCAGTGGCATGATCTCAGCTCACTGCAACCTCTGCCTCCCGGGCTCAAGCGATTCTCCCGAGTAGCTGGGATTACAGGCGTATGCCACCATGCCCGGCTAATTTTTTTGTATTTTAGTAGAGATGGGGTTTCACCATGTTGGCAAGGCTGGTCTCGAACTTCTGACCTCAGGTGATCCACCTGTCTTGGCCTCCCAAAGTGCTGGCATTGCAGGCGCTAGCCCTGCACCCAGCCCACGGATTCTTTTTGAAATCAAAATGCATTGTCATCCACTACTGTTATGTTTTGAGAGGCTCAAAATGCTCAAAATGTCCCAAATTTGGCCAGGGGAAGCCCTTCAAGTTGGCTCTTGTATCTTCTTGGCAGGTCCCCATTCATTTTGTGCTAAGAAAATGTCCCAGACTCATTTTGTACTGCCCTTGCCCTAGGGTCCTAGAATGAGCAATTTTCCCAAGAAGCCCTAGTTCTTTTTATGGGAAATGGTATATAGAAACCCAAATCTGAGCACTAGGCATGCTTATTACTATTGGAGTATCAGAAGTAATAATACCCCAGAGGGAAAAACTGAACCAGAGTCCGATCAAGTCTTTAGTCCAGTAGAAACATAATAAAAGTCACAGTGACTTTAAAGTTTATAGTAATGACATTAAAAAGTAAAAAGAAAAAGGTGAAATTAACTTTAATGAGACAGTTACATTCCTTTTTTCTGTAGGTAGTTTTTGAAATCTGGTGTGGACTTCACACTTACAGTGCTTCTCAATTCTGACTTGCCACATTTTAAGTGCCCAATAGTTGCACGTGGCTAATGGCTGCCTTAATGGACAGCGCCATCCCAGATCTACCAGTATACAGAAAATACTGGAGGACAGAAGGGCATGTTAAACGCAATGGGGATGTAATCGGCAAAACCCAGACTGTGGGAAATACTACAGCACCATAAACATGGTTTCTACTAAACATCAGTTATTCAATAAATAGACTGAAGTTTAAAAAAATGAAGGGAATCGTAAATTAAAAGAGAGCTAAATATTTCAACCAAATCCATAGTCTTGATCTTGCTTGGTTCCTTATTTGGAAAAACAATAATACAAAAACATTTATAAGACATTCAGGGATATCTGAACGCTGGCTAGATACTAAGGAACTACTGTCAATGTTTTTAAAAATAATCCTTATCTTTTAGAGACAAATACTGAAATATTTGCAGATAAAATGATATGATGTCTAGGATTGACTTCAACATAATCTGAGGAGGAATATAGGTGAAACACGATTGGCCATGAGCAGAGGCAGGGAGGAGGAAATCTCCTATGAAATAGTACAAAAAGAGAAAGAGAAGGAATGCAAGAAAGAGAGGATAAGAGACAGATGATACAATGAAAGACCACCATATGTCCAGCACGGCTTCTAGAAAGAGAGAAAAGAGAGAAAAGGGGTAGAGTTAATCTTTGAAGAATTTTCCAGAAATGAGGAAAGACATTCATCTTCAGATTGCACAGGCCTACCAGGTGTTAAGATTTAAAATCAAAACTAAAACTCAGGCCCAGATATATTCTCTATAGACTATAAATGATAAAAAATAAAATCCTAAAAACCATAAGAGGGAAAGCCAGACAACCTACAAACGAACAACGACCGGCTTGAGAGTAGACTTCCTGTCAGCAACAAAAGATGCACAAGACCGAGGTGACTTTAAAAGTGTCATGGGCCGGGCGCGGTGGCAACGGTGGCTCATGCCTGTAATCCGAGCACTTTGGGAGGCCGAGGCGGGTGGATCACTTGAGGTCAGGAGTTCAAGACTAGCCTGGCCAACATGGTGAAACCCTGTCTCTACTAAGAATATAAAAATTAGTCATGGGTGGTGGTGGGCGCCTGTAATCCCAGCTACTCGGGAGGCTGAGGCAGGAGAATTGCTTGAACCCAGGAGGTAGAGTTTGCAGTGAGTCAAGATCACGCCACTGCACTACAGCCTGGGCGACAGCGCAAGACTCCGTCTCAAAAAAAAAAAAAAAAGTGTTATGTAATACATATTGTGTGTATAAAACTATATAACTATATATACATAAACTTTATCTATATGTATGTATATCTGTCTCTCTCCTCTCTCTCTCTCTCTCTCTACTGACTATAAAAACACATTTTTAAAAAAAAAGAAATGGGGGGGGTCTTGTTATGTAGTCCAGGTTAGTCTTGAACTCCTGGCCTCAAGTGATCCTCCCACCTTGGCCTTCCAAATAGCTGGGGGACTACAAGTGCATACCACCACACCCAGGTGAAAGTACATTTTAAAAGTCCTTCTCGGCTGGGCGCAGTGGCTCACACCTGTAATCCCAGCACTTTGGGAGGCAGAGGCGGGCGGATCACCTGATACAAGGAGTTCAAGACCAGCCTGGCCAACATGGTGAAACCCTATCTCTACTAAAAATACAAAAATTAGCCGGGTGTGGCGGTGGGCACCTATAATCCCAGCTATTAGGGAGGCTGAGGCAGGAGCATCGCTTGAACCTGGGAGGCGGAGGCTGCAGTGAGCTTAGATTGTGCCACAGTCTGGGCAACAGAGCAAGACTATGTCTAAAAAAATAAAAATAAAAATAAAATAAAATAAAATAAAATAAAAAAGGTCCTCTCCTGCCATGTCTTTCACCCACATCACATCGACCTTGGACTTAGCTTAGATTTCATGATCCACCAGCACCACCTTTGCCTTGTTCCCCTCTCCCTTTATTAAATTTGTCTAGTAAACTCCAACCCTGGTTAAATGCAACTCGCCCCTTCTCCACGCTTGCGGCTGAGCAGTTGAGTGTGGCTGGAGAACAACATGGCATGCTGGAGGGTTCCCTTGAAATCTGTACTCAAGGAAAGCTGAAATAACATACTAGCAACAACAGCATGGCAGCGGGGGAGCCTTTTGGAGAGAAGTGAAAGCTTGCTAAGGATTCTCGTCTCCTTTGAGGGGACAAAGCAGTGATCGAAAAACAAAATTCCTGCTTTTGTGGAGTTTACATTCTATGGTAGAGAGGACAAATTTCAGAGATTTCCTCTGCTCTGTATCCGCTCATGGTCAATCATGTTTCAATCAGGACAAATAAGCAAACAAACAAGTAAATCTAGAGGACGTCCGTACTGGCAGGTGTTATGCAGAAACTAGAGCAGAGTAAGGGAGACCAGCGGGGGCCTGTTCCTTAGCACAGGGTGGCTGGAGATTTACAGGAAGCTAGGGAGCAAGTTCTGTGGTTCAGGAAGAGCATTCCTGACAGAAAGGACACCAAGTGCAAAGGTCCTGAGGCAGAAACTTGGTTGGTGGCCAGTGTGCCTGGGGCAGAGCCATGAGGCGGGTGTGGGAGGAAGTGGGCCAGACAGGTAGTGGGGACGTGCCGTGCAGGGCCTCATGGGTGATTACAGAGGCCTCTGTTTGCTTGACATGGGACTGGACGCCACTGGAGGCTTCTGTACAGAGGGCGGTGTGATCTGATTTATCCATTAAGAGTCCCTCTAACATCTAGGTGAGACAGTGATGGTGGCTTGGACCAGGGTGGCAGCAATGGAAGGGGTGAGAAGTTGTTGGATTGGGGATCTATTCTGAGTGGAGCCAACAAGATTTCCTGATGGATGGGATGAAGGGCATGAGAGAGAAAGGAATCGGGCAGGGATGAATCTAAGGTTTTTGGTTGATGGAACTGGAAAAGCAGAGTAGGCCATTTATGGAGATAGAGAAGACTTAGCAGAAATAGGTTTGCTGTGGTGGGGGAGGGGCTTGCGTCAGGGAACCAGGAGCTTAATTTTGGATGTAGCAAGCTTGAAGTGTCCATGAGGTATCCAAACAGGGATGTCCAGCAGGCATACACACACATACGCTCACACACACACACACACACACACACGTGCCTGAGAGAGCTAGGGGTTGGAGATAACAAGCAGGGAGCACATCAGCTTCTAGACAGTAATTAATCCATGAGATGGGATGGAGTCACTGTGACACTGTCTAAACTTGGAGAAGAAAAGAGAATAAGTTCTGGAGTCTGCAAAGTTTAGAAATGATAGTGATCAGGAGACAATCAGTGAGGCAGGAGGAGAAATGAGTGAGGTGGTATCTCAGAAGGCAAGCAAAGAAAGCATCAGATGCTGCTACAGGGCCAAGTCAGAGGAGGACTGAGATTCAACCACCAGATATGGTTGCCTCAAGGTCCCTGGTGGCAGTGACTGGGTAGGGAAGAGGAGGTGGCTTCCAGCTGGCACCAGGATGGGCACTTTGGTGGGGATGAGGCGTCCTCGGGAACAGCAGGGGAGGCTGAGTAGAGACGTGGATGTGGGCAGGTTTGTGGAGATGGTGCTTGGTGGTACCAAGGGTCTGCTTGAGGGCCATGGCCATGCACAAGGCAAGATTTAACCAGGGTGGGGGTTACAATGTGAAGTACACTGTGGTGGCCACATTTATTTGCCACCTGGGCCAGGCTCTAGTCCCCGGTGACTCCATTAAACAGTGTAGGTGTTGCTGTAGAGGTATTTTGTAGCTGTGGTTGACATCTACAACCAGCTGACTTTAAGTAAGGAGATTACCCTTGCTACTCTGGACAGGCAGTATATACTCAGTTCAAAGACCTTAAAAGTGAAACTGAGGTTTCTGTAAGAAGAAATTCTAACGTGGGACCACAGCATCAATTCCTGCCTGAGTTTCTGGTCTGCCCTACAAATTTCAGACTTGCCTAGTCAGCCCCCACAATCATGTAAACCAATTCTGTGAATTAAATCTCAACCTCTCTTTCTCCGTCTCACCCACCCATCTCTCTCCTTGCCCTTCTCCACACATCCCCCTGCTGGTGTTTCTCTGGAGAAACTTTATGGATACATACAACCAGAAGAGAAAGGGGAAGGGGTGAAGACTATGCAAGCGAACAAGCAGACCAGGGAACTAAAGGCAGTGAGGCACGAACAGGCTGAGCCATGGTGGGCATGGCTGGATGTCTGGGTGGGGTTAAGGAATCGGGACAGCTGAGGCACTAGAGGGCATGAGCTGGACAGAGAGGAGCTAGTGCTCAGAGTAGAATGCCTGCAACTGAGAAGAAGGAGAGGACGTGCTTACTGGTGATGACAGGGGAGTGGAGGGCAACATCATTGGGTGAGAGGAGGCCAAGGATGAGAGAGGCGAGGGCATTGGTAGGGTCATCTACATGAACGCTGAATTCACCAATAATAATGCCAGAAAGGAGCTGAAATCACTGAGAAATGATGTGGAGTCACTGGGAAGGGGAGCAGGCGGCTGTGGGTGGCCACCACAAGGAGGGAACGGTGTCGGGGTTTGTACAGTCTGAGGGTATCCTCTTCAAAGCTGGAGAGGCTTAGAGCAGCATGAGGGAGAACGGTTCGGAGGCAGCAATGATGAGCATGAAAGATGTCTACCCCATCTCCAGGCCTGGAGGTGTGGGCAGCACGGGAGAGAAAACAACCGTAACTTTGCAGCGGAAGCAATGGCCTTAATATTTCATCAACAAACCATATAGCGAATGACACCAAAGCCAAGAATAAGGGCCCAGTGACAGGCTGAGGGAAGCCATCCATAATAAGTACAACGGGCACAGGATTGGCATCCCAACTAGATCAACAAGGAAGCAAAGGTAACCCCAAAGACAAAGGGGCAAAGGACACAGACAAACATTTCACACAGGAGGAAGCCTGAAAGCCGATCACCCAGTGGCAGAGTGGCTGGTTACTTGGTCAGGGAGGACATGTGACTCTGAACATCAGTGAAGCACCACTTCATACTTCTCAGAATGGCAACACCAAAAAGTCTAGTTATGCCCAGTGTTGGCAAAGATGTGAAGCAATGGGGCTTGTGCCACATTGTGGATATGGAGGTAAAATTGACATAGCAGCTTTGCTGAGCCATTTGGCACCATCTAATAAAATTCAAGATATTCATACCTGTACAACATGGATGAAGCTTGAAAACATCATGCTAAGTGAAAAAAGTCAGGCACAGAGGTACAAATATTACATGATTCCATTTATATGAAATGTCCAGAAGAGGCCAATCCATAGATGGGAAGTAGATGAGTGGCGGCCAGGGGCTGGGAGGGGAAGAGAGGGGATGGCTACAAGATTTCATTTTGGGGTAATACAAATATTCTGGAGTTAGATCATGGGAGACAGTTGCACAGCTTTGTGGATGTACTGAAAATCACTGAATTGCACACTTTAAAAATGTGAAATTTGTGGTACATGAATTATATCTCAATTAAAAAATCAAGACCCTGTGGCCCAGCACACACTTGTTTTGCAGTTGGAACAATACAGCCCATGGACGGCTTTTGAAGTCAAGTTTCACTGGCATACAGCCACAGCCATTTGTTCATTTAAGTGCTGACCATGGCTGCTTTTGTGCTACCAGGACACAGCTGAGTATCTGTGACAGAGATGATGGTTATTCATTCTAAGCAGTAAGAATGTGGTGTTCTTTCCTATAACTTTGAAAATTTTCACAATGAAACAATTGTTTTTCAAACAAATTGGCTGGCTTCTGAGCAAGGGAAGTATCGTGGTTTCCCTTCGTGGGCTCGTGGGAAATCAGCAAGGCTGCATGGTCCATTACCTGTCGGCTGCAGAGGTCACCCAGAAAGAACCGCACCTGGGGATTATCAAACCCTTGCTGGATATCAAATACATTGACAGCATATCCTCTTGCCAGCAACTGCTCCACCATGTGCTGCCCCAGGAATCCAGAGCCACCGATCACTGTGCATCTCTTGGCCTGTGGAAAGAGAGGAACGGTGGGGAAGACCAGGGTAGTGAGGACTGGAAGCTACAGAGTCCAGACTTACATATCATGAGCCACTGCAATGGCAGATATACTTGTTTGTTTGGAACTCTTCTTGAGCCAAGTTGGAAGCTTTATATCATCCTGGTGTTCCATCACTAGTGCAACCCTAACCTTCTCTCCTGGGATCAGTAAGGAGGGAAGAGAGATAGCGAATGACACTGAGATTGACTTTGGTTGGGTTTGATGACAAGATCCATGCTTTGTATTCAGTGAAAGGAAATCAAACCACCTATGACCAAAACTGGACAATCTAAAAAATACCCCAAAAAACAGTGATACCTTCTTGTTCCCGATAGCTGATCCCTGGGCGCTTCTCTAAGGACAAAACAAAACAAAACAAAACGGCAGCCATTTGGTAGCTGATAGCTTGCACTGAAAACAACAGAAAGAAGAAAGCAGTCTCCATACTTGCAGGACAAAGTCAGTCCCTTTCCCTCTCTGGCCACAACAGGGCTGGGCTGTGTGGCTCTGGGCTCATCGCCCAACCCCTTCTTGCCTCAGCCTAGAAATCTAAGACCGCCTTGATGGGATCTCCTGGTGGGGCTGCAGTGAGGATGGATGAGCCCAGGGCTCTGCTTTCCCTCCTCCGAACTACAAGGAAGTTGAAGAAATGGGGAGAGCCATGGTGTTTATGTCTCAGCCTCCACAACACACACGATTCCTTGGGTAATTCCAACTCTGGTGACTGGGCATAATGAAAGGACACAGTAGCACATGCAGGCACTTAAATACCCTCATTTCAGGATGTTGATGCCAAACTGTGGCTGCTGCACACCAGACAAGCTGGCTATGGGTGTCTGTGAGGAGGACCTGTGATATCCCTCCTCCCTAGGGTCTTTCTAAAACTGTATCTGGGCCTCCTTAAGATGACAACCTCCAATTTCCTTAGCTCATATACAGTAAATCCAACTTGGGTTTGTGGAAATGAAAGATCTTAAAGAAATTATGTTCTAGATTTAAAAAACAAACAAATCTCCCTACTTATTCCTTAAACATCAACACAATTGAGCTATGCAAGAGACTCAAGGGATGCCAGGGCCAGACATCCTCTCTAGATCCACCTCCCTCCCAGTTGGGGTGTCCCATCTGAAACAGCACTCATACTGGATTCCACCAGGCCCAGCTGGAGCTGGCACTGTACTTTACCTTCATCTGTCCATGTGCAATCTACTAACAAAATCAGCCTCACCATTCTTCTACCACCCAAAACTAACTTCCCAACCTGTTCTTTTCTAGGCTTTATTCTGATTATTCCTAAACACATGTAATCATACCAGGTTACATGATTTGCACCTGGACTGAGATGTATATTTCCTCAAGTCATAGCCAAATTAAATACAAAACTCACATCAATCCCTTTTCTAGCAATCCCTTTCTTCTCCCCTCCTCCCAAGTCAGCTGTACAGGCAAACTGTAGCTATTTAGAATAACTCTGAGCTGCCTGTTTCCCAACCTGGATTTCTGCAGTTTACTAAAAGTCTGGCTAAGCCCAAAGACAGTCAGAACTAGATATGTTACTAAAGCATCCTGAAAGATTTCAGACTGCCTTGTTTATTTCATTTGGCATCTCTAGTTACAGGTGTTTCAAAAGGTTGCTAATCTCTTCAAAAAACAACCTTGCTGTTAGTCCAGTGTGATTTCATTTCACGATTTTAATTGTGACTAATCAGTACGCTACTCTTGGACAATGTGACGTGGATTATTTTATGATATTGAAATGTTCTATCAATAATGTTTGGGATGAGTAGGCCAATGGCTGTTCCCTGGAGACCCTTGTAGTGATGGGAATCAAACTGGCCTTTACCCCAGGGAAGTCAAATGTGTGATAATCATACCTATAATGCTGTGTGATTACAGGAGATCACATGAAACTTTTCATGACCACTTTTTACTTCTCACAGCCACAGTGGACAAGAATGAACATGTACTAACAATCAAGTATAAAACTCAAGACTGGAAACAGCAAGACTCCATAATGGGTTACTGAGGTGAGTTATAAGATCAACCTCTTGGAGACAGTGTTAAGAATAGGGGCCAGGCACGGTGGCTCATGCCTGTAATCCCAGCATTTTGGGAGGCCAAGGTGGGTAGATCACCTGAGGTCAGGGGTTCGAGACCAGCCTGGCCAACATGGTGAAATCCCGTCTCTACTAAAAATACAAAAAATTAGCCAGGTGTGGTGGTAGGCGCCTGTAGTCCCAGCTACTCAGGAGGCTGAGGAGGGAGAATTGCTTGAATCCGGGAGGCAGAGGTTGCAGTGACCTGAAATCACGCCACTGCACTCCAGCCTGGGCGACAGAGCCAGACTCCATCTCAAAAAAAAAAAAAGAAAAAAAACCATTTAGGCAAACTAATCTAATTGCAATAGAATCTTGAGATAACAGAATAGTCTAGGGCGCTGGGTTTTTCCAACCCTTCTTGTTTTGCTTTGTTGTCAGCAGTGGGACCCTTTTCTCAGAGAGGTCTTATGCAGAACGTATAGTAAGTTAAGACAAATGTGTTCTTTTTGTTTTAGTAGTCTAAATTTAGAACTTTTACTTCTTATAAAATCAGTCCACTAATGAGAGAAAAAAATGTTATTTCGAAGGACACAAAAATTTGAAACTAGCTGAAAATGGCAGTTTGCTATAACCATTGGAATCCACCTTTGTTTGCTGGCTGCCAAGTAGCCATAAAACCCAAATTTACATAAATGAGGAACTGCAGATGGCACGTGGCTTCAACCACAGAGGCCCAGAGGAGGCTTGACTCTGAGTTCTACACCAAATACAGGGTGATTTCACGGCCCATGATAACCTCTTAGGGATCTTGAACCTATTAACATTTGATATAAACACATTTTGTCTTGATGTAATTACGTTGTTTGTTTTGTTTTGTTTTGTTTGTTTGTTTTGAGACAGAGTCTCGCTCTGTCGCCCAGGCTGGAGTGCAATGGTGTGATCTCAGCTCACTGCAACCTCCACCTCCTGGGTTCAAGTGATTCTCCTGCCTCAGCCTCCTGAGTAGCTGGGATTACAGGTGTCTGCCACCATGCCTGGCTAATTTTTTGTATTTTCAGTAGAGATGGGGTTTCACCATGTTGGCCTGGCTGGTCTCAAACTCCTGACTTCTGGTGATCCACCTGTCTCGGCCTCCCAAAGTGCTGGGATTTCACAGGTGTGAGACACCGTGCCCAGCCACATTTTTGAAGTGCAGCACTGATTAAGAATCAATCAAAGCAAACCTTTGCAGACTGATGTGAAGAATCTCCAGGAAGCCTGACAACGACCAGGCTCAACAATTTCTTCAAGTCCTCTCTCAGACTGAGACTTGCGACACTAAATCTTAGGCCTAATAAATACTGCTGCCATTTCACTAGGAAGCCCAGCCTGGTCTACTGGAGGCCACATGAAGGCAAACCAAGGTGCCCAGTTGACAGCCACCAGTTACTACCAGAGGTGTGAGCAAGGCCACCTGGGAGCATATGCTTCAAGGGGTCCCCATGTGATTGCAACTACATGCAAGAGCCCAGGGGAGACCATCCAAGAACACCCCAGCTGGGCTCAGCCGAAACCACAGTCATAAGCAAAGAAATGGTTGTTCTTTTAAACCACTGTGTTCTGATATTGTTACACAGCAATAAGTAACTGACACATCTTAAACAAAGCTATATATCTTACATAAAAAATACCCAACATTGATTAATACATGTACAAATACAATTTTTCACCCACAGGTAAATAGTATCAGCCTGTTGGTATGTACGTGTCAACTTTCTCCTTACCTGATTCTGGTTAACCTTTTCTATGTCAGCATTCACTTTGGGAGTGTCCTCTGTCAAATGAGTCCGTGCGACTTGGTCTCTCATTGGCTCGCTAACTGCTGGTTCCATTTCGAAGCAAAATATGGTCCCGTTTGTAATCAACTTTTCTTTTCTTAAAGACATAGTTAGAGACAGACATTAATGTTGCCTAAGTCAAAACATCTTTAGTTGTTAGTGTTTTGGGCAGATGCCATCCCCCCGTTCATGTTTTTACAAATAGCTGAACCATAGCGACAGCTGTTCGACAAGACACTAGGCTCCTGAGTAGCTGGGATTACAGGTGTCTGCCACCATGCCCGGCTAACGGGGCCAACGACTGGGCCTATGACTCACCACACTGTTAGATTAGAGGCGCACAGGAGGCCAGTTAAATCAGCTCACTTATCAGTGACAACATAAAAAACGTCTTTGGCATTGTAGCTTTTTCCATGGCTCTCCCACGCTTCAGTCAGCGTGGATTTCCCCTGTGGTGCTCATTAGGGTGTAGCAGTGCCCACACCTAGGGAGTCCTGCTCTGGGCCTATCACGAACTGTACGGAATTGCTCCAGTCACTTCCCTTTGCTGCAGCTCAGTTTTCCCATCAATGAAATGGGCACAAGGGCTCATGTCTAGGAGCTCAGGACATGGGATGCTGGGACGGGGGATGAGTGGAGTGCAATAGGAGACGGAGCTCTCCTGCTTGGCTAAGTTAAAGCCGCCCTGACGATGCGTGGAGGAACTTAGCATCTTGGGCCATCAGAAACCCTTGAGAAGTGATCAGAGTACAGTGGGCACCCAGCAGTTCACAGCAGGGAGACGGTAGCAATAAAATCCGACAACGTTGCCAAACAGAGGAGTATGGCTTTAGTGACAGCCCTTAGGGTGCTCCTCTCCTCAGTCACCCATGATACTGAACTGCAAACACAAAGATGCCACTTGACTATGATGTATTTGGTCTTGCATCCATGTTTTCTTGGTAGTTGCCAATTTACTTAGTCATGGCTCCCCTAACATCTGGAGATGGCAAAACCCACGACAAGACAAGAGTCTAACTTTGCTCATGAAAGGCTAGATTCACAGAACACTTCAGTGAGGAGGTGGCAGGCAGCACTGGGATTCCACCTGCTGTGATTGCTCCAATCCAACCCCACACCTCGAATTTTACACTCCTTGCCACTTTTAACGAATGGGCATGATCATGTGTCCCAGTGGGGACAGACTTTACGGGCATGTAGAAAGCCAAAATGGCCTTGAAATGGATGCAGGACCCTCAATGTCTGGAGGAGCCATTTGGGGGAACATTTTTCTGAACTCATAATGGAAGTTATTAAGAAACTGTATGTCAAAACTTGACTTGTCATGGCCATTTTTAGAATGCATTGAAGTCAATCTGTAGCTCTGTGCCTGCCCTGTCCCTCCCTTTATCCCAGAATCCCCTTCACATTGGTAGGGGCCCTGTCAACTGTTCATTCGAAAGACATGTGGCTGATATTGAACTCACTGGGACTCAATGTGTATCTAGACCAAAGCAGCTAGAGAACAAGGATTTTGGCACCTTGCACCAAAGCCTTGCCCACTGTTGCAACTTGGGCATGAAGCATAGTGCCCAGCACAAAGTGGGCACTCACATATCGGCCGGGGGTCATGAGACTACCATGTGTGGGCACACCCACCAGAGCTCCCATACTGCTCTCCATCGCATACATGCATATCCCATCTAAGGTGCAGGGGCTTCAGTGGGGCAAGTGACTGTTATTTAGTGATGATATAATCACGAATGCCCACTGCTGGCTTCTTATCCAGATTCCCCAGATATTCAGGGAAATGTGAGCAAATGAAAAGGCACATGGCATCTACAGGGGCAAGGAGATGGCTCACATCTGGCCTCTGACCCCACCAAGGCCTTATTGACCTCTGCTGGCAGGGGATCTGAGGGGCGTGTGCCTGGGGCAGTGACAGGACCGCATGACAGGCTAACTAGGCCAGCCGGGCTAAGCAAGCCCACCCCTGTGGAGTTCTGCTCTTGTAAGCCTCTGCTCACCCTCTACACATGAGAAATCACAAATCACGCCACTCCTCAGTGCAGCTGGCAATAAATTAACCCAGAGTCGGCTGCCTGGGTTCAAATCCCAGCTACTATTCCTTACCAGCAGGTAGCCCTCGGGGGAGTTATTTAAAAGAACTGAGCTTGCCTTTCCTCATATGTAAAGTAAATGGCCTCATAAGGTCATTATGAGGATTGTGTCAAATACCTGTCAACACGCCATTCAAGGCAGCTAATTTTATTATCATTGTAACACAGCTTCCTGTGCAGGAGTCTCCCTGCCTATGCCTCCTCTTGGGCTGCCTTTGGACTCTCTCCACCACTTTAGTTCTCCCCTATCTAATCTGCTGCCATGCGGTATAAGCTTGGGCAGGCAGGGGCTGTCCTATCTGTCCTGGAAACGGCTCCCAGGTCCTGCCTAAAGGCTAACTCCTGGGGTTGTCGCAACAACTAGATGCTGGCTAACAAATAAACAACCAAGGACATGCTTTGTAAAGTAGGTGTACAGCGACAGCATGGGGCAGGAGTGTAAAGAAAGACTGGGACTCGCAAGCAAACTTGGGTGGAAAGAATCATTTCCTCTTTGGCCTCATTCAATGAATAGCATAATGACTAACACCAAATGCTTCATTCAGTTCTTCTTGAACCAAAAAGTAACTTTAACTGCTCCCGTAGCCTTAAGTTTTGCATGAAAAGTAGGAAAAGAATGGGCCAATAGAGGTCCTTGGAGGCCTGGTAGGCCCTAAATCCAATGACAAGTGGTCTTATAAGAGACATACAGAGGGGAAAGGCAGGGAGAAGAGGAGGAGGCCATGTGAAGATGGAGGCAGAGGTTAGAGTGATGTGGCTACAAGCAAAGGAACACCTGGAGCCACTAGAAGGTGGAAACAATGAAGAACGAGTCTCCCCTGGATCCTTCAGAGGGAACACAACCTTGTCAACACCTTGATTTTGGACTTGTGGCCTCCAGAACTGTGAGAGACACATTTCTGCTTTTCTAAGTCACCCAGTTTGTGGTCATCTGTTACAGCAGACCCAGCAAACTATACGAGTATCCTTTGTAGTGCCGAAATCCAAATAGCAGAGCTGCCAATTCCACAAGTCCCCTTGTATGACTAGCAAAAGCAAGAAGCCTTAGAGCCTATTCCTCTCCTCGTTTGCTAGAGGAGGATGTAGGAGGTCAAAGAAGAAACATGTCTCACCCCAACGGAGCTGTACTGCTGAAACAATAATCACACAATTCTTTGCAAACCAGCCTCTTGTCAAAACAAAATCTCCTTTGTCTCAAATTATATACCAATTATTTTAAAGTTTGTAAATACTATGAGTCAGATAAGAATTTTGGTGACAGCTTAGCTGTCTCTATGGGTTGGAGTACCCAGAGCTAGCCGCGCAAATGAGTCAGATCCCATAGGCAACCCCCGTCCCCTGCCTACTCACCTAAATTCACCATGTGATATACGCTTGGGTTAAAATGTACATTGAGAATAGCTCTGACTGAATAGACATTTCTCCAAAGAAGATCTACTTTAAAGATGGCTAAAAAGCACATGAAAAGATGTTCAACAGGCTGGGCGTGGTGGATCACGCATGTAATCTCAGTACTTTGGGAGGCCGAGGCAGGTGAAACACTTGAAGTCAGGAGTTCAAGACCAGACTGGCCAACATGGTGAAACCCCGTCTCTACTAAAAATACAAAAATTAGCTGGGCGTGGTGGCACATGCGTGTAATCCCAACTACTCGGGAGGCTGAGGCAGGAGAATCACTTGAACCCGGGAGGCAGAGGTTGCAGTGAGCCAAGATGGTGCCGCCATTGCACTCCAGCCTGGGCGACAGAACAAGACTCTGTCTCAAAAAAACAAAAAACAAAAAATAAAAAACGATGCTCAACGTCACTAATCAACAGGGCAATGCAAATCAAAACCACAGTGAGGTGTCACCTTACACCCATTATTAGGATGGCTATTATCAAAAGCCAGAAAAGAGAAAATAGCAAGTGTCAGTGAGGATGTGGAGAACCTGGAACCCTCATATATTGTTCATGGGCATGTAAAATGGTGCGACGTTGTGGAAAATAGTATGGCAGCTCCTCAAAAAAATTAAACAGAGAATTACAATAGGATCCAGCAATTTCATGTCTGGGCATATACCCCCAAAAACTAAAAGCAGGGACTTGAAGAAAAATTTGTACATCCATGTTCACAGCAGCATTAATCACTACAGCCAAAAGGTAGGAGCAGCAATGTGTCCACTGACAGATGAACAGATAAACAAAATATGGTCTAGCCACACACGGGCATATTCTTCAGCCATAAAAAGGAATGAAGTTCTGAGACATGCAACAACATGCGTGAACCTCGAGAACATTATGGTCAGTGAAATAAGCTAGACACAAAAGGACAAATGCTCTGTGAGTGGGGAGTGACTGCTGATGGGAACAGACTCTCAGTGCTGCAGGAGGAAAAGAGTTCTGAAGGCGGATGGGGTGATGGTCACTCAACAATGGGAATGCATGTAATGCCACTCAACTGTCCACCTAAATATGGTGAAGATGGTACATTTTCTGTTATGTCTACTTTACCACACAGACATACAGAAGAATAGCTCTGAACTACTGAAAACAAGACTCCAAAGAGCAATGTTTTAGGGGCTGGTGGATTGTTATGGTTCACACATCAGAAGCCTCAAGTCTCTTCCTTTAAAATGTTAGTTATTTGAATCCATTAAAAACCAATATGTGCACCCACGATGTACACTGGGACAAAATCTTAAGCTAAAAATAATATAGGAAAACAGAGATATGTTGTACTGGTGAAATCCAACCACCTTGCCCCACACCACAGGCCCATGGAAGGACAAAGTTGAGCTGAGCTGCCACAGCAAAATAAGGCTAAACTGAAACCTCTAAAGAGATGTGAACTCAGTTCATTCCAAGAGGGCCGAATAGGAACAGCTCCGGTCTGCAGCTCCCAGCGTGATCGACACAGAAGATGGGTGATTTCTGCATTTCCAATGGAGGTACCTGGTTCACCTCGTTGGGACTGGTTGGACAGTGGGTGCAGCCCATGGAGGGTGAGCCAAAGCAGGGCACGGCGTTGCCTTACCCAGGAAGTGCAAGGGGTTGGGGGATTTCCCTTTCCTAGCCAAGGGAAGCCGTGACAGACTGTACCTGGAAAAACGGGACACTCCCGCTCAAATACTACACTTTTCCCACGGTCTTAGCAACTGGCAGACCAGGAGATTCTCTCCTGTGCCTGGCTCGGAGGGTCCCATGGCCATGGAGCCTTGCTCACTGCTAGTGCAGCAGTCTGAGATCCACCTGTGAGGCTGCAGCCTGGAGGGGGAGGGGCGTCCGCCATTGCTGAGGCTTGAATAGGTAAACAAAGTGGCTGAGAAGCTCGAACTGGGCAGAGCCCACCACAGCTCAGCAAGGCCTACTGCCTCTATAGACTCCACCTCTGTGGGCATGGCATAGCTGAACAAAAGGCAGCAGAAACTTTGGCAGACTTAAACGTCCTTGTCTGACAGCTCTTAAGAGAGCAGTAGTTCTCCCAGCATGGCGTTTGAGCTCTGAGAAAGGACAGACTGCTCCTCAAGTGGGTCCCTGACCCTCATGTAGCCTAACTGGAGACACCTCCCAGTAGGGGCCGACAGACACCTTATACAGGCGGGTGACCCTCTGGCACGAAGCTCCCAGAGGAAGGATCAGGCAGCAATATTTGCTGTTCTGCAGCCTCCATTGGTGATACCCAGGGAAACAGGGTTTGGAGTGGAGCTCCAGCAAATTCCAACAGACCTGCAGCTGAGTGACCTGACTGTTAGAAGGAAAACTAACAAACAGAAAGGAATAGCATCAACATCAACAGAAAGGACATCACACCAAAACCCCATCTGTAGGTTACCAACATCAAAGACCAAAGGTAGATAAAACCACAAAGATGGGGAGAAACCAGAGCAGAAAGCCTGAAAATTCTAAAAACCAGCGTGCCTCTTCTCCTCCAAAGGATCACAGCTCCTCGCCAGCAACAGAACAAAGCTGGATGGAGAATGACTTTGACAAGTTGACAGAAGTAGGCTTCAGAAGGTTGGTAATAAAAAACTTCTCTGAGCTAAAGGAACATGTTCTAACCCATCGCAAGGAAGCTAAAAACCTTGAAAAAAGGTTAGATGAATGACTAACTAGAATAAACAGTGTAGAGAAGACCTTAAATGCCCTGACGGAGCTGAAAAACCATGGCACGAGAACTTCATGACATACGCACAAGCTTCAATAGCCAAATCAATCAATTGGAAGAAAGGATATCAGTGATTGAAGATCAAATTAATGAAATAAAGTGAGAAGACAAGGTTAGAGAAAAAAAGAGTAAAAAGAAATGAACAAAGCCTCCAAATAACATGGGACTATGTGAAAAGACCAAATCTACATTTGACTGGAGTACCTGAAAGTGACAGGGAGAATGGAACCAAGTTGGAAAACACTCTGCAGGATATTATCCAGGAGAACTTCCCCAACCTAGCAAGGCAGGCCAACATTCAAATTTAGGAAATACAGAGAATGCCACAAAGATACTCCTCGAGAAGAGCAACTCCAAGACACATAATTGTCAGATTCACCAAAGTTGAAATGAAGGAAAAAATGTAAAGGGCAGCCAGAGAGAAAGGTCGGGTTACCGACAAAGGGAAGCCCATCAGACTAACAGCAGATCCCTCGGCAGAAACCCTACAAGCCAGAAGAGAGTGGGAGCCAATATTCAACATTCTTAAAGAAAAGAATTTTCAACCTAGAATTTCATATCCAGCCAAACTAAGCTTCATAAGTGAAGGAGAAATAAAATCCTTTACAGACAAACAAATGCTGGGAGATTTTGTCACCACCAGGCCTGCCTTATAAGAGCTCCTGAAGGAAGCACTAAACATGGAAAGGAACAACTGGTACCAGCCACTGCAAAAACATGACAAATTGTAAAGACTGTCAATGCTAGGAAGAAACTGCATCAATTAACGGGCAAAATAACCACCTAACATCATAATGACAGGATCAAATTCACACATAACAATATTAACCTTAAATGTAAATGGGCTAAATGCCCCAATTAAAAGACACAGACTGACAAATTGGATAAAGAGTCAAGACCCATCAGTGTGCTGTATTCAGGAGACCCATCTCACGTGCAGTGACGTACATAGGCTCAAAATAAAGGGATGAAGAGAGATCTACCAAGCAAATGGAAAGCAAAAAAAAGCAGAAGTTGCAATCCTAGTCTTTGATAAAACAGACTTTAAACCAACAAAGATCAAAAGAGACAAAGAAGGCCATTACATAATGGTAAAGGGATCCATTCAACAAGAAGAGCTAACTATCCTAAATATATATGCACCTAATACAGGAGCACCCAGATTCATAAAGCAAGTCCTTAGAGACCTACAAAGAGACTTAGACTCCCACTCAATAATAATGGGAGACTTTCACACCCCACTGTCAACATTAGACAGATCAACAAGACAGAAGGTTAACAAGGATATCCAGGAATTGAACTCAGCTCTGCACCAAGCAGACCTAATAGACATCTACAGAACTCTCCACCCCAAATCAACAGAATATACATTCTTCTCAGCACCACATCACACTTATTCCAAAATTGACCACATAGTTGGAAGTAAAGCACTCCTCAGCAAATGTAAAAGAACAGAAAGCACAACAAACCGTCTCTCAGACACAGGGCAATCAAATTAGAACTCAGGATTAAGAAACTCACTAAAAACTGCACAACTACATGAAAACTGAAAAACCTGCTCCTGAATGACTACTGGGTAAATATCGAAATGAAGGCAGAAATAAAGATGTTCTTTGAAACCAATGAGAACAAAGACACAACATACCAGAATCTCTGGAACACATTTAAAGCAGTGCGTAGAGGGAAATTTATAGCACTAAATGCCCACAAGAGAAAGCAGGAAAGATCTAAAATTGACACCCTAACATCACAATTAAAAGAACTAGAGAAACAAGAGCAAACACATTCACAAGCTAGCAGAAGGTAAGAAATAACTAAGATCAGAGCAGAACTGAAGGAGATAGAGACACAAAAAACCCTTCAAAAAAAATCAGTGAATCCAGGAGCTGGTTTTTTGAAAAGATCAATAAAATTGATAGACCGCTAGCAAGACTAATAAAGAAGAAAAGAGAGAAGAATCAAATAGACACAATAAAAAATGATATAGGAGATATCACCACCGATCCCACAGAAATACAAACTACCATCAGAGAATACTATAAACACTTCTATGCAAATAAACTAGAAAATCTAGAAGAAATGGATAAATTCCTGGACACACACATCCTCCCAAGACTAAACCAGGAAGAAGTTGAATCCCTGAACAGACCAATAACAGGCTCTGAAATTGAGGCAATAATTAATAGCCTACCAACCAAAAAAAGGCCAGGACCGGACGGATTCACAGCCGAATTCTACCAGAGGTACAAAGAGGAGCTGGTACTATTCCTTCTGAAACTATTCCACTCAATAGAAAAAGAGGGAATCCTCCCTAACTCATTTTATGAGGCCAGCATCATCCTGATACCAAAGCCTGGCAGAGACACAACAAAAAAAGAGAATTTTAGACCAATATCCCTGATGAACATCGATGCAAAAATCCTCAATAAAATACTGGCAAACTGAATCCAGTAGCATGTCAAAAAGCTTATCCACCACGATCAAGTGGGCTTCATCCTAGGGATGCAAGGCTGGTTCAACATACATAAATCAATAAATGTAATCCAGCATATAAACAGAACCAAAGACAAAAACCACATGATTATCTCAATAGATGCAGAAAAGGCCTTTGACAAAATTCAACAGCCTTTCATGCTAAAATCTCTCAATAAATTAGGTATTGATGGGACATATCTCAAAATAATAAGAGCTACTTATGACAAACCCACAGCCAATATCATACTGAATGGGTAAAAACTGGAAGCATTCCCTTTGAAAACTGGCACAAGAGAGGGGTCCCCTCTCTCACCACTCCTATTCAACATAGTGTTGGAAGTTCTGGCCAGGGCAATCAGGCAAGAGAAAGAAATAAAGGGTATTCAATTAGGAAAAGAGGAAGTCAAATTGTCCCTGTTTGCAGATGACATGATTATATATTTAGAAAACCCTATCGTTTCAGCCCAAAATCTCCTTAAGCAACTTCAGCAAAGTCTCAGGATACCAAATCAATGTGCAAAAATCACAAGCATTCCTAAACACCAATAGCAGACAAACAGAGAGCCAAATCATGAGTGAACTCCCATTCACAATTGCTTCAAAGATAATAAAATACCTAGGAATCCAACTTACAAGGGACGTGAAGGACCTCTTCAAGGAGAACTACGAACCATTGCTCAACGAAATAAAAGAGGACACAAACAAATGGAAGAACATTCCATGCTCATGAATAGGAAAAATCAATATTGTGAAACTGGCCATACTGTCCAAGGTAATTTATAGATTCAATGCCATCACCATCAAGCTACCAATGACTTTCTTCACAGAATTGGAAAAAACTACTTTAAAGTTCATATGGAACCAAAAAAGAGCCCACATAGCCAAGAGAATCCTAAGCAAAAAGAACGAAGCTGGAGGCATCATACTACTTGACTTCGAACTATACTACAAGGCTACAGTAACCAAAACAGCATGGTACTGGTACCAAAACAGAGATATAGACCAATGGAACAAAACAGAGCGCTCAGAAATAACACCACACATCTACAACCATCTGATCTTTAACAAACCTGACAAAAACAAGAAATGGGGAAAGGATTCCCTATTTAATAAATGGTGCTGGGAAAACTGGCTAGCCATATGGAGAAAGCTGAAACTGGATCCCTTCCTTACACCTTATACAAAAATTAATTCAAGATGGATTAAAGACTTAAATGTTAGACCTAAAACCATAAAAACCCTAGAAGAAAACCTAGGCAATACCATTCAGGACATAGGCATGGGCAAGGACTTCATGACTAAAACACCAGAAGCAATGGCAACAAAAGCCAAAATAAACAAATGGGATGTAATTAAACTAAAGAGTTTCTGCACATCAAAAGAAACTACCATCATAGTGAACAGGCAACCTACAGGATGGGAGAAAATGTTTGCAATCTACCCATCTGACAAAGGGCTAATATCCAGAATCTACAAAGAACTTAAACAAATTTACAAGAAAAACACAAACAACCCCATCAAAAAGTGGGCAAAGGATATGAACAGACACTTCTCATAAGAAGACATTTATGCAGCCAACAGACACACGAAAAAATGCTGATCATCACTGGCCATCAGAGAAATGCAAATCAAAACCACAATGAGATACCATCTCACACTAGTTAGAATGGCGATCTTTAAAAAGTCAGGAAACAACAGATACTGGAGAGGATGTGGAGAAATAGGAACACTTTTACACTGTTGGTGGGAGTGTAAATTAGTTCAACCATTGTGGAAGACAGTGTGGCCATTCCTCAAGGATCTAGAACTAGAAATACCATTTGACCCAGCAATCCCATTACTGGGTATATATACCCAAAGGATTATAAATCATGCTACTATAAAGACTCATGCACACATATGTTTATTGTGGCACTATTCACAATAGCAAAGGCTTGGAACCAACCCAAATGTCCAACACTGATAGACTGGATTAAGAAAATGTGGCACATATACACCATGGAATACTATGCAGCCATGAAAAATGATGAGTTCATGTCCTTTGTAGGGGCATGGATGAAGCTGGAAACTATCATTCTCAGCAAACTATCACAAGGACAGATAACCAAACACCACATGTTCTCACTCATAGGTAGGAACTGAACAATAAGAACACTTGGACACAGGGCGGGGAACATCACACACTGGGGCCTGGGGGGTGGGGGCCTGGGGGAGGGATAGCATTAGGAGATATACCTAATGTAAATGACGAGTTGATGGGTGCAGCAAACCAAGATGGCACATGTATACCTATGTAACAAACCTGCATGTTGTGCACATGTACCCTAGAACTTAAAGTATAATAATAATTAAAAAAAAAAAAAGAGAGATGTGACCTTGTAGCCACTGGCCTCACTAATCCTAATCTGAGTATTTTCTTTCCCATATCACATCTTGAAAGGGAGGCCTTACGTTTGCTCCTAGAGGACTCCTGCTTTGCTGTATTTTTTCTAAGAAACACATCCATAATGAAGGTGTGTGCCGCCTCATGTGAAGCGAGAAGAGAGAAGCGAGTTAGCCCAACCTCCTCCTTCCTGCTGGGGAACATTTCCTGGAGGGAAAAGGAGAGAACATTCTGTCTCAAACTAGGGAGAGAGATGAGAGCGTCCCGTCCTTCTAGAAAGAAGTGTGACATCTTTGTAAAGGGGAAAGGTTGTCGGAGCCCCACCCTTGCACAAGGTCCAGTGCAGGAAGCTAGAATGTGGCCACTGAGAGCTCATCCCTTCAGTCCATGGGCAGACAATGCCAGGCAAACTGCCCTTCCCCAAACACCTCAGTAGAGTTTGGCTATCCAAGGAATGCCAAGTAATGTTTCTTAGAACTTTCTTTGGAATCCTGAAATGGGGGCCTAAGCCTTGGATTATAAAAGAGGATTCCCCTATTTCCCATCACCTCATGCCTCATGCTTGGCCTCCTCTGCAGGACTGGGCCAGATGATCAGATGCAAAGAGAAGGATTCACCTGAGGCGGCACACACCTTCATTATGGACATATTTCTTAGAGAAAATACAGCAAAGCAGGAGCCCTGTAGGAACAACAATAAAGCCTCCCTTTCAGAATTCAAAGATGTGATATGGGAAAGAAAATACCCAGATTAGGATTAGTGAGGCCAATAGCTTGGAGGTCATTTCTCTTTAGAGGTGTCACTTTAGCCTTGATTATGCTGGGGCAACCCAGCTTGACCTTGTCCTTCCACGGACCTGCGGTGTCCATGTTTCCACCAGTTGTTTGTTTCTCTATTTACTTTTAGGACAAAAAAAGTCGCCAGCTTTTATTTTGTGGTAGACCTCTCAGAAACCCAGCAGCATGCCTGTGAGCTTAGCTTACGCTGTTCCTCTGCATGGAATACCTTCTCTCTCCTCTCCACGGTGAGTGCCTCCTCTTCCTTCAAGGCCTAGCTGAACTGCCCCCTCTGTGAAACTTCCTCCCCCTCCCCAGGGAAGGTGAGTCGCTTCCACAGCACCTGTTTCTGCTCTCATCCTCACACTCAGCACCCTGTAGGACACCACGAGCCCCTGGAGGCCCAGCAGACAGCCTGGAATGGAAGATGGGTTTGAGTGAATTATCGTGCTGCCGCTGGCCATGAGGCCTTATCTGTAAAACAGCGTCCTTCTTCCCTACCTCAGAGCTACTGTGAGGCTCAAACAAACCCCCAGGGTTAAAGCGGGAGCTGTAACTTGTAAAAGAACCCCCAGGTGTCACCTCATGCATTGATTTCCTCATTCACAAGTTATCAAATGCCAGCCACTACCAGGCAGAAGCTGACAAAGACACACTGCCAACCTTCAAGGAGCCCGCCATCTAGGGTGGGAGACAGGAGCAAGCAAAGAGTCACAGAAGTGCGTTTCCACTCTGATGAGGGCAAGCCCAGAGCACCAATGCAGGCTGCTGGCTCAGGGAAGCCTGCCCCAACTAGGAGATCCCTAAGCTGACTTCAAAAGGCCCCAGAAGAGTGAGTAAAACAGAGCGCATGGTGTCCTGAAAGACATTCCATGGCCAGGGTGGGAAGGACAAAGTGATGGCACAGAGCCAGCATGTTCTTATAACAGTGACAAGCTGTGTCACAGCAAGTGTGAAGCAAGATCGGGAGCAAAGTTGAGAACATGTGGGGGCTGTGTGCCAAGCTAGGGAGTTACAAGGGGGGAAAGATGGTGGAGCCCCTAGAAGTTGGAAGCAGGAGTGAGTGTTGCGACTGGAAAGATCACCTTGGCTGCAGTGCAGGGAAGAGATTTTGGACAAGTCTAAGGCTCCAGGCATGGTGGGCGGGGGGGAATGACAAGAGCAAATCAGAGACAAGAACTACATTTGACTCTTGAACAATGTGGGGGTTAGGGGCACGGAGCCCCGAAGTCAAAAATCCACATATAACTTTTGACTCACCTAAAACTTCACTAATATAGCTTACTGTTGGCTGGAAGCCTTACCAATAATGTAAACAGTTGATGAACAAATATTTTGTACATTACATGTATTACATACTGTGTCCCAGCAATAAATTAAGCTAGAGAAAAGAAAATGTTACTATGAAATCATAAGGAAGAGAAAATATATTTACTATTCACTGAGTGAAAGTGGATCATCATGGTCTCCATCCTCACGGTCTTCCTGATGAGTATGCTGAGAAGGAAGATGAGGAGGAGCTGATCCTGCTGCTCAGCGGTGGGAGAGATGAGAAAAAAATCTGCCTGTAAATGGACTCACAAGGTTCAAACCCATGTTGTTCAGGGGTCAACTGTAATACTGCCTGAAGACCTGCTCAACATCAGGCCACTTTACATATAAGTAGTTCATCCCATTGAGATGCAAAAGTATCCCATCAGGTAGACAGTACTGGTCTCACTCAACAAATGAGAAACAGGCTCAGAGAGGTTAAGCGACTTGCCCAAGGTCACACAGCCTGCACACAGCCTGCGCAGAACTTGTGTTTTTCCCTTGTACTCTGTCAGGCTTCCGATCTGCAGGTTGACGGACTGGGAAGCAAGGTATGGAGGGACATTAAGCTAGAAGGGTTACCAGGGGCAAAACTGGGCAGAGGGATCACAGGCCAGGCTAAGGAGCCCTTTACGGTTCAGGCTCTGAAGGTTTAAGAGCAGGGAGATGCCCTGACCAGGGCCGTTCACTACGAAGATTAACCTGGTAGAGCAGGGAGGACTAGCTAGGTGAGAGCTGGGAAACAGGGGAGCTACTCATCAGTTGTCTAATATGTGCCCCTCTCTGTTCTAGGTCCTGGAGTACCAGTAGTGAATACAACAAAGATGCCTGCCCTCAGACAGCCTGCCTTCTAGTGGAGGGACAACAAAGAGCAAAACAAACAAGCAAAATATACAGTAGGTCAGAAGGGGATAAGAACTGTTGGAAAAAAAAGTAGAGCAAGGTGAGTGGCTTGTTTGTACTGGGGGCTGCAATACTTAAATAGGGTGCCTAAGAGGAGGCAGGCGGAGAGGACAACTGAGACAAAGATGAGAGGCAGGAGTGTGGCTGGCACATGAGGTTCAACCACAAAGCCAGTGTTCTGGGGCTGGAGTGAGCCAGACGAGAGAAGAGTTGTGGAGCGATGGAAGGGGACACGTCGTGCCAAGCTTTGGAGATCACAGTGAGAACTCTGGCTCGTACTACTTGGGGGGATGATGATGACCCAAAAGTCAGGAATCTGTTCACTGCTGAAGAGAGAAGAGGGCAAAGGGCAGCAGCTCCATTTAAAAGGTTCTAATAAGCCTCGGGCCTTTCTCTGTCTGAGAAACTTACTCTCTGCCCTCTGTCTCCCTAGATTACTGCCCCTATGCCTGGAGGAAAAACAGGTGAAGGCTAAAAGCCACGGGGATAGCTAAAGAGGGCAAACTGGACCTCCAGCTCCACTTCTGCAGGTCTATGTCAGTCCACAGCCCTTGCACACGCTCCCTTTTAATTCTCCAAGCATACCTCTCACTTCCAAAACTCCTGTGACTCTGCTGATGAGGGCGTCTCGGCCTGGAATGCTCCTCCTTATCTGCATTGTGTGGGTGTCAAAAAGAGTATATTTTGATGACCTCTCCCCGCCCCTCATGCTCGCTCACATCCCCCTCACTCCTTTCAAAGTCCGTTCCCAAAGGCCCCAGTTCACCGTCCTGGGCTGCTTTTAGCCAGGTAAGATCTAAAGTGATCCTCTCTTGGAACCTGGTCTGGGGCCTATACATCTGGGTCAGTCTAGGGGTGCTCTCGAAGGGCCACCCTCAAAGAGCGAGCCTCGGCTGGATTCAGTTCCTAGGTCCCAGCCGTCCGACCTCTGCGACAACACTCAGCACACCCCTTCCCCTCTCCGGGTCTCAGTTGCCCCGTGAGTACAGTCCCTGCTCCAACACGCAAGGTAATCGTTTCTGGCTGCTCTGATGCACTCGGTCCCTAAACTCAGCCTTAGGTCAACCCAGAAAGCACCCGACCCGGGCGACCCCGTAGCTCCCCACCCTCCCGCACTGCCCAGTCGCTGACACAGGGTGACCTCCAATGGCAAGGCCACGACTCTTACCCGTCCGTAGGCGCCCCCCTGTCTGGCCTCAGCTCGCAAGCAGGCTGCACCCACTGAACTCCAGGCCCGGACCGCCACCCTTTACTCCCCTCCCGCGTGAGCCGAGAATCAGCCGAGCTTCCTCCACCAAGAGGATTGGCCCAGCTCGGCGACGACTCAGCCAATTGGCGCTCACGGCGTGATCTTGCCCAATAAAGACGGGGCTCTGTCGCCAGCGTGCCCCTCCCCGCGCTGGGCCGGGGCTTTGCCAGGTTAGTCCCACCCTCTTCGGCCCTGCACCAATAGGGAGAGGCGGCGACGAGCGGACGGCCAATGGGGAGCGGGGCTGCGCGCGCGGGGCGGTGGGAACGGCGCCGAGTCAGTGTACACGTCGGTTGCCTAACAACCGGCAGCGGACTCCTTTGGCTATGGTGAGTGCTGCCGCTCTGTCGCGCCCCACGCCCAGCGGCTGAGCCCTTCCCAGGCCCCAGCTCGGCCACGCCGCCTCTCCTGCGCCTTTCTCGGCTTTAGCGCACCAGTCTTTCCTTTGAGCTCTTTCCCGGGAGAGTAGGGTACAGACGCTAACCAACCTACTGGGCCTGCGCTTCGCTGCTGCCTCCTCTTCACCCACAACAGGCCCACACCCGCCCCTCGGGCTCCCCTTGCATTCCCTGATCCCCTCGGTGAACCTCCCTGGGCAAAAAAGACTCGAATCCCTCACAGGCCCCTGACTCTCTCAGACCTTGGCCCCCTGGCCTCCTCATTCTGCCAAAATTTCCACACACAGCTGGGAAAAGGTGTATCGTGTTCTGTTACAATGTTTTTTACAATTTAAATACAGGGGCATTCAGGGGATGCTTTAGCTTCTTGGAGAAGGCACGAAGGTGCCAGATGGATTGAGTTTTATTACTCGGTACTGACACAATATACATCTTAACAACTTACTAATATTTGGCCAAATCTAGAAGTAATTGGGAAGTCGGAGTACTTACTGGGAAGGGGAGTACTGGGAGTGGGCATCGTAAGACTGTTTTCAGAACCAGGATCCCCACGTTCGGGAAGAGCTGATTATCTCTAGTTATTCACAGTCATCTTCTTGACTGGCTCTCTTTTGGGATGATTTTCAGTAAGAGGTGTCCTTACTGAACAAGTGATCTCCCTGCTTCTAGAAACAACAGTAAAGAAAAGGGAGGGGTAGAAGTTCATGGAAAGATTCATTGTTCTTGCCAGTAAACCCTGTTATCTTTCTTTTTAAGCAAAGCTTTGGAATTGGTTATATAAATGACTTTAAAAATACATATGGGTGTCTGTAACTATGTTATGTAAATATGGACTGTATGATATATTATTGTGCTTGTGTATTGCATAACATATAAAGGCCTCCAACTTTAAGAAGGCAAACATGGCATCAAGTTCTCAGCGAAAAAGAATGAGCCCTAAGCCTGAGCTTACTGAAGAGCAAAAGCAGGAGATCCGGGAAGCTTTTGATCTTTTCGATGCGGATGGAACTGGCACCATAGATGTTAAAGAACTGAAGGCAAGCTCTGTGCATTCCTGCCGTACTGCCCTTCCTTTCCTCTGCCTCTTCCTTGTCATCTCCCTATCACCTCTCTACCCCTTTTGCCCTCTTCTCCCTGCAGTAAGTAACAGGGGAGGTTGTACTGTGCTGTTTTCCTGTCTTTACTTACTTTGAGTATTATTCAATAAAATTGATTGCAAATATCAATTAGATCAATGTCATAGTGTTCCCCAATCATATTAACATGACCACATCAGATGCTGGCTTAATGCTCTCAACACTGTTATTTTTGCTCCTGCTACTTTAGATGTGCTTATTGAGACGATCCTGTTTTCTTTATAGGTGGCAATGAGGGCCCTGGGCTTTGAACCCAAGAAAGAAGAAATTAAGAAAATGATAAGTGAAATTGATAAGGAAGGGACAGGAAAAATGAACTTTGGTGACTTTTTAACTGTGATGACCCAGAAAATGGTAAGTAGCTAAGACAATTATCATGGTATGGAGCCCCAGTCATCTGCAGAGGTCCATGGCGTCTTCCTGTTAAAACAGTCATGTGACCACAGAGCAGTCCAGGTAGCAACTGCATCAGGAGGCCTGCCCTCCCATCATGTTACTTTGGGCTCCCAAAACAAGCCCTTGTGCTTCTTTCTCAAGACTTCCAAGCAGATACCTCTTCCCACAGAATTCCAAATCAGTTAGGAAATAGATATGGGATAGGGAGAGATATAGCGATAGGTAGCAAACGTCACCTTGGATGGAGTGCCTGGCTTGCCTGGTGTTTCTTTGAGGCCAAAATGGGCTTCCTGACACTTGCCGCAAGTCTAGACTCGAGTTACATTGTTAAAAAGGAAAGGGTGACCTGACCAGGCAGTGGCAGGGCTACAGGACAGTAGTAACCAACCGTGGTGTCCCCCTACTCATGTGTTTTATGTTCTACTTGTTAAGTCTGAGAAAGATACTAAAGAAGAAATCCTGAAAGCTTTCAAGCTCTTTGATGATGATGAAACTGGGAAGATTTCGTTCAAAAATCTGAAACGCGTGGCCAAGGAGTTGGGTGAGAACCTGACTGATGAGGAGCTGCAGGTTTGTAATGCATCACACTGGAACTTAAAATTCCCACCTTTGAGCCCTCTGTGACTTTTCCATTACATTTTCCCTAGTGTGAGCACCTCTTTGAAGAAAAGCCAGTGTACTTTGTCCCTCTGCAGACAACTTAATTCTCCTTTAATAGTCAGACAAACCTATGAACCCTGCTTCCAGAAAAATGCACATATGCACAATTTTGCTTACTATTTTAGGTTCCAGGAATCCCTCTAGTCAAGGCAATCTTCAAGGTCCCTCCCAGGTGATATGTTTGACAAAGTATGAGTTGGTTTTCAAATAACTTTTCAGAAACCAAGCTATTATCAGGAGTAGCATACTGGCATTGGGTGGACTACAATGATCTATTCACATAGATACAAATTATCTATTCACATAGATTAAAAGTCTATTGCTTGCCAGGCACAGTGGATCATGCATATAATCCCAGTACTTTGGGAGGCTGAGGCAGGAGGATCTCTTGTGGCCAGGAATTTGAGACCAGTGTGGGCAGCATAGAGACCCCATCTCTAAAAAAAAAAAAGTCTATTACTTAGTCACCTTTTGGCATTAGTTTATAAATTAACCTGAATCTTTACTGTCATATAGGAAATGATTGATGAAGCTGATCGAGATGGAGATGGAGAGGTCAGTGAGCAAGAGTTCCTGCGCATCATGAAAAAGACCAGCCTCTATTAAGATCAGTGTCTTCTTTTTCTACTGCAAGCACATGTAACTAGATTTAGTGCCTGCCATGGTGTGAAATCTGGCTTTTGAGAACACAAACTTTTCCCCCACGGACCTCCCTTTATCACTTTAATAGTGACCTTGAGCCTATTTTAGCCGTTTGGAAGTGTTCTTTGATATTACAGTTCTTTGTAAAATGACCTGCGAATTACCCTAATTCTCAAAAGCAAAACAAGAGCACACAAGCGTGAAGAAAAGGATCTTAAAGCTTTGAGCACCTGCCATTTTGCCTTGCATCGTTTCCCTCGTCATGCATTTCCACATATCCACAAACACAGAACGACTTTAGACAAGCACATGTTACACCTGTGTTGCCACAAGCAGTCATTCTTGACGGCTCCAGTTTTTATTTGACACTTGAGTTTAGTTTTCTCTTTTATAAACCCAGTGAACTCCTGCACTGGCATTTGGATGTGTGTTAATGCTATTTGTTTTGTCTTAAAAGTAAAACCTTTCTCAGTTTGAACTTGTATTCTCTAAGGATGAGTTCTTTAGCTTTGCTTATGAGTTCCTCTTCTCAATTATTGTGTTGAAGGCAGCCTATTAGATACAAAACTCCTTACCAGCCTATGGACAGAAAATGAATAATCCTTTGCTACTTTCCTGGCATGAATTGCTTTTTGCCTTGGAAGGCTGCTGGTTTGTAAAACTAGCAGAATTTTTATATCACCTAAGCCTAAATGATGCTCTAAAAATAGTTTTGGCAAAGCTAAGACTGGAAAAGAGTCTTGTTAGTAATTTGTGCTTGAATAAAATGGGGAGAGCCAGGCTAACGCAACACTAGGATGGATTCAGCCAACCTCTCGTGAATTTATTTGCTTATGGTATCTCATCGACTCTTGGAGGTGGGTTGGGCTGAGTGACCCCATCCAACCATCTTCCTGGCCTTGCCCGGGATTCCCTGTGTGAGAAATCCTGGTAGATGACATTAAAGTCTCTGCTCCAGGGTGAGAGTGGGGAGGCAGAAGGGGTGAGGGAGAATAGAAAATGAACAATGATGGAATGCTCGTTTGTTCACATGGAGAGGGAGAAAACAGATTTTCAAACTTCTGGGGGTAGGCTAGTCCTCTGGGGATAGGGTTGCCTGATTCAGCTAATAAAAAGAAAGTTGAGGTAAATTTGCATTTCAGATCAATGATGCCTTTTTTTTAGTATGACTATATCCCATTTGTATTTTTTGTTTATTCATTGTTGATCTTAAATGCAAATTTACCTAAGCATCCTGTATTGCCACTGGTAACCCTACCCGGGGAGCACGTTACAGAGGCCAGAAGCCTGGCCCTCGGTCTCATGCCTCTGGACCCTGACATCCTGTAGGACTTGGGGGCCCAGGAATATGAAGTTTACCATATCCCCCAGATGAGTCTCATGCCGAGGGACTGCTCCTTAAGAAAAACTTGGGGGAAGAGCCCAGACTAGCCCAAACCCTGGATTCTCACACACACCCACTTCCTCATCGGGCAATTTGGGGCAAGCTACTTCTCTAGGTGCCTGGAGTTTGATGTCTGTGTGATGGGGAGAAGAGTTGTGCCTACTCAGAATCACTGGAGGTGAAATACAAACTTACAGAGAGGACCTGGCTTGAAGGTATTCAAGAACAAGAGGATTCAGAAGTGTTCAGTCTTACTCCCATTCTTTTGCTACAGTTATCACATAAGCTTTGTTGTTAAATGTGGGTCCATGAAGCTTTTATCATTACTGTCCCCAAAGTGTGTTGATAGCATTTCCTAGGAGGATTTGACCTTTGTTGTATTGTGATTTTCTAATAAGAGGCATATGATTGGATAAAAGACATAATATTGGAAAGGAGTGAAAAGACTGGGCCCTGCCTCCAATTTTACTGTTAACTGTAACCCTGGAAACACTCTTTTGAAAAAAAGTTAATTAAACGAGATCATGTCCTTTGCAGGGACATGGATGGAGCTGGAAGCCATTATCCTCAGCAAACTAACCCAGGAACAGGAAACCAAACACCACTTGTTCTCACTCGTGAGTGGGAGCTGAACAGAGAGAACACGTAGTTACAGGGAAGGGGACAATATACATAGGGGCCTGTCGGTGGCAGTGGGGGTGGGGGTGTGGGGGGAGGGAGAACATCAGGATAAATAGCTAATGCATGTGGGGCTTAACACCTAGGTGATGGGTTGATAGGTGCAGCAAACCACCGTGGCACACGTTTACCTATGCAACCAGCACGTCCTGCACATGTATCCCGGAACTTAACTTAAAAAAAAAAAAACAGTTTCAGGGATAAGGAAAAAAAAGTTAATTAAAAAGAAGTTTTGAAATTGACAACATTGTATATATTTATGGTGTACAATATGATGTTTTGAAAGATGTATACATTGTTGAATGGCTAAATTAAGCTAATGGACTATCCTGGAGACATTCTTATCTCCTCCTGCTTAATATTCCCATAAATGAAATCTCTCAGGAATCTCTTGAGACAGGACGGAGAGTGGCAAGTAATAGGTTATCCCTGAGGATAAAAGCAAACATAAGGTCTTTGCCTGGCAGCCATTCTAACATAGGTGTGCAGTTATTCAGTGGAAGGATGGGGACAGAGAGGGAGCATGAGTCAGTGGGGCTGGACCGGAGAGCTGTAAAGGGATCAGGAAGATGGGGACGGAGAGGGAGCATGAGTCAGTGGGGCTGGACCAGAGAGCTGTAAAGGGATCAGGAAGATGGGGAAGGAGAGGGAGCTGGGCTCAGTTCATGTGGAGGCAGAAAAGAGTCCTGAAGGCGGGGGAGGATGTGGATGGAGAAGTAACTGAGGTCAGTTCACGTGGGGCTGGACCAAGAGATGAAGGGAAATTGCAGAGGATAGGGACAGAGAAGTAGAAAAGATCCGTGCATGGGGTGTCCCGGAGAGGTGCAGGGGAGCAGGGGTAGGGGGAAGGGAGTGAGAGGGAGCAGGGATCAGTTCATGTGAGGATGCAGCTGAGTTTTCATGGGAGTGTCAGTGGGTGGGTTTGTAGAGTTAGTGGCTTATTCATGTGGACAATAGAGTTGTGAGGGAGTGAGGGGAAATGACAGTTCATGTGGGGCTGGCCCAGGAAGCTGGAGGGGGATGAAGTGGCGATGCACACTTAGAGGGAGCAGATGTCAGTTCATGTAGGCTGTACCAAGAGATGCAGAAGGCTGAATGGGATGGCATGGGAGAGGCATTCGAGGCCAGCTCCTGTGCAGCTGCACTGGAGAGATGCAGAGCGTCAGAGAGGGAAAGGAAAAGCCACTGAGGACAGCTTATGTGTGGCTGTATCTGCAGAGGTAGCCGGAGTGTGGGGCAAGGGAAAGGAGAGGGAACGGAGCTTAGTTCACGTGTGGCTGGACCAGAGATGTATGGTGGGGAAGGGGAAGGAAAGGAGATGGAGCTGAGTTCATGTCATGGAGGGCTGGACCAGAGAGATGTAGGGAGAGTGACTGGGTAAGTTCTAAGGGGTGTGAAGGTGGCATATGATTGCATAAAGACATATACTATTGGAGAGGAGTGAAAAGACTGGGCCCTGCCTCCCATTTTGTTGTTAGGGAGGGAGAGGCAGGGTGAGTGGGTTCAAATACCGGTCATTTCAGAGCTGCAGGGGACAGGCAGGGAGACAGAGGTAGCAGGGGTCAGCCCTTGCGGGTGGACCAGAGAGATGGAGGAGTGGGGTGGGTTTGGAATGGAGAGGTAACAGAGGTCAGTTCATGTGGGACTGGACCAGAAGGACACTGGGGAGTGGGAGAAGATCAGAAGTAAAGGGACTGAGGTCAGTTCATGCAGCGTGGGACGGACCAATGTAGGGAGGTGGTGGGGAAGGGGCAGGAGAGAAAGCAGAGGGCAGTTCATGTGGGGCTGGACCAAAGAAATGTCGGTTGCGTGTAGGGATTGGGCTGGAGAGAGGGCAAAGATTCATTCATGTGCAGCTGCGGCAGAGGGCAGTAGTGCAATGGGGGGAGACAGGGCACAGGAGAGAGCAGAGAGCAGTTCATGCGGGGTTGGACTGGAGAGCTGCAGGAGGGTGGGGGTGGAATTTTGAACTAGAGAGGTCAGAGATTGCTTCATGTGAGGTTGAACTAAAAAGTTCAATCAGAGTTGGAGAAAAAGGGGAGGAAGAGGGAGCAGGGGTTCCTTCATGTGGGGCTGGACCAGAGGGATGCCAGAGGAGTTGAGGGGGATGGAAAAGTAGAGGGAGCAGAGATTAGTTCATGCAAAGATGGAGCAAACAGGTGCAAAGGCTTAGAGACATAGGGAGCAAGAGAGGTCATCTCACAATGGACTGGGTACTGGGAAGGAGATTGAGCCCAGAGTTAGTTCATGTGGGGCTGGACCAGAGAGGTAGAGGGGGATGGGGGGGATAAGGGGATGGGGATGGAGAGAGAGCAGAGGTCAGTTGATATGGGGTTGGACTAGAGAGATCTGGCGGGATGGTGGAGAGGGCTAGGGAATGCAGGCCAGTTCCCTGAGGATGGACCAGAGAGCCGGAGGGGAGGAAGGGTAGGGGGACGGAGAGGGAGAATAGTCAGTTTGTGTTTGGTCTTGTGGGCCTCCTTAATAACTTAGGGTTGTGCTAAATTTCCTTGAAAAACCTGTCCAGCAGATTCGTCTTTTCTTTGCTTCCAAGTGTTAGAACTACTGTGAACAGCAGAATTTGTTGGTAGACATGCTCAAGCCTGATATAACGAAATGATTTAAGAAAGGAGGTGGTTCAGTTTCTGTCTCTGTAAGACATGGAACAGCTGCTGGGACTGAGATTTTTTTAAGTTCTATGATGACCGGGAAGAGAAGAAAGAACACATTTTTTACCACTTTTCTTGTTTAACCACCTCTTTAGGAAGCCTAGGAGTTAGACTGTGAGGTTAGACCCAGGTGTCTCAGGGACCACGTGGCTCCCTACCATCCACTGGGGGAAATTTCCTTAAAGTTCAATCTGGCTTTTGAGAATGCTGACCTTTCAAATGCAACCTCAAGTGCCAGGATGTCTGACTGTCATTGGGCCAACCTCAAAACTTGATCTTAGAGCAGCTCTTCCCTTGAGGGACTCCTGCTGTCAAGGATAACTGTATTCCAGGGCTGCTCAACTTTATTTTATGTTTTTGTCACACCTTTGAATACTAGAATTTTGACAATATGCTAGAAGGAAGTAATACACTCAAAACAACAGTTTAACGAGAATTGCAACTTAGTCACTACTCTAGGCCAGTAGGCAGCCCACTATACACTTAGTCACCCTTCAGTTGGACTGGACCGGCTTGCTGTCCAGATGGTGTCAAGTTCCTGCACAGTGCAGAAGCTACCCCTTTTTGAGCTAGCTCCTCCATCACCATTAGTGAGAAGTATCTTACAGCAGGTTGCTCCTTTCTCCACTCCATGTCTCATGACCTGCTTAGTTCATCGTCCTACATGCTGGAAGCCGCTGGAATGGCCACATCTTCAGTTGTAGCAAAAATAGTGCCTCTGCATCAGCTGCAGCTGTGAAGCTGAGACATCATCCTTGTGTGCCATGCTCGGACATATCGGACCCATTTGCTGACCCAAATCTCTGTCAGTAGCCCTCCAAATTCTTATGTGGGTTTGTGGACCCATTTCAAAGAACATCGCCATCAGCACTTGCTGTATCTGGAGCTAAAGTTACCCTCATTTCTAGCTTTTCCCTGCAGCCTCCCAGTCATCTGGTCTTCCAAGCCTCTCCTTAACCACCACCGTTTGCCTTTATCTTTCTGATGCAGTGGTTTAGAGGATTGATGTCATTTTCATTTTCTTTTTTGTCTTTGCCTTATATGTCACCCAGACTTTCCCTACAGTATTCACACTCATCCACCCCTTTCTTTTTCATTTCTGAAGCCACCACCTCAACTCAAATTCAGATTGCTGAAATGTCCTCCTAGCTGATTTCCCTGTCCTGTCTTTTCCCAAGACAATCTGCAGTACTGTCTTTGTCATGCCATTATTTTGCTCAGGGAAGAGACCTAGCCTTTTGATTCAGCCGCCCCTGGTTAAAATCCCAACTCTTCAACCCAGCAGCTGTGGTTTTGGGGGAAAGGATTCAACCCCCTCAAGCCTCAGTTTGCTCATCTAGAAAACAAAGGTGCAGAGAGGTCAAAGACAGCAAACAAAGGCTAGCGTAGAGCCTGATGCCTCTTTGCCACAGATGATGGCTGCTCATTAATTAGCCTGTTTTTCTTTTTCCCTCTGACTTGGACACCGTGTCCTTAATACATGTCTATGTGTGTTTCCCTTCATATAAAGTTAGTTGCTATATATATATGTACTCATGTCTCTGTCATTGTCCCTACTGAAATATTGTCCCCCCATCTTATCCCAAATCTGTGTTCTTCTCCTTGTGAAACTCCTCCTCAGAGCTCCCTCCTTCCAGAAAACTTGTTTTCAAATAGAGGACTGCGTCCCAGCTGGAATTCTGGAAGACAGCAGTCTTGCAGATATGTCCCTTGCCACTAGGTGGGGTGCCAGGACAGAGAGGTTCTGAGGCAGTGCCACTAAATTACCTTGAATTCAGCAGTGGTTTAAGCTGGATCTTCCTAGTGCCCCAAGAGGGCTGTGGTCTCATTTAGCCTTGGAGGGCTGTGGTCTCATCTAGCCTTGGGGTGTGATGGAGATAATGCCACAGTGGGGAGAATCCTGGTGGGGCTGTGGACCCCTTGGAAAAAGTCACCAGGTGTGGGCACTGATGGAATGACAGGTCATTTGAATGGATACCCTATTAAGTCTAGCTATAAGTGAACAAAATGATACATTTGCATTTTTGAGTGTGAGCGATCAAGATTGCTTACCTGCTACATGGGCTCATTGAGACTCCCTAACTACTTTGAACACTTCTCAACAGAAGAGAGCAGGGTGCCTTTGATGTCATCATAGCCGGGCTTTGTGCCTGGTACAATGCTCCATCCATCCATCATCAGGTTTATTAACTTACTAAGTTTGTTGATCCTATAGCAAGGATTTATTAACTCATTAAAAATGTCTAGCATTCTGTGGCTCTTTTTCTTCCTGACCATTATCCCTTGTTATGAGTTGAATTGTGACCTCTAAAATTCATATGTTGGTGTCTTAACTGCTAGGACGTCAGAAGGTGAACTTATTTGGGGGTAGGGTATTTGTGGAGGTAATCAAGTTAGAGTGAGTTTACAACAGTAGGCCTTAATCCAATACAACCAGTATTTCCTTATATCAAATAAATATATAAATAAATACTGGAAATATATACATATATGAATACTGGGAATATACATATATAAATAAACACTAGGAATATATAAATATTTCCAGTATTATAGTGCAAAATATATATATATTTACAGTATTTATTTCCTTATAAAAGGAGAAATTTGGACAGAGACACAGACACGTGTAGAGGGAAGATGATGTGAAGGGACACAGGGCAAAGACAGTCATCTTCATGCCAAGGAGAGAGGCCTGGAACACATCCTTTCTTCACAGCCCTCAGAAGGAGCTCACCCTGCTGACATCTTGATCTTTGACTTCCAGCCTCCAGAACTGCAAGACCATGTAGTTGTGTTGTTTAACTCCTCAGTCCATGGGTACTTTGTTACAGAAGCCACAGGAAGCTCATACATCCTCTCTTTTACTGAAGAACTTTCTCTGTTCCCCTAAGTGTCTCAACCAGAAGTGCACACAGTAATGTTGATGAAACAAAAGCTGAACTTGGAATCTATGCTGCAGAACTCATGACTTCATGGACACTGGATGTGGCCTCTCCTGAGAGATCCATGAGCCCCTGGGTGTGTGCAGCATTGCTACCAGAAAGCTTTCTTCTCAACTTGGAGACTGAACTTGAACATGCACGTGAGTCCATCTCCTTGCGAGATGTTGGATGTGGGGAAATATTTGTGCAATCCCTCATACAAATAGATCCAGAAGGTAAACCAATGATTAAAACTGAGTCAGCAAACCATGGGAACGATGAATAAGCAGAGGCAGGGTGACAGAGCCTCCGGATGTCGTTGGTGGTGGGATTTTCATGTCTAACCTACTATATGTAGTCTAAGAGACATGTTTTCAGGGTGAACGGGGCTATCTGAAAGACAGATGCCAACCTCGTAAGAGGCATCGTGGGGTAGCAGTAAAATGTCTCTAAAGCTGAATTTCTGGGGTTCCACCACTGGCTCTGCTCCTACTAGTGACTAGTGCAAAATGAGTGACCTGTAGCAAGTTACCCAAAGCCCCAGTACCTCGTTTGTTTCATCTGTCAAGAGTGAGGGTGGTATTAATATAATCTACTTCAAGGGCAGTTGTGAGGATTAAATAAGCTACATGACAGTCAATCAATACATATTTGTTGAATGAATACACTAAGAATTTGGCTGCAATCTTCAACTCTAGGGTTAAGGAGTTACATCATTAATCCAAGTGCTGCAATTGAGGAATATACCCTTAGAACAGGAGTTTCTAACCTGGGGCACTTGGATTTCAGGTGTCCATGAATCGCCTGGAGGAGAATTCCTGAAATTTCCTTAAATTCCCTGAAATAATGCACATGTGGCAATTTTCATCAGATTTGTTCAAAGAGTTCACGAGCCAAGATTCACACCCACTGCTCTAGATTTGGACATCATTCTGGGGGGCATGGAGAAAAATATGCAAACCCATAGCATTGTGCCATAGCTCTGTGTGTGTGTGTGTGTGTGTGTGTGTGTGTGTGTGTGTGTGTGTGTTTGGGGGTGGGGGCTGGTTTAGAGATCCTCTGTCCATACAGACATTGGCTGAGTTCAGCCTGCTTCCTGGCCCTTCGGGATTTTTTTCAGTGAGGCAGCTCTAGCATTATTTTTATGCCATGCCTGAGGGCATGAGGCTGCTGCTTCCTTGCTGCTCTGGGGCCTGGGGATCTCTATGACGCTTTCTCTGTCACTATCTAGACATCCCCTGCAATCAATCGCTCCTTGGAGCCTCTGGGATCTAGCAACTTCACCAGCTGTCTGGATTTCCCGCTCTCTCTCCTCCCTCTCCTCCAACTTTTCTTTAGCTTGAAGATCAATCTTCTGGAAGGAAAAATGCCAACAAAAGAGGATTTATTTTCTTCCAAGAAATTGCTCTCACACTTCCTTACACTGACTAAAAGGCATTTTACTTATCTGTCTTCAGCATTTTCTTAAAGCCTCAATTCATTTTCAGCTTTAGCTTTCCCCAGATTAATTATTCGTTAGGATCCACACCATTTCGTATGTGCTTTTTATCCATCACTAGATCTGTCCCCTCCTTCTATCTTTTGCATTTATTCATTTATTCATTTATCCACTCACTCAGCAAATACTTAGCACCTATTCCGATCCAGGCCTTGCAGAGAAAAAAAATAAAGTCCCTGGCCTCGTGGAATTTACATTTTAGTGAAGAAGACAGGAAACAAGCTCAAACAAATAAAGGGGGGTAAGGAGGCGGAAATGGATGGAGGGGGTGCTATTTTGGGGAGGGTGGTCAGGGAAGGCCTTGCCATGAAGCCCTGTAAGGATCTGGGAAAGAGTGCCCAGGCAGATGGAACAGCAAGTGCAAAGGCCCTGAAACAGCAACAGGCTTGGCACAAGTGAGGAACAGTGAAGAAGCATGTGTGGTGGCAGCAGGAGGCAGGCAGTGAGTCAGGCCTCACAAACCCCATAAGGTAAGGGTATGTTCTATGGGGGATGAGGAGTCATCACGGGGTTCTGAGCAGGAAAGAAACCCGAATAGCATTGCCACTGCACTCTCTTTCTCTCCAGTTTGGCCTACACGCTTTTGTTTTTTTCTTAATCTTTCTTGCTTAGAATTTTAACTGCCTATAATGCCCATCCGGACAATTGCTCAAGGCACCAGAGCTTCCTGCTATGGGTTCAGGCTCCCTAAAAGGCCCATATGGCTAGTGTGATGGTTAATTTTATGTGTCAACTGGACTGGGCCACGGAGTGCCCAGACATTTGGTCAGACGTCATTCCCGGTGTGTCTGTGAGGGTGTTTCTGGATGAGATTAGCATTTGAGTTAGGAGACTGGGTAAAGATTGCCACCCATTATGTGGGTGGGCCTCATCCAGGTAGTTAAAGGCCTGAATAGAAAAAAAAGGCCAACTCTCCCCCAAGTAAGAGAGAATCCCTCCTGCTTGAAGGCCTTCAAACTGGGACATTGGCTTTTTCCTGCCTTTGGACTCAAACTGCAGCATCGGCTTCTCTTGAGTCTTGAGCCTGCTGGGCTTTGGACTGGAACTATGTCATCAGCTCTCCTGGGTCTCAGGCCTTCGAACTCTGACTGGAACTACATTATCAGCTCTCCTGGATCTCCAGCTTGCCAACTCACCCTGCAGATCTGGAAACTTGCCAGCCTCCATAACAGTGTTAGTCAGTTCCTTATAACCAACTTGTATATATTTATATATAATATAGACATAGATTTATATTTATAATCTAAATATATATGTTTAAATATGTATATTTATATGTATTATGTTACTCCTTACAAATGTATCTATCTTTCCTATTGGCTGCTGCTCTGGAGAACCCTGATTAACACAGGCAGCAGAGGGCGATCTCTCACCAAACACTGGCTGTTTCCCACGTTCGTCCTGTTGGATAGTTGTTTTCTCTGAAGGGGTGAAAAATCTTCCTCATTCCTTTTTTTTCCAGACAAAAGAAGGTAATTTCAGAGAAAGAGAGAAGCATAAAGAGTTGTTGGCATATGTGATAGGAGAAGTTCAGCTCAGATCAGGCCTGAGACGACCTAGGCAATGCATTCTACATGAGGCAGACACCAAAGTTCTTCTGCTAGTGACTTCAGCCAACACAGCATACTCTTCCTGGAAATCAAAGACCACGTTATAACCAGCAGTACAAGCTAAAGGGCAAAATTTTCGAAGTGGAACTTCTCTAACAGAAAAAAACAACAACAACAGTGGAACAGTTGGAAAGAAGGAAGAAAACTGACAGTGACAGAATGGCTATGTTTCCATTACGCATAATCTTGCATTCACGCACACATAAGAATACAAATGCAAAACAACACAAAACAAAAAGCAGAATGATACAATGGACTTTGGGGACTTGGGGGGATGAGTGGGAGGGGGGTCAAGGGATAAAAGACAACAAATATGGTGCAGCGTATACTGCTTGGGTGATGGGTCCACCAGGTTCTCACAAATCTCCACTAAAGAACTTACTCATGTAACCAAATACCACCTGCACCCCAATAACTTATGGAAAAATAAAATTTAAAAAAAAAGAAATCTGTGTTTGCCCACGTATAATGAAGATATTTTCCTGTGTTTTCTTCTGTAAGTTTTATAGTTTTGTTTTCCATGTTTCGTGTCTATTTCATCTTAATTTTTTGGTGGGTGGCAAAATTTTCCTTCTGAACCCATATGGAGACTCATTTGTTCCAGCATCACTTATTGAATAGTTTACCTTTTCCCAACTGATTTATAAATATATAAAAATTCTGCCATAAAAAAAAATCCATATATGAAAAAAAAAGAACACAAATGCAGAGAACAAGATCAGGAAAGATGCATACCAAATTTTTAACAGTGATTTTCTCTGGAGAGGGGAAGGAGGTTGGACGTGGCTACAGTGAAGTGGATTTTTAAATTCTATTCTGGGTTTGAATTTGTCAGAACAAAATTGTATTCATATATAACATTTATACTTAAAACTGTTCTTAGATACAGCTTCACACATGCTAGGACACGCTAGGACGGCTATAATAAAAAAATAAGGAAAATAACAAGTGTTGGCAAGTATGTGGAATAACTGGAACCTGGATTTATTGCTGATGGGAATGTAAAATGGTGCAGCCACCTTGGGAAACAGTGTGGCAGTTCCTCAGACGGTTAAGCATAGAATTATGATATGACCTAGCAATCACACTTCAAGATATAGATGCAAAAGAATTGAAAACAGGGACTTGAAAAGATATTTATACACCAATGTTCATAGCAACATTATTCATTATAGCCAAAAGTAGAAACCCAAGTGCATCCCAACAGATGAGTGGATAAACAAGATATGGTCTAGCCATACAATGGAATATTATTGAGCCACGAAAAGGGATGAAACTCTCATACATGCTATAACGTGGATGTACTATTAAAAACTACGCTTCCTGATAAAAACCAGACACAGAGGACAAATATTATATGATTCCACTTATATGAGGTACCTAGAATAGGCCAATTTTAGAGACAGAAAGTAGAATAGAGGTCACTGGAGGCTCAGGTGAAGGGGAAAGAGGAGTTACTGTTGAATGGGCATGGAGTTTTTGTTGATAGTGACAATTTTGGGGTATAGATAGTGGTAAAAGTTACACAACATTGTAAATATATTTAATGCCACTGAATTAGCAACAAATTGTTACATTGAAAAAGATTGTGTTATATATATTTTACTACAATAAAAAACTGACAAAATACTTAAGAGAAAGGGGTGTTATACTATTATATCCAGTTGCACCCTTTCATAGAGGAGAGAACAGTGGATTCCAGGATCTAGAGAGGGGAAGCCTCAGTTTTATGGGTAGCGGGCTTGCATGAAGCAGCAAATGCTACAGAAGTTTCTCGCAGCTGGAATATAATGAGACATGAGAATCAGCTGTCATCAGGCTCACAGTAAACTTTGTGAGTGAATGGACTGGTTTTATCTTTGCTCATCATTGCAACCTTAGTTTCTAGCACGGTATCTGGTGCCTGTAGGCACTCGATAAACATTTATTGAATGAATGAATGTATGCATGAATATCTGTGACTTCCTAGTAATCTATTAAAAAAAAACTATCTGTCCCATCAGTTTGGGCTGCATTGTCAATCATTTGATGCATAATTAGAAGAACAGGCCCATAATGCAAATATTTGGTTGTCATTAGCATAGAGATAGTGTATTAGTTGGGCCAGGTTAATTGCTTCATCAAACAATTTCTGTATTTCAGTGAGCTGACTCAATAAAGGATTATTTTTCACTCATGTTCAAAGTCAGTGGGGGTGGGTTGGGGTGGAGGCCGGGCTCTGTTTTATTCAGGGTATTAGACATCCAGCTTCCTCTTGTCCAGTAGTTCCAGGGGCCCCTAGGCACTCAGAGATCTCCACTGGCATTTTTTTTTTTTTTTGGCACCGGGCTGGCAGATGAATGAAAAGAGAGAACATGGAAGATCACGTGTGAGGTTTGAGTGGCCAGACCTGCAAGTGTTAAACATCTCTTCTTCCCACATCCCATTGGTCAGAAGCTAGTGGCACATAATCAAAAGGGATTCCAGGAAATGTGGTCTAACTGCATGTAAAGCAGGAAAAGGAAACCGTGTTTGGTGAACATGCAGCATGGTCCATGTTGCAGGTAATGTTGGAAGCCATAGATGAGGGGGAGTGCTTCTAGGTAAACTGTGGTGAGCCTGTTAAGAGAATGTAACCCAGCCCCGAAATCCTAGGAGCTTCCGTGTTTAAGAAGTGGGAAGAGGAGGAGAGGCCAAGAAGGGGGATGGAAAATAAGGAAAGCAACTGCAGGAAACCCAAGAGGATGGAAGGGCACAGAAGCAAAGGGAGAGGAAGTGGTCACCTGGGTGAAGCTAGTGAAGGCTGGAGTTTGCCCTCTGGATTTAGCAACATAAGCTCATTGACCTTAGCAAGAGCAGTTTGTGTGGTGTGGTGGGAGTAGAAATAAGATTGCCGTGGCTTAGGATTGAAAAGTGGCTGAGGAAACAGAGGGCCACATGCAGACGTTTTGAGAAATGTGACCGTAAAAGGGTGGAAAGAGAGTTAGCATGGTAGCTAGTGGCCATGTGGGGGTGGCAGTGGGAGAATTTTCTTTTTTTAATGGGAAAGACTTGAGAATGTTTGATTGTTTAGATGAAAGAAAATACAGTAAGTAAGAGTGTGGTATACTACCAGGAACGAATAAATGGACTATTGGAACAGAAGAAATAGTCTTGAAACAGGCTTATGTGCATATGGCAATCTGGTTTATGGTAGGGGTGGTATTAAAAATTGATGTGAAATGATAGGCCGTTTCTGAGACAGACAGGCATGCACCTATGTATGTGGTAATCTGTGTATATTGTATACTTTCATTTTTCCAGAAAGGATTTAAAACAGCTTAAAAAGATGAATTCTATGCAATAGAGTAAGACAAGCGTTTAAAGAGGGAGAAAATGACGTGGGGACAATGAGGGGAAACATGCATTTAGGTTTTACAACTTTAAGTATCTCTTTGATGCTGACTGCTTTAAACGTCCGTGCTAAGCTGATGTTAAGTATTTTGATCAACTAGTGCTGTGATCTATTAGACTGATAATTCTTTATGTAACTTGCTCTGCAATGTCCCATTTAAGGCAGAGATTCATATTTATTCTGGACGTTGTTCTGAAAAATCATGCAGTTTCTGCTCTTTGCTCCGTGTACTGTGCGACAGCCTTTGACCACAAGCAATAAAACCTGACATGAACGTTAGACAGGCACTGACTGTTCTGGTAGCAGAAATAGCTTCTAAATCAGACAGCAAGCTTGGTTTCATTTTTATATAATCATATCTGTTCCTGACCCCAGATGGCACCCCATGAGCCATCTTCTGCTGTATTTACTCTGAACTCTTTCTCCTAAGCTGTTGGAAACCCCTAAGCCTTTGCTTATCCTTATGTCTACAATGTCCCTTTATTCCCTGTCTCCTCTCAGCAGACTCTTTACAAGATCTAGCTTACCTGTCTGTCACACACTCGAGGGGATGCTTTCAGGATTCCTCCATGCTGGATTTGTACTCTTCTCTGTGCTTCCCCAGCCCTTGTTCTCTTCATCATGGCACGGAAGCCTCGCAGCAGAGAGATGGGATTTTCTTTCTCTTTTTGTAAATAAAGATGGGAGTCTTGCTCTGTCACCCAGCCTGGAGTGCAGTGGCGTGACCTTAGCTCACTGCAGCCTCAAACTCCTGGGCTCAAGCAATCCTCCCACCTCAGCCTCCTGAGTAGCTCAAACTACTGTCACATGTCACCACGCCTGGCTAAAGAAGGTGGGATTTCTATTTAAAAATACAACTGCCATATCAACAAGAATGATGGTTCCATGGGAGTGTACATTTGTTAAATTTTTCACTAAGTTGGACACAATATCTGGGTAATTTATTGTATGTATGTTATACCCCAATAAAGCACCATTAACCTAAAATTGTTTTAACAAAAGAAGAAAGAAGAAAAATCTCCTTAACTATCTGCAGTTGCTTTTGCTTTTCAGGCGAGTAACATGGTTGTCCCTGGGTAGATAGCTCTTTGTTTAGGAAGATACCTGGCTGCCTCTGGGTTGAAATGAGGGAGTCACAGAGAGAGCTGAATTGCTCCTCCACATAAAGGCAACAGAATCTGTGATTTCCTGATGTAGCTACTTTAATAGTAAAGGAAGAATGTTCCCTTAGTGCTGGTGTTCATGAACCCCATGCACCTGGAACTCTGGTGTGTGACACTTATAAAGGCTTGTCATATTCACTCTTTTGTTTGGTCCTTAGGGTTAGGGTAAATGTTGATATGGCTCCAGAGTCCTTCTGTCAAAGGATCCAGCCACGGCAGTCCTCTTAGTCTAGGGCAGGAATGCAAACCACAGGGAAGCTTTGAGTCTGGGGTTGGGAGATCTGTGCCAGGAAGTCCCTGAGCCCACAGGGCAGCAGAGGGATGGGCATGCCTAGGAAAGGGATTCAGACCTTCTGAATTGGGCGAATTGGGGTGCAATTCCCCCTAGGCTGGTGGAGTGGAAAACACAGGCTTAGGGACAGATCAAGCTGCGTTCAAGTCCTGGCATGGCTGCCTACTGGTTTGACCCTGAGCAAGATAGTTAACCCCTTAAAGTCTTGGGCCCTTTCTCTGTGAAAGAGTCATAGGCTTTATTTCACAGGAGTGGGAGGAATGAAGGATGTTATACTAGTCTGCTCCAGCTACCATGACAAAGCATCACAGACTGGGAGGCTTAAACCATAAAAATGCATCGTCTCCCAGATCTGGAGGCTGGAAGTTGGAGACCAAGGTGTGGGCAGGGTTGGTTCATTCTGAGGCCTCTGTCCTTGGCTTGTAGATGGCCCACTTCTCCCTGCGTCCGCACATGGTTCTCCCTCTGCACAAGTCTGTGTCTGAATCTCCTTTTTTAACATGGACACCAGTCATATTGGATCAGGGACCACCCTAACGGCCTCATTCTATCTTAATTACCTATTTAAAGGCCCCATGTCTAAACAGTCACATTCTGAGGTACTAGGGCTTAGGAATTCAATATATGAATTTTGGGGGACACCAGATAGCCCCTAACAGGTGTTGTCCTGCTGTCACCTCCTCAGCTCCTATTCCAATTGTATTTTCTTAATGCTGTCTGCTTCCCTACGAGCCTGAGAGCTCCCTAAAGCCTGGATTTCTCCAGTTCTGAGTTGGATCCTTAGAACAAGTGAGGGAGCTGTGATTCCAGCTACCCCTACCTTTCTGCCACGGGAACCCCAGGAATGCCTTCCCACACTGAAGGCCTGTTTCAGTCTAGTTGCTGGTGCCTGAAAGCAGCTAAGTGCAAATGCATTAGCCCCTGAGGTGCACTTTCAGTCACGTGAACTTAGACTAAGTACATCTGCTCCCTACGGGTCAGCTTTCTCTCTTATAAAATAAAGGTTTTAGCTAGGACTGGCTATAAAACTTGTGGGGCCTAGTGCAAAATAAAAATTCAGGGCCCCTTGTTTAAAAATTATTAAGCATTTCAAGTCAGTGGCAGTAGAGCATTAATTCAAGCGTGCAGAGCCCTTCTAAGTGTGGGACGCTGTGTGACTGCTTAGGCTGCACACTCCTGAGACTGGCCTTCGTTCTAATCTTGGACCTTCTCTTGAAACCGAGCAGGTGTATACTGTGCGATAATCTTGGGAAAAGTGCTTTAGAAACAGCCAAGTGCTGGACTTGAAGGTTGCAAGCTTCCCAAAGTCTACTGTCTTCCTCTTCCTGGCATCCGTTGGGCTCATTTGGACTTTTCTAATCAGTTTGCTTACCCAGAGCACTCCCTCTTCATCCCCCTCTCAAGATCTCCTCATTCAATGCACAGCATCCTTTCGCTTGGCTATGGGGCTGGGTGCCCCAAAGGATCAGAGTCAAAGGGGACCATCCATCCCCTAGGGGTCAGACCCACATCTCTGCCAGCACCTCTGCCCTGGGGCTAGAGCTGTCTTGCTCATCTGGCAGCCTGGGAAATCCCAGCGTTCCCTAGCAACAAGACCCATCTGGAGCTGTTGCTAGGGAAACCCTGGGATTTCCATAGCTACCGAGAACACACCAAGCATCTCTGCTCCCACAGCTGAATATATCTGGTGCCAGCAGAAGACGGGGGAAGGGAGGTGATCTGCTGCTGCCAGGGGGGGCAGAGCTGGTTTCTCTGAATCTCATTACCTGCACAAAGAGGGGTAAACAGGTCACCAGGGACAGGACCACTCCTCCAGGCTGATGAGTAGACAGTCCTTCCTCACACAAAAACCTCCAAGAAGTGGCTAGTCAATTTGGAACTGTATAGTCCGTTGGGGTCCCACAGTACCTGCTGCCTGTGGGACAGAAATCCCCAGACTGTGTTGTATCTATATATCTGTGTGCCCTCCCACTCTCAGTGGCTGGGATCTTTCCAAAGCCAGTGACCAAGGTCTTTATCATGGGCTGCTGTGTCCTCAGTGCCCAGCACAGGGAACCTTCTCCTTGGTTGTCTGGGGAAATCTGTGTGTTCCTTCTCAGAATAATGTTTTTGAAGGCATGAAATAAAATTGATAGGAATACAAAGAAAGCTATTTTATTGAAAGACAGTTATCAAAATATTTTTCTAAGCCACAATTGTGATGCCATAAAATGTATGTGCATCTTCATTAATGTGTTAAATAATAGAATTGAGGAAAGGTCTAATAACTGTTGTAATTTGGAAGTAGTGACAAGTATAAAGCATATTTGAAGAGCTGCTGCCACAGTTAATGTAATATGAAAATATCAGGGATTTCACTCGGTGACTGTTATAAGTACTGCTAATCTTCCTGTGGTTGATTGCCTGCATTCGTTATCCATGATGGTAATTTCAACTAGAGGTTAGTAAAAATTTAAAAAAAAAGTATTCTTTCACGATCTAATTGCATGGACTCCCTAAATTTTATGGAGGTTGTGAACTCTGGGTTTGGATATTGCCCAATGCGTGAATGAATAAATAAATTCATGCTCAGGGTCCTTGATCAAGTGAGTGGCTCAGCAAGAGAAAGGGAGGTCTTGTCACCCTCAGTCACCATGCTCCTTGTCCTCTCTTCCTTTAAGAGCTGAGGAGAATCTCAACAAATGATGTTGGGACAACTTGTTATCCACATGCAAAATAATGAAATTGGACCCTCACTTTACATCATATACTAAAATTAACTCAAATGGATGAAAGACCTAAACACAAGTGCCAAAACTGTAAACTGAAGAAAACAGAGGGGAGAAGCTTCATGACATTGGATGTGGCAATGCTTTCTTGGATACAATGACAAAAATACAGGCAACAAAAGAACAAATAGACAAATGAGACTACTTCTTTTTTTTTTTTTTTTTTTTTTTTTTTTTTTTTTGGAAACGGGATCTCACTCTGTTGTGTAGGCTGGAGTGCAGTGGTGCAATCATGGCTTACTGCAGCCTCGAACTCCTAGGCTCAAGTGGTACTCTTGCCTCAGCCTCCTGGGTAGTTGGGACTACTGGCACGCGCCAACACTCCTGGCTAAAACTTTTTAAAAATTCTTTTAAAAATAAAAACAGGGTCTCCCTACGTTGTCCAGGCTGGTCTTGAACTCCTGGGCTGAAGTGATTCCCTTGCTTGGCCTCCCAAAGTGCTGGGATTATAGGCATGACCCACCACGCTGGCCTACATCAAAATTAAAAACTTCTGCACATCAAAGGAACAATCAACAATATTAAAAGGCAATCAATGGAATGGGAGAAAATATTTGCAATTCACACATCTGATAAGGGGTTACTATCAAGAATATATAAAGAACTTTTACAACCAAACAACAACAAGAAACAAGCGAGATTTAAAAATGGGCAAAAGGCTTGAATAGATGATACTTCAAAGAAGATATACAAATGACCAATAAGTATATGAAAAGATGTTCAACATCACCAGTTAGGGAAATGCAAATCAAAACTATTGTGAGATACCACCTCACACTCAGTGGGATGGCTAGTATCACAAAAACAGAAAACAAATGTTGGTGAGGATGTGGAGAAATTGGAACCCTTGTGCACCCTTATACACCATATGTGGGAATGTAAAATGGTGGAAGATAGAATGGATGTTCCTTGAAATATTCAACACAGAATTACCATATGATCTAGCAATCTCGTTTCTGGGTATGTATCCAAAAGAACTGAAAGCAGATCGAAGAGATATTTGTGTACTCATGTTCACAGCAGCATTATTCATAATATCCAGCTGGTGGATCAAGACAAATTTCCATCAATGGATGAATAGATAAGCCAAATGTGGTCCATCCATACAATGGACTATTATTCAGTCTTAAAAAGGAACGACATTCTGACACATGCTACGCATGGATGACCCTAGAGAGCATTACGCTCAGTGAAGTAAGCCACTCACAAAAGGACAATTAGTGTAGGATTCCACTGATACAAGGTCCCTAGAATGGTCAAATCCATAGTGACAGACAGTAGAATGGTCAGTGCCGGGGGTAGGGGGAGGGAGAATGGGGAGTTAGTGTTTAATGGGGACAGAGGTTTAGTTTGACAAGTCTGTGGATGGATGGTGGTGATGGTTGCACAACACTGTGAATGTGCTTAATGTACCACTGAACTGTACACTTAAAAATCATGAAGATGGTACATTTTATATGATGTGTATTTTACCACAATTAAAAGTAAAAAGAGGTGAGGAAAGGAGCAGCAGCCTTGAAAATGCCTTGTCAGGAAAGAAGCTGCCCATGAATCCTAGCAGTGGCCTAGCAGGGAACCAATAGCCTCCCTGCTTGGTTCTGCAACCTGAGGACCAGTGAGCTAGTATTTGGGACAAATGACCCCTACTCCCACACTGCCTTCTGGGCTATTGGAGAAAGATGCCTGCTACAAGACGCTGCACTGCAGGCCCTGGGGGATCTGCCAACAGCTCTCAGCTCTCAGCCCTGCCAGCCTTCTGCTTTCCAGCTCCTCATGTCCTACAGGCTGGCCTGAGACCCACGCAGACATAGTGGCTTCTTAGCCAACCACGTGGGGAAGCAAAGCCAGATAGGGAATTGCCCCACAATCTCGCAATAGAATCATCACAGGGCATGGGAGCTTGGTAAGCTTGAGCCTCTGGACAGGGTGAGCCTCACAGGCCACAGAAGCTCAAGGGCAGAAAGGCAGTATCCACAGGGACCCCAGCACAGCAAAAAGGAGTTTTGCTTGAGGGGGTGAAGGAACCTTGGGCTTCAGATTTTAGCTAAGCAGGGAGAGTGGCAGGAGCCCAGGCTGGACAGGAGGCCAATGTCCCCACCATGCAGGACCCCATGGGCCATGGAAAGGGGTCTGGACTTTATTCCAAGGAAAGTGGGGAGTCCCTAGAAGGTTCTCTTATTTTATTTATTTATTTATTTATTTATTTATTTATTTATTTATTTTTTAGACGGAGTTTTACTCTTGTTGCCCAGGCTGGAGTGCAATAGCGTGATCTTGGCTCACTGCAACCTCCGCCTCCCAGGTTCAGGCGATTCTCCTGCCTCAGCCTCCCAAGTAGCTGGGATTACAGGCATGTGCCATGATGCCCAGCTAATTTTTGTATTTTTAGTAGAGATGGCGTTTCTCCATGTTGGTCAGACTGGTCTCAAACTCCCGACCTCAGGTGATCCGCCCACATCGACCTCCCAAAGTGCTGGGATTACAGGCATGAGCCACCGTGCCCGGCCTATTTTATTGTGTTTTAAAAATTCTGTGTTTTATGTCTTCAAATATGTTTAGCACGTTCATTTTATAGTCACTATCTCATCATGCTATAACATAAGGCCCCCGAGCAATCCTTTGGCATCTTAAGGTCTGGTTTCTGATTGGGCCAGTAGTTTTAGGAGCTTCCACAGTAAAACGTCTTTGGTGAACTCATCATCATTGCTGTGCAGGGAACTGCTGGCAGTGGCAGTGGTGAGGAACTGCCCTCAGCTGACTTCCCTGGACCTAGAAATGAACAGTGGGAGCAGAAACGACAAAGGATACTTTGTGTTTCAGGCTAAGTGTAGATGAGCGACTTGTTTGTCAGCCCAGGTGCATCACTCTCTAGAAATTTCAGAGATCTCTGGGCAAAGGTTTGATGCCACAGACAGATTTGTGATAATAGCTATAAGCCAATTGAGGGGTATGGACTCAGTGAAACATACCTCTGTGGACAGATTCTACATGTCCTAAATTATTTACCAAGATCTGGATGCAAAAACCCAGAATGTTTTTTCAGTCCAAACCAATCAACTCACAAAAGAAAAACAGGTCCAGAAGTGGGCAGTTGCCTGATCAGAGTTACACAGGAAATTCAGGACTATGACTCAGTTTTTCTACTTTCTATATACATGTTCTTTTCACTACAAGATGTCATTCTACTTCCAGTCATTTGTATCTCCCAATCTGTTCTGCCTCCAGTGTTCTATGGCTCTGTTATTGACATCAACAACTGCTGAATGGCCCAAACCGGAAATCTGGAAGTCATCATGACACATCCCTCTCCATCAGTCCCCACATCCTATCCATTGCCGGGTCCTACCTATTCCTCACGTCGATTCAGTTTTCTCCATCTCCACTGCCTTCATTCCAGTCAACTAACAAACATTTATTAAGGACCTACAATTCTGAGGCACCATTCTAGATATTAGGACACAGCAAGTGAAGAAGATAAAGTCCCTGCCCTCAAGGATTCTACATTCTGGGGTGTGTGTGTGTGTGTGTGTGTGTGTGTGTGTGTGAGAGAGAGAGAGAGAGAGAGAGAGGAAGAGAGTAAGAATGAGCAGTGATGGACAACTAAAAAGAAAAGGTAATTAAATGCATGACTAAAACCATTGAGTCATACAGTTTAAATGGATGGCGTATATGAGATGTAAATTATATCTCAATATAGCTGTTTAAAAGTGCCTATTACTTACTGGCTGGGTGTGGTAGTTTATGCCTGTAGTCCCAGCACTTTGGGAGGCTGAGACAGGAGGACTGCTTGAGGCCAGGAATTTGAGGCCCCATCTGGGCAACACAGCGAGACCCCATCCCTATACAAAAGATAAATAAAATAAAAATGTCTATGATACATTTGTGCTTCTTTTTCTGTTAAACTCCTGTTTATTTATTTTTCCCATTTTTTTTCTAGCAGGTTATTTGTCATCTTCTTGTTAGTTATATGAGTTTCTTACATATTTTTTGTGTACTAATCCTTAGTTAAATATATTCATTTAAATATTTTTCTAAGTGTGAAATATACAAAAAACCTGCAAATACATACAGTTTAGCAGTGATTATGAAATCAGCACTCATATATTCACTACACAAGTCTAGATATAGAACATTATCAGCAATGCAGAAGCTCACCTATGTAAATTGTGGTCAAGTTTCTCCACGGTAAAGGGAGAATTTTGTAATAATCATCTTATTTTTTCCTTTTGTTGTACTACCTTGCAATACATTTATTAACAATATTGTTTAGTGTCACTTGAGTTTTAAACTTTTTATTCAGGTTTAATTTTCAATAGTTACTGACATAGATTTTGAGCCCATGGTTATATGAGTTTTGACAAATGTGAATACTTATGTATCCATCACCAAAATTAAGATGTAGAACTTTTTCATGACCTCAGAAAGTTCTCCATTTCATTTTATATTTAATCTTTCCTCATCCAAGGCACCCTCTATTCTGTTTGCCATCATTATAAATTAATTTTGCATATAATTAAAATCATATAGTATGTACTCTGTTGTGTCAGGATTCTTTCCCTCAACATAATGTTTTTGAGATTCATTCATTGTGTTGCATGAATCAGTATTTTATTCATTCTTATTGCTGGATTCCATTGTATGGATATATCACAATTTTTTAAACCATCTACCTGTTAACCTGTTAACAGACATTTGGGTTGTTTTCATGTTTGGCTGTTATTACCCTCCTATGAGCATCTTATACAAATATTTCTGTAGACCTATGGCTTCATTTATTTTGAGAAAAATACTTAGAAGTAGAATTTCTGGGAAAGGGCTAGTGTGTGCTTAACCATTTTAAAACTGCCTGTGTTTGGTCAGATTAAGAGGTCTGTATGAAGGAACTTATTATTGGAAAGTACTTTCAGGAACAACATCTGTGAGGAAGTGAAGGAAGTAGGGAGGAAGAAGTGGCAGAGAAAGCATTCACCTGTGGCCCAGTCATGATGGAGACTTCATCCTATCCCATGGGGATCCTTGTGGCTGACATGTCCCTTCAGAGTTGTCTTAAATTGAGTCAAAGGGGCCCAGTCTTTATACTCTTGCACTTACAAGTCATTGGATGTAGATTATTCCTAGGGAGATTACATAATCTTTGATTAGGTTATACCCTCCAATTAAAAAGAAAAGATTGTCATATTTGATAAAAAGAATGATTCAATTATATTTTTCTATAAAACCCTACTTTAAATATGAAGAAACAGATAAATCAGAAATAAAAGAATGCTAAATGATAGAACATGAATTAACTATACTAACATCAGATGAAATAGATTTCAGAGCAAGGAATATTATCAGGGATTAAAAATAGATATTTCATAATGACAAAGGAGCCAATCTACCCAGAAGACATACTAATTCTAAATGTGTATGCACCTAATAATAGAACTTCAAAATAAATGAAGCAAAAAATTATTTATAGGAGAAATAGACAAATCCACAACTGTATTTAGAAATGTCAATATCTTTCTTTCAATAATCGATAGAACTAGTGCACAAACATCAATAAAAATATGGAAGACTTGAACAGCATTATCTGTGTTCGTAACATAATCGACATCTACACAACATTCCATCCAACAACATCAATATACATACTCATGTCACATTTTTTAAAGGTGCACATAGAACATTTACCAAGATAGCCTATGTCCTGGGCCATAAAATAAGTCTAAGTAAATAAAAAGGATTGAAGTAATAAAGGTATGTTCTTGCTCAGTAGCAGAATTAAGTTAGAAGTCAACAACAGAATTATATTTGGGAAATTAAAAAATATTTGGAAATTTAAAATTATACTTCTAAATAATCCACACATCAAAGATAATTTGTCTCAAGGGAAATTTAAAAACTTTTGGAACTGAATTAAAATGAAACTGGATAAAGAAAATGTGGTATATATACACCATGGAATATTATGCAACCATAAAAGGAAGCAGATCATGTCCTTTGCAGGGACATGTATGGAGCTGAAGACCATTATCCTAGCAAACTAACACAGGAACAGAAAACCAAATACTGCATGTTCTCATTTATAAGTGGGAGCTATATGATGAGAACACATGAACACTAGAGAGAAACAACACACCCTGGGGCCTATTAGAGGCTGGAGAGTGGGAGGAGGGAGAGGAGCAGAAAAAACAACTATTGGGTACTAGGCTTAATATCTGGGTGATGAAATAATCTGTACAACAAACCACCATGACGCAACTTTACCTATGTAACAAACTTGCTCATGTACCTCAAACTTAAAATAAAAGTTAAAAAAAGAAAATGCAATACCTCAAAAATTGTGGCATGCAATTAAAGTAGTACTTAGAAGGACATCTAAGTGCTTATATTAGAAAACCTTATGAAACTAGAAAAAGAAGAGCAAATTAAAGTCAATATAGGGTAATAAACAGAAAAACCGTGAAGAAAGCAATTATACTAAAAACTTGTTCCTTGAAAAGATAAATAAAAACAGTAAATTTCTAAACAGACAGCTCAGAACAAAATGAGAGAAGACACACATTACCAATATCAGCAATGAGATAGGTAACATAACCACAGATCCTAGAGCCATTAAAAAATAATGAAAATGTTGGCCCGGCACGGTAGCTCATGCCTGTAATCCCAACACCTTGGGAAGCCGAGGCTGGCGGATTGCCTGAGATCAGGAGCTCGGGACCAGTCTGGCCAATTTGGTGAAAACCTGTCTCTACTCAAAATAACAAAAAATTTAGCCGTGCATGGTGGCGTGTGCCTGTAATCCCACTCGGGAGGATGAGGCAGGGGAATTGCTTGAACCAGGGAGGTGGAGGTTGCAGTGAGCCGAGATCGCGCCCATGCACTCCAGCCTGGGCGACGGAGCAAGACTGTCTCAAAAAAAAAAAAGAGAGAGAATATTATGAACAAGCTTGTGCCAAAAATTTCAACAACTTACCACAAGTAGGCAAATTTGAGACAGAAACAATAATTGGACAGAATTCAACATCCATTTATGATTTAAAAACTCTCAGCAAATTAGTAATAGTCAGAAATTACTGCAAGTTGATAAGGAGCATGTACAAAAAAAAAAAAACCTACAGATAACATCATTACTTACAGATGAAAGACTGAATGCTTTCCGCGTAAAATTAGGCAAGGATGATTGCTCTCAGATCTTTTCGCTCTTATTCAACATAGTACTAGAAGCTCTAGACACTGTAAAAAAGCGGAGAATCCACAGATGGCAGAAAAGCACATGAAAAGATGTTCAACATCATTGCCCATTGGGAAATGCAAATCAAAACCTTAATGAAATATCACTATAATCTCTCATAACAGCTACAATAAAAAATAGTCACGGTACCAAATGTTGGCAAGGATGTGGAGAAATTGCATCACTCATATATTGATAGTGAATGTAAAATGGTACAGTCACTCTGAAAAGGAGTTTAACAGTTTCTAATAAAACTAAATATGCAATTAGCATATGAACATAAAATTAGGCTATTGGCCATTTATTACAACAAATAAAAACTTAAGGAGATTTGTCTTCAGTGTTCAACCTTGATGCAACCCTTATCTTGCATGTCTGGCTAATTGTGGACAGTTTTTATTTATCCGTAATTAATGGCCAATAGCCTAATTTTATGTTCATATGCAAATTGCGTATTTAGTTTTATTAGAAACTGTTAAACTCCTTTTCAGAGTGACTGTACCATTTTACATTCACATCCTTGCCAACATCTCAACCCAGGCCCAGAAGCCCTATCAAGGTGAGTGGCCCACTCAAGCTCCGACTCCTACCCTGTCCTGTCCTGGCTCTAACCCCCACCCCAGCCTGCACCCCTTCTCATGAAGCTTCTGTTCCCACCCCTCTTCCATCCTCTCCCCCAAAACCAATTCCCTTCTGTGATCTCCCTGCTGTCCTTCCAGGTTCCCAAGACAACCTGAAAGGGAAAAAGAACCCTGTGAGGGAGTTCCAGGAAAAAAGCTTCTCCCTAAAAGACCCCCGCTTCAAGCAAACCTGAGGAAGGAAGTGGGCCAACACTATCTAGCCACTGTAACCAGCTGAATAAGGAACTCAATAAAAATCAGCCACAGCAGGACCAAGTAAGCCAGAAGACCTACCTCCACCATCTCCAGCATTTCCCTGCGCAGCCTGTAATTTCAGGGCAAGGCAAGAGACCTCAAATCTATCTGAGAAGTCCCCAAAGGTCTGACCCGCCCCCCACACCCCCCGCCGGAGAAATAGCCAACAAGGTCTAGAGTACATTTTGCGCCCCACAGGGTGATGAAAATAAAATGAACCTGTTGTAAAATGATGTGTGGGTCTGTATATTCTCAGATGGTGGGGAGGGAGGGAGGAAGGAAGAGGCAGTGGTGTGGGAAGGGAGGGAGGTGGGTATTCTGGGTTTGGGGCCAGAGTATATATATCAAGTATATCTCAATAAAACTATTTTTAGAAATTATATTCTGTGAAAGTTGTCAGAATCAAAATGGAGTCACTAATGTTAAAAAACCACTGACAAATACAGCTGCAAAAGGTTATGAAGGAAGGGTTATCATGTAAGAATGCCTGATAACAAAAGAGTCTGCAAAACCTACAGCCTTGTACAAAGGCCATTACCACCTTGTGCAAAAAATACTTCTGTGAGGGCATCCGCCTAGCAACTGCTTGTCCAACCTTGGCCTGGCATCACCCTTGTTATTGACCTTTGTAGTCAATGATAATTATTTCCTTCTTCTTTTTTTTTTTTGAGACAGATTCTCATTCTGTCACCCAGGTTGAAGTGCAGTGGCACGATCTCAGCTCACTACAACATCTGCCTCCTGGGCTCAAGCCATCCTCCCGCCTCAGCCTCCAAGTAGCTGGGACCACAGGCCTGCACCACCACATCTGGCTAATATTTTGTATTTTTTGTAGAGATGGGATTTTGCCATGTTGGCCAGGCTGTTCTCGAACTCCTGAGCTCAGGCCATCTGCCCTCCTCGGCCTCCCAAAGTACTAGGATTACAGGTGTGAACTGTCACGACTGGCCTAAGGATAATTATTTCAAAGGAATTATGTAAGTCTCCTCATTTTTTCCTTTTAAAACCTTTGTCTTCCTTTACCTCTCTGAATACACATCATTTACTGTGGCACGTGTAATCCCACTGCAATGCTCTATTCCCAAATTTTCTTTTAAAGAGCCTCTCTCCATATAATTAGGTTGACAATTCCCTGAAGAGAAAAATAACTTTTGAAAAAATAAGGATAAAAGATTGGGGGAAGAGCATTTTATCACAGAAATTATATAGACATACTGGAGTATGGTGGTAAAAATCAAGATTGGCTTTTATTAATTTTATTGTTTTAAAATTATCTGTAGGGATTCAACTTCCACTTCTGGGAAGATGGAGTACTCTCCTATTTCTCCTGCTAAGCACAACTAAATGCCCAGAATGTTATACACAAAACAAGCAGTAAGATGGGTCTGAATGGTAGAGAAAAGAGGAGACTGGCTAGGGACCTTGGAATCCAAGGAACAACATAGCATAGCGGTGAGTTCCCTGTGTTTTCTTTTCTTTCTTTCTTTCTTTCTTTTTTTTTTTGAGACGGAGTCTCGCTCTGTCACCCAGGTTGGAGTGCAGTGGCATGATCTTGGCTGACTGCAACCTCCCCCTCCAGGGTTCGAGCAATTCTTCTGCCTCAGCCTCCCGAGTAGCTGGGATTACAGGCGCACGCCACCACGCCCAGCTAATTTTTGTATTTTTAGTAGAGACGGGGTTTCACCATGTTGGCCAGGCTGGTCTCAAACTCCTGACCTCGTGATCTGCCCACTTCGGCCTCCCAAAGTGCTGAGGTTCCCTGTGTTTTCTTTATGCCTTATATATCCCAGAAATGGAGCTAAATAAGCCAACAGGTACAGGGAGTTGAGGGGAGAAGCCTCAACAAAAGCCTTCTCTCTCTAACCAAAAAATCAGGAAAAGGGTAACCTAGCAAAACAGAAAACTTTTAGACACTAGCTGCTCTACTCTCACCAAATATCAACACATACAAAAAATCTATGGCCCCACTCACATCCACACCAGCAAAGGCTAAGAGGGGAGCCTGGATTGCCACCCTCACTAGGCTATATCAAGGGCTCCAAGTACCCCCTCACCAGCACTGGAGTGGTGTCAGAGGTGACTGAGTAGAGAGCTTGAGCTTTTATTCCCAGCATGTAGTAATGAAGCATTTCCCTCCCCACAGCATGTTGTTTATATAGCTCATGTGGGGAACTTGCACTTCCACTCAAAGATAAAAGTCGCCCTTTCCTCTCCTGACTGGGGTGTCATCAGAGGAGGTCTCATAAAAAGTGAGGACTTTCACCACTGTCCAGGAACAATGAGACCATCCCTACAACCTGTGGTGTCAGCAGAGGCCACATGGGGAAGAGTAATGAGAAACACTCACCCCTCCCAAACAAGGAGGTATCAGTAGAGCCCTAGTATGGGGCCAGAACTCCCACCTAAACCCAGCAGTATTGAGTGGGCTCCCACTTGGGTGTCAATGGAGGCCAAGTGAGGAACTTGATCTTCCATTTCCATATGTCAGTAATGAAGTGGTGCCCTATCTCTTTTGCTAGAGTGATGTCTGAGAAAGCCAGCTAAAACACAAGGTTTAAATAAGATCCAGAATAATATGACATAACAACCAAAATATCAATAGCTCAATCAAAAACCATTCACATAACAGAAACAGGAAGATCTTGAACTGAATAAAAACTCAGTCAGTACACATCAACACCAAGATGATGGACATTGAGAATTATCTGACAAAGATTTTAAATCAGCCATTATAAAAATGCTTCAAAATGCAATTATAAACACATCTGAAACAATTGGAAAAAATAGAATATCTCAGCAAAGAAGTAGCACATATAAAGAAAAATCAATTGATGTTTTTAGAACTGAAAAAAGCAATAACTGAAATGAAAAACTTAATGGATGGGCTAAAAAGCAGAATGGAGATGACGGAGGAAACAATCAGTGAACTGAAAGATAGAACAATAGAAATTTCTCAGTCTGAACAACAGGGAAAAAATACATCAATATAAAAATGAGCAGAGCCTCAGAGACCTGAGGGACCATAACGAAAGATTGAACATTCATGTCACTAGAATACCAGAAAGAAAAGAGAAAGAGAATAGGGCTGAAGAGGTACTCAAAGAAATAATGGCTTAATGCTTTCCAAGTTTAGCAACACTCATAAACCTATAAATTCGAGAAGCTGAATGAATCCAAGGAGAATAAATCCAAGTCAAGATACGTCATAGTCAAACTTCTGAAAATTAGAGACAAAAAAAAATCTTGAAAGCAGCGAGAGAGAAATGACATCTCAGTTTAGAGGGAAAATAATTCAAATGACAGTGAGGTTTGCAACAGAAACCATGAAGCCCAGAAGAAAGAAGCACAACATCTCTCAAGAGCTGAAAGAAAAGAACAGTCAACACAACCCTACATATAGCAAAAATATCTTTCAGGAATGAAGGGAAAATCAAGATATTCCCAAATTAAGGAAAACTAATAGACTTTGTCACCAGGAGATTTACCCTAGAAGAATGGCTAGAGGAAGTTCCCTAAACAGAAAGGAAATGATAAAAAGGGTAATGGGGAATTGGAACATTGGGAAGGAAGAAAGAACATGGTAAACAAAATGTAGATAAATACAATAGACTTTCTTTCTTCTTTGAGTTTTCTAAGTTATGTTTGACAGTCGAGGCAAAAATTATAGAATGGCCTAATATGTCTTTAAATGTATGTATAAGAAATACTTAAGACAATCACATCATAAATGGAGAAGGGTAAAGGGATATGAAGGAAGGTGAGGTTTCTACACTTTACTTGAACTGGTAAAATGTTGACAACAGTAGAGTGAGATAAGCTAGGTATATATAATAACTAAAGCAACCAGTAAAAAGGATATACAGTTGTAAGTTGGCACTCCCATTCTTACAAGAAAATGCTTGACAAACTGAAAACTTTTTCTTACACCCATCAGAGAACTGAGATTGCAGGGCAAACCACTGACTGAAAATGTGGAGCGACTGGTTCACACAAAGAGGAGCAGGTAAGATCTGCTTACCTGTAGCAGAAGCTGCTGGAGCCATAAACTGGTAAGAACATCTAAATGGTGATTTTGATGACTTTCTGAAAGCTGAGTGTGGGGTAATGTAAGTGATAAACTACCTGGGGCTGCAGTCTTAAGGGGCAAACATTACAGGCTTTATCTCCAGGAACCCCACCATATTCTCGCAGTGAAGATCTGAGAAAAGTTGGCCTTGTGGATCTGACACTGGGAGGCAAAGATAAATCATTGTAAAAGAAATGCCCAAGATTTTCCACCTTCACCTCTGAGGTTATATACCCCATTCTGGCTACAAGATAGGCTAACGGCACCTGAGACGCTGAAGCCAAAGCTGAGGAAGAAAGCAAACTCCGCAACAGTTGAGTTGGGCCTGGGCACAGTAAATCTGGAGATGACTCATACCTTCAGTGAACTCGTTCACAAAAACACAAATCAACCTCTTTTAGAATCTCAGGGTTCCCGAATACTGCTGAGGGCCCTGTCAAGAGCGAGGGCAGCTAAAAGAAAGTACATGGAGCAGAGGTGGGGCAGGCATTGATCTGGGTGGGTGTTAATCATGGGTAGATGAGATGATCAAGATGGCGCCCTTCCTCCTATAAGGCCCTCTTAGTCCATCACCCTGGGGCTCATTTTGGGTGACCCTATTCTCATTCAGAGGCTGTTTGTCAGCCTGAAGCATTTCCAACCAGAAGCTCCAAATCCCATTTTGATGGTGGAGAGTCTTCATTAAGATTCTTCCATGACCCAACTCCCCAGACTAGTGGTAGTTCACATGCTGGAGGAAAGGCCCTCCAACCAGCATCACTGGTGGCTCCCCATCCATGGAAGAAAATCAAGGTGAACTTGGGTTTAGCTGTGACTTCTTAGACACAACACCAAAAGCATGACTCATGAAAGAAAAAATGGATAACTTAGACATTATTAAAATTAATAACTACTCTCTAAAAAACACTGTTAGGAAAATCCTGCCCATACCGGTGGTAGTTCATGTGCTGATGGGGAAAGCCCTTCATTCCTGGAGGCCCTCTGGCCACTATGTAATTAGTTCAGGCTCATCCCATGATACCTGTCTTCTCCACACTTAGAGTACCTCTGATCTCAGGAAGGAGGGAGACCCCCTTCCTTGCTCCATTAAGTACTCCAAGTCCCACTAGTGGGGGTCTACAGCGAGGGTTTTCTGTCAAGGAACAGGATCTGGAGGACACCTTGCAATGAGCAAAAAAGGAGAGAAGCCAAGGCCCCAAAACCCCTCTTCCCACCAATGGCTCTCACCCAGATGAGGAGGAGGTAGCACTTTACTCCCATCACATGTGGACAACCTGGCACTGCCTCTAAGTTGATAGAGACCTCCTGGGCCTGGTCAGGGTGTTAGCCCAACAAGCCTTGTCAGAAGTCTCAGGAATCATACTGTCAGGTCACACTTCTCTGAGCTCCAGGGCTCTAGAGATCAGCAGGGGCTGTGGTGAGAGATGGAATGAACAAATCACTGGTCCAGGCAGCCTTCTCCTAAGCCTCCTCCTGTCTAGCCACCAGGTCTAGCTCTTTGAAAACGAAGACCCCTGAGGGTGGGAAGGTCATCTGTGTTGGAGACAAGGGGCAGAAGGAGCTGCCATTTCCCCCTTCCTCCTTGACTTGTATCATCTCCAACCCTTCTGGTACTGACCAATGTCCCTAGCCTCTTTCAGTCCTTTCCCCTCCAGCATTATCGATGCTCTCCTTGACCCATACTGCTTGCTCTCTAGATGATAGAAACATATGAAGGCTCATTTTTACCATTCCATGTATTTTATGTATATTTGAAAAAAGTTACAGGAAACCTTTAAAAAGTAGTTCTTTAATCCTCCTGGAATTAATTTTTGTGTGTAATTCCAAGGAGGGTTCTTGTTACATTTTGTTTTCTACATGGATATTTAGTTGTTTCACTGTCATTTATTAAAAGTTATAGTTTTATTATTGCCCTATCTCTCCTGCTCTTTTTAAATATATAAATCAAAAGTCCATGTATTAAGTGGGTGTGTTTCAGGAATCTCTATTCAGCTCCATTGTTCTATTTGTTACACCTTGTACCCATACTACAAATTCTTTATCACTAGAGCTTTCTAGTCATTCTTACTATCTGGTGGAGGAACTCCTTTTATCTTCTTTTATCTCAAGAATGTCTTGGCCATGCTTAGCCTATTGCATGTTGTGTTAATCTGTTCTCACATTGCTATAAAGAAATATTTGAGACTGGATAATTTATAAAGAAAAGAAGCTTAATTGGCTCACGGTTCTGCAGGCTGTACAGGAAACATGATGCTGGCATCTGCTCAGCTTCTGGGGAGGCCTCATGAAACAATCATGGCAGAAGGTGAAGCGGAAGCAGGTACGTCACATGGCCAGAGCAGGAATAAGAGAGAGGCAGGGGAGATGCCACACACTTTTAAACAACCAGATCTCACGAGAACTCACTCACTATCACGATAACAGCACCAAGGGGGTGGCGCTAAACCATTCATGAGAAATCCAGCCCCATGATCCAATCACTTCCCACCAGGCCCCACCTCCAACAATGGAGATTACAATTCAAAATGAGATTTGGGTGGGGACACATATAGAAACTATATCACATGTCAATTTAAATTTCAGAGTCATCTTGCAATATTTTACACACACATGTATGTAAGCACACACATTCACACATAAAGACTTTAATTTTTAAATTGGGATTGCAATCATCTGTACATTACTTCTGGAAATAATTAACATGTCTACAATATTGAATACTCACATCCATTTATTTTATATTTAAAGCCTTAATTAGTTCATTAATTTAATTTCCATGAAGTTCTTAGGCTTTCTTTGGTTAGATTCATTTTACAAGGTATATTTTGTTTATTCTCATTTTCATACTGTTACTGCAGAAACTTAATTTTTTTGTAAATTGATATTTGTCCTGCAACTTTTATATATATTTTATTAAATGAATAATTTACTCTTATTTTGAATTTTCTTTATACACAATCTAAAAACCATCTGTTAATTAGGCAAATTTTGTTTATTTTTTATCTCTAGCCCTTTGATTTCATCTGCTTAGCATTACTGCACTGGCTAGTACCTCTATTACAGTATTGAATAGAAATGGTGATAGCAAGAATCATTGTCTTTTACAATTTCAAAGTAAAAGTAACTTTCAACTTTTTGATGTTTGCTGTAGTTTTTTGGTAAATACTCTTTAAGTAGTTTGCTAACAGTTTTTCATTGTTAATCAACCTGTAGCTTTAGACTTAGAGAAAAATAGAAAACCTAGTATTGAGTGCCTTATGCTCTACACCGTTTCCTCTATTATTAACATTTTCCATTAGTATGGTACATTTGTTACAACTATTGAACCTATATTAACACATTGCTATTAACCAGAGCACATACTTTATTCAGATTTCCTTTGTTTTTACCTAATGCATTTTTTTTTCTGTTCCAGAGTTTCATGTAGGACCATCGTTTCACATTTACTCGTCATGTCTCCATAGGCTCCTCTTAGCTGTGGCAGGTCTTAGACTTTCCCTACGTTTGATGACTTTGATCTTCACAGTTTCGAGTAGCATTGGTCAGCTATTGTGCATAAAGCCCTTCTACTGGGATTTGTCTTATACGTCTGTCATGATTAGAATGAGAGTATGAACTTCCAGGGGGAAGATCTCAGAGGTAAAATGCCATTCTCTTCACATCATGTAAAAGGAACCTATTAGAAATATGATTTCTCATGGTTGATGTCAGCTTCGGTACACCACTTGTTCTGTAAAGGTACAGCAATCTACAAAGTATGATATTGCCAAAAGAATGGACACACATCAATGGAACAAAATAGAAATAGATCCATAAAAATATAGTTTACTGATTTTTTGACAAAGATGCAAAGATAATCCTATAGAGAAATGATAGTCTTTTCAACAAAGGGCACCTGAACAAATGGATCTCAATATGCAAAGAAATGAACCTAGATAAAACTTTATATCTTTCACAAAAAATAACCTCAAAGTATATTATAGACTCAAATTTAAAATGCAATATTATAAAACTTCTTGAAGAAAATAGGGGAAGATCTACATGACCTGGGTTTTGGTGATAAATTTTTTAGATACAACATCAAAAGGGTGGTCTATGAAAGGCAAAATTGATAAGTTAGACTTTCTAAAAATAAAAAAGAAACCTCGAAAGCTCTTTGAAAGACATTGTTAGGAAAAAGAAAAGAGAAGCCACAGACTATGACCAAGTGTTTGCAAAACATATATCGGATAGAAGATCTGTATCCAAAATCTACAAAGGAGGCTTACAACTGAACAATAAGAAAACAAATTTATAAAAACTCAATCAATGGGCAGAAACTCTGAACAGACACATCGCCAAAGAAGATATACAGATGGGAAATAAGCATAAGACAAGACCATCAACATCATTCTTCGTTAGTGAATTGTGAATTAAATAACAATGAGATACACAGCTATTAGAATGTCTAACAATACCACTTGCTGGCAACACTAAGGAGCAACAGACACTCTTACTCATTGCTTCTGGGAATGCAAACTGGTACAGCCACTTTCAAAGATGGTTTGTCAGTTTTTTGTTTGTTTGTTTGTTTTCAACAAAGCTGAACACAAGTCTTGCTATTCCTAGGTATGCATCCAACTAGTTTGCAAACTTGCTTCCACACAAAAAACTTGCATACAAGGGTGTATGGCAACTTATTTCATAATTACTAAAAACTGGAAACAACCAGGATGTTCTTCAGTAGGTGAACGGATAAACAAACTGTGGTCCAACAATAATAGAACATTATTCGTGAAAAAAAGAAATGAGCTATCAAGCAACAGAAACACATGAGCTTAGCGTTAAGTGAAAGAAGCACTATAGTGAAAAGCACTGCAGTCTAGTTGATAAGTCTGTTTCCCACAAGGATGGGGGTTAACAGTTCTGGTTCTACTGTGCATATATATACATACACACACATATACGTATTTGTATGTATGTATATATCTACCCATGGATCAACTACTTTATTTATTTATTTTTATTTTTTATTTTATTTTTTTGAGATGGAGTCTCGCTCTGTTGCTCAGGCTGGAGTGCAGTCGCACGATCTCGGCTCACTGCAAGCTCCGCCTCCCAGGTTGACGCCATTCTCCTGCCTCAGCATCCCGAGTAGCTGAGACTACAGGCAAGCTGCAAGCTGTACTACCTGCAGTTGAGGGAGGGGTGGTACGAGCACCCGCTTGGCCACCCCAGTTGGTATCTCACTAGGGTGCATGCCCCCTAAGTCCACTGGCTCTGAGCTTAGCCCAGCACCAGGACTTGCCCAAGAATTGTAATCCTTGTGGCCTAGACTGCCTTTCATTTAGCACCACGGACCACTTTAGTCCACAGTGGTGAGGCTTGTGGAACTCAGGTTCTGACCACTGGTTAGGGCTGGTCTAAATGCTCCCTCTGTGGGTACCGGCTGAGTTATGCCTGGTGTTGCTTTCTGCTGTAACAGGGCAGTAGTGAGTTCCAACGCAAAGTCCCACAATCACTGCCCTCTCTCTCCCTTAAACACACAGATTCTCTTTCCGTGCCACACAGCAACTACTGGGAGATGGGGCAGGGATGGTGTTAGCAATTCAAGACTGTCTCTCCTACCATCTTCAGTGCCCCTTTCAGTGGTATGAAGTTAGAACCAGGTACTATGATCATTCACCTGATTTTTCATTCTCATTAAAGTGCTTCTTTGTGTGGATAGTTGTTCAATTTGATCTTCCTGCAGGGAGGACAATTGGTGGAGGCTTCTGTTTGGCCTTCTTGTTCTGCCTTCAAGCCAAAAGAATTATTTCACATTAGAAACAATTCAATTGTAATTCTGTACATACAAGATAGAGTAGAAAAAACATTTGGTCATTTCGATGAGTACAGAAAAAGCCTCTGAAAGAAATACTATGTGATTTCAAATTGACAACTTTCAGCAAACTAAGATGAAAAGGAACTTCCCTTTCCTAAAATTGGCAGCAACCATATTTAAATATGAACTTTTAGAAGAAGCATTCACATTCATGTCAGACACAAGTCGTTGACATATGCTGTCATGGCTACTGTCCATAGCTGCAGTGGGTAGCAAAAATGCAAAAGAGTCAGAGCTATGGATATCAAAATGAAAAAGAGGTATGAAGATTGAAAAGAAAGATAATATTTGTTGAGAATATGATTATCTATCAAGAAAATTCAAAGGAAAAGACACATGGAATATTCAAATAAATAAGAGGCTTCAGAAACCAGCAAATAGTAGTTCACTACAGCAAAATCAAGAGGCTTGCCACACAAAAGCAACTTAGAACATATGAAACAGAAAATATAGCATTCAAAAAAGCAATAAAATCCAAAATTAAACAGAAGCCTCACAAAAATATATAAGATCTTCACGGAGGCAACTGTATAAGTTTACTGATAGATTCTGGAAAAAATTTTCCAAATAAATGGAGGAGTGTCATAAATTCATTGATGGAAAACAGAATACTGCAAGGATGTCAATTCTGCTTAAATTATATACAGAGCTAGTGCCTTACCTGTAGCTGCCAAAATAACAATCAAGTTCAGGCTGCTGTGTTCTGTTCCCAAAATCAATTCTGGAAAAGTATAGAATGGAAAAAGAAAAAAAAAGGATTAGCAATAAAATCTAAACCACAAAACAGAGAAATCCCTGGGGAGACTAAGACTGCATTGAACTGCTACTTGTGTTTGGGGCATGGGGTAGTGGCAGAGAAGTTGGGGAGGTCTGTAGCCTGCGCTGACAGCACACTACAGAATGGGTAGAAGGAAAAATTATTTTAAACTCCCACCCCATATTATTGCCTAATATGAGGCAGCATCTCACAATGTGATGCCAGTAGCCCTGGGGTAATATCAGGACACCAGGAATCTTGGTGTGATTGAGACATGATGGCTCCAGAGTTCTGTTAATACCCACTTGACACCAACTTAGTAGGTGAGGCCTGGCCTTCCAAAAATGTAATTTAAATAGAATATAAAGAATGAACTAGAAATGGAATAGCATGAGTGAATCATACATAGTATGAGTAGATATTGTTTAATGAAATAAGTATATGTAATATATGTACATATATATCTGTAAAGATATATAGTGTGAATACATAAAATTATTCATATATAACAAACTTATATACATACATGTTTATGTATCTAAACATAAGCATAGTCTACATATATGACATATAATGTACACATACAATTAGCAGAAATGTAAAATTTATTTCTTACTGTGTGAATGCGGATTAAAATATGCACGTCACTAAACAGTACAATTAAATGTCACAAAAATTCCAAATGCAGGACTCCTCAATTCTCTTGCTGCTGCTCAGCCTCTTCAGTGTAAAAATAAATGCTTTAGGACAAAAGGTTTGACAAGTCGACTTCTGGCTGGGGAGGAGCCCCCGTGGGAAGGTGTGTGTCTTCTCCCAGAGGCCACTACAATCGCAGGCACTGCAGCTCCCCAGGGAGCACCTGGCCTGGGACCCGCAGCCATTCTCTGCAAGGGGTACAGCTGGGCGAATACTCAGAGGTGACAGAAACAGAGCATCCCCCACCCATCACTTCATCAAAGAGCCAGGAGCCAAGAGGAGAACCCTCCTGAGTAAGGATTGAGGGTCCACTCACCCCACATAGAGGGACCACAGAATCCAGTTCAGCCCCTCCTGTCAGCCCTGGAAGACCCTGACAATGTTGTCGCCCCGACCATATCCCTCCCTCCACTGCCACCTCAGGGGACTCGGAGTCAGTGCTTTGGTCTGAGGGGAGCAGACACCATCCACACAGGATGGGATCCAGGCTCTGCCAGGCATCAAGGTCAGGACCTTGAGGATGACTGAGAGTGCCCACCCCCTCGACCTCGACCCCCCACCCCCACCCCCATTTCCACCCCCACTCATAGCAGAATCCGCTATGACACCAGCAGTCAACCCAAGGAAGCCCCAGGCTTGGTGGCCGGATGTGACGGCTAGGGGGTCAGAGAAGCGAGGGTCTCGGTCTGAGGGGCGGCTTGAGATTGGCAGAGGGAAGTGGACCCAGGCTCTGTGAGAAGACAAGGTGAGAGGCTGAGGGAGGACTGAGGACGCCTCCACCCCAGATAGAGGACCCCAAATAATTCAGCGTCACCCCTGCTGCCAGCCCTGGACCACCTAGGGGAGTACTTCTCAGTCTGGGCCACCCCCCGGCGCCCTGCCAACCCCCGCCGCTTATGCCACAGGGGACTCTGGAGTCAGAGCTTGGTGTGACCAAGGCAGGGGTGGTTAGGAGAGGGCAGGGCCCAGGTTCTGCCAGGTTTCAAGGTGAGGACCCTGAGGAACGACTGAGGGCCTCCCTCACCCCCAAGCCCACCGTCACCGCCACGACCTACAGCCTCAGGATCCCCATCCCCATCCCCATCTTCACCCCCATCCTCGCCCCCACCCCTCCTCCATTCCCATTCCCATCCCCACCCCCACCCCGACAGAATCAGGTTTTGCCCCTGCTGTCAACGCAGGGAAGCCCCGGGTGCCCGGATGTGATGCCACTGATTTGCGCCTCAGGGATCAGAGGGAAGCGAGGGCCTGGTTTTGAGGGGTGGCTTAAGATCGGCGGAGGAAAGCGGGCCCGGGCTGTGTGTGAAGGAAAGGTGAGGCGTTGAGGGAGGACTAGGGACACCCCGTTGCAACCCAAGATAGAGGACCCTAAAAAATCCAGCACCACCCCTGCTGCCAACCCAGGACCACCCGGGGGCGGACTTCTCAGGCTGGGCCGCCCCCAACTCTCTGCCACTTAAGCCTCAGGGGACTCTGGAGTCAGAGGTTGGTGTGATCAGGGCAGGGCTGCCTAGGAGAGGGCAGCAGCCAGGCTCTGCCAGCCATCACGTTCAGGACCCTCAGAGAGGGTTGAGGGCTCCACAGAGCGGGGCTCTGTCCTTGCTGTCAGCCCTGGGAATTTCCAGGCATGGTGGCCAGGCATGTGGATCCTGGCATGGGCATCCAGGGCTGACGGAGGGAAGGGGCTTCATATCATGAGCACGGATTGCGGGGAGCAGAGGGAGGGCCCAGGCCCTGCTGGGAGACAAGGGAGGCCTGAGAGAGGCCCGAGGGCACCCAGGACCCCAGGACAGGGGGCCCACCCACCCCCTGTTTGAGACTGAGGTGCCTCCTCATTTGGCCTTGGGAATCTGAGGGATGAAGACTCAGGTCAGCAGGCTGGGGTGGGGCCCAAGCCTGCCGGGAGTCAAGGGCAGGAAGAAGAGGGAGGACTGACGGGAACTTGGAGTCCAGATCAGTGGGGACCTCGACCCTGGGAGGTCCCAGGCACAGTGGCCACATGTGGCCTGGACTCGCTGTGCCTTTGGGGTGTCAGGGAGGAGAGGACTGTGGTCTGGGGAGTGGGGCCTCAGGTCAGCAGAGAGAGGAGTCCCAGAGCTCTGAAGGATGACTCAGAAGACCTTTCTTCCCAGACTTAGGAAACCTGCCCCTACTGTCAGTCCTGGGAGGCCTGGGCAGGACTGTGGGGAAGGGATGCTGTCCCACCACTTTCTCCCTGAGGGTATCAGGGACATGGTGGCCTTGGCATACAGTTCAGCAGGAGGGAAAGAGCCGGGCCCTGTCGGGACTCAATCTGAACACCTGGAAGACACCCAGACAGCGGAGGGCCCCCTGAAACTTGCACCTTCTGTCAGCTTTGGGAATCCCACGCAGGGGTGACCGTGTGGTGCCCCCTCACCTCTACCTCCCGGGTCTCAGTGAGGTGGGGGCCTTGGTCTGAGGGGCGTCCTCCGCTCAGCAGAGGTAGCCACACCTGGTCAGCACCGGATAGAGTCCAGGGTCTTCCAGGAGTGAAGGGGAGGAAGTTTGGTAAGGACTGAAGGTAAGAAGTTACCTCCACATCATAAAGAAGAAGGGAACTTGCAGAGCCGCCCAGCTTCCCCTGTTCTCAGCCCTGGGAGGCCACAGGCAGGGATGGCATGTGGCATGCTCTCATTTCTGCCATGTGGTTGGAGGTGGGAGGTCTCAGGGAGGTGAGGACCTTGGTCCCAGTGACACTGACAGGCCAGTAGAGGGAGCCACACCTGGTCAGCAGAGGGAGGAGTCCCAGCATCTGCAGGACCCACGGTGTGCACCTTTCATGAGGACTGGAGGTACCCCCAGCCCAGAAAGAAGAGACCCCGCAGAGTCTGCTGTCCTTGTTCTTAGCTCTGGGGGGACCTGATCCAGGGTGGCCCTAAGTGGCAATCTCACTTGTGCCACGGGCAGGAAGTTGGAGAACCCTCAGGGAGATGTGGTCTTGGTGTAAAGGGGAGATGTCTGCTCATCTCAGGGGGCTGAGGGTTGAGGAACGGCAGGTCCCGGCAGGAGTAAAGATGAATAACCCACAGGAGAACTTTGGAACTTCCACCCCAGAACAGAAGGGGGCAGCCCCTGGTGTCAGCCCTGGACACCCCATGGAGGGGTGACGGGATGTGAGTCCTCCTCATGTCGGCTTTGGGATCTCAGGGAGGTGAGGACCTAGTTCTCAGTGGGTTACTCAGGCCAACACAGGGACCCCCATCTGATTAACAGACAGAGCGGACCCAGGATCTGCTAAGACCCCAGGTGAGGAACCTGAGGGAGGATTAAGGGTACCGCTGGACCAGAAGGCAGATGGAGGCCCCACAGAAATCTGCCTTGCCCCTGCTGTTTCCGCAGAGAGCATGGCCAGAGCTGTCAGTTGAGGCCCCCTCTCTTATACCAGGATCAGTGGTCTCAGGGAGGGGGAGGCCTTGGTTGGAGGGGCTGCATTTAGGTCAGAGGGAGGGTCCCAGGCTCAGCCAGGAGTCAAGGTGAGGACTAAGTGGACCCCACACGGCGAATGCACATGACCCAGCCCTGCCCTGCCTTTTCTGTCAGGCATGGGAAACTGCAGGGAACAGTGGGTGGATGGAATCCCCTCACTTCCTTTACTGGTGTCTCTTGGAGATAGGGATTTGATTTAAGGTGGTGGCCTCAGGTAAACAGGGAGAGTCCCAGGATCTGCAGGCATCAAGATGTGGACCAAGCAGGTTCCTCATCTCAGGACACATGGACCCAGCTGAATATGGCCACCTCTTACTGTCCTTGCCTGGAAGCCCTGAGCAGGTGTGGCCAGATGTGGGTCCCCTCATGTCCTTCTGTTCCATATCAGGGATATGAGCTCTTGATCTGAGAGTTTCTCAGGCCAGCAAAGGGGCAGGATTCAGGCCCTGCTAGGAGAAACGTGAAGGTCCTGAGTGAGCATAGAAGGGGCCATCTATGCAAAAGAGTGAGGGAACTGACAGAGTCCAGCCCACCCTCCTGACAGCACTCGGGGGACTGAGGCTGTGCTTGCAGCCTGCACCCTGAGGGCCCCTTGATCCCTCTTCCAGGAGCTCCAGGAACTTGGAGGTGAGGCTTTAGTCTGAGTCAGTGTCCTCAAGCCACAGAGCAGAGGAGACCCAGGCAGTGCCAGCAGTCAAGGTGAGGTGTTCACCCTGAATGTATACCAAGGGTCCCACCCACCCATAATGGATGGGACCCCAGAGCGCCCAGCCCCACCTGCCCTACCCTCAGCCTTGGGGCCTTGGCCTCTGCTGGCTGGCTGTAACCTGAGAAGCTGTGTCACTTCTTTCTTCAGATTCTCAGGGGACAGGCTGACCAGGAGGACAGGAGCCCCAGGAGGCCCCAGAGGAGCACTGAAGGAGAAGATCCGTAAGTAGGCCTTTGTTAGAGCCTCCTCCAAAGTCTGGTTCTTAGCTGAGGCCTCTCACACGCTCCCTCTCTCCCCAGGCCTGTGCATCCCCATTACCCAGCTCCTGCCCACACTCCCGCTTGCTGCCTTGACCAGAGTCATCATGCCTCTTGGACAGAGGAGTCAGCACTACATGCCTGAGGAAGGCCTTGAGGCCCAAGGAGAGGTCCCTGGCCTGGTGGGTGGGCAGGGTCCTGTGCCTGAGGAGGAGGAGGCTGCCTCTTCCTCCTCTAGTCTGATCATGGGCACCCTGGAGGAGTTGTGTGCTGCTGAGGCACTGAGTCCTCCCCAGAGTATGCAGGGAGCCTCCTCCTCCCCCACTACCATCGATAACACTCTATGGAACCAATCCGATGAGGGCTCCAGCAGCCAAGAAAAGGAGGAGCCAATCACCTTGCCCATCCCAAGTGTCATGGAGTCCTTCCTCCGAGAGGCACTCTGACAAGGTGTCTGATTTAGTTAGTGTCCTGCTCCACAAGTTTCGAATTAAGGAGTCAGTCACAAAGGCAGAAATGGTGGATAGTGTCATCAAAAATCACGAAGACTACTTCGCTTTCATTTTCAAGGAATCCTCCGAGTACATGCAGCTGATCTTTGGCATCGACGTGAAGGAAGTGGTCCCCACCGGCCATTCCTATGTCCTTGTCACCTCTCTGGGCCTCTCCTATGATGGCATGCTGGTTGATGACCCGAGCAAGCCCAAGACGGGCCTCCTAATAATTGTCCTGTGTGTGATCTTCACGGAGGGCAACTGCGCCCCAGAGGAGGTTATGTGGGAAGCCCTGAATGTGATAGAGGTGTATGCTGGGAGGGAGCACTTCATCTATGGGGAGCCCAGGAAGCTGCTCACCCGGGATTGGGTGCAGGAAAATTACCTGGAGTACTGGCAGGTGCCCAGAAGTGATCCTGCATGCTATGAGGAAGAGAGAGTTTCAGCAGGCGATGCAGCCAGGGCCAGTGGAGGGTGGGGTGGACTAGTGCACGTTCCAGGGCTACATCCAGCAGCTTCCCCACCCTGTGTGACATGAGGCCCATTCTTCACTCTAAAGAGAGCAGTCAGCGTTCTCACTAGTGAAAGGCACGGTGGGTGGAAGGGAACTCAGTGTATAATGTCTTTGTGTTCTGTTCTATTTGGATGAGTTTGCTATTTTGTAAAACATATTGGGAAGCCCTTCATCTGGTTTTGCGGTTTGGAACAAGATGCCATGGCATTGGAATAGGTGTTTCCTTGGAGAATGAAATACATTAGCAAAAAAATTGATGGGGTCATGAAACAGAGAAATAAAAGGAAAAGATAGGCTGCTCTGCCCGTAGAGTAGCTATTCTTTTATTTACTTTCTTAATAAACTTGCTCTCACTTTACTCTATGGATTCACCTCGAATTCTTTCTTGCACGAGCTCCAAGAACCCTCTTTTGGAGTCTGCACTGGGACCCCATTCCAGTAACATCTTTCCGGTGAACCCTGAAGGGACAATACTGAGGAAACCCCCTGACCCAAAGGAAATAGACGGCAGCACTGACTGGCAGACTTTGGAGTCAGGAAAACTTTTCTTCTGGGCTATTGACAGCTTTTAACAATTCAGTAAAGTATACTTCTGTGAACAAAATTCAGAGCATATTTGTTTCTCTCTACCTAATTTCTCTAGAATTTGGAAACTGCTTGTGAATATTCTTAACTTATAGCAATATAGTTATTTGCATAAGTGCAATAAGAATCTGTTTTCTTTTGCAACAAGACACAATTGGAGAAACTGGTTATTTTACCAAGGCTTTGACTGGAATGGTGTTCTTTCCTTTAAGGGATCAAACTTGACTTATAGAGCCAATAAAAACCCCTTGGGAAAACTAGCCTCATAACTTGTCTACACAGTCCCTGTGCAGGGTTACTGACCTGTGGTAAGTAAAGAATGTCATTATCTGACAGGCCCAGGAGCCCCAAGTTATCTTGGGACCTCAAGAGGAGAGGATTTTACCCAACTCAGAGGTATTTGACGGCACCCACCCCAGGCTGGACTCAGCTTTAAAAAGGTCTTATCTGAGATTCCTTCTATGGAACAGAGCTCCATGAAAGCCATTTATTTTTATTTTTTATTTTCATTTATTTATTTATTTATTTATTTATTTATTTATTTATTTATTTATTTTCGAGACCGAGTTTTGCTCTTGCTGCCCAGGCTGGAGTGCAGGAGGGTGATCTTGGCTCACTGCAACCTCCGCCTCCTGGGTTCAAGCGATTCTCTTGCCTCAGCCTCCCGAGTAGCTGGGATTACAGGCACCCACCACTACGCTCGGCTAATCTTATATATATATATATATATATATACACACACACACATATATATATATACACACATATATATGTGTATATATGTGTGTGTGTGTGTCTGTGTGTGTGTGTGTGTGTGTGTGTGTGTGTATATATATATATATAATTTTTTTTTTCTTTTAGTAGAGATGGGGTTTCAACATGTTGGCCTGGCTGGTCTTGAACTCCTGACCTCAGGTGATCCGCCCACCTCAGCCTCCCAAAGTGCTGGGATTACAGGCGTGAGCCACCATGCCCGGCCCATCAAAGCCAGTTTTAAAAGAGCTTATGTGAGGCTGGGCGTGGTGGCTCATGCCTGCAGTCCCAGCACTTTGGGAGGCTGAGGCAGGAGGACTGCTTGAGCCCAGGAGTTCGAGACCAGACTGGGCAACATTGGGAGACTGCCTCTATTAAAACATAAAATAAAAATAAAAATATAAAGAGCGTATGTGAAAAATAATTATTCTTGCTGCACTTTATACAAATGATCAGGCCAAGTATAATAAAACAAACCAGTCTTACCATGATTTGTCTTTAGTAAAAATGGGAGACTGGAGAGAGAAAAAAATATGATGTTGCAAAAACTATGGTGCACCTGTTATTAGATTCTAGTTTCATTCGTTGTTTTAAAGTTTTTTTCTGCAATTTAGACTCACTTTTCTTATTCCTGTGAACCAATCAGTGATCCCTGACTGCTATTTAGAAGAAGCAAGAGGGATGGGTAATGTAAAAATCTGGATCAATATTCTAGTTCTGGGCACATATTGAAATCAGATAGTGACCCCGTATCAGCCTGGTTCTAACAGTTGCCCAGTTCAAGGAAAGCCTTCTTACTTAGTTTACCTTGGGATAATTTTACTTATTTTGCTTTACTGTTGTGGAATACACTGGTGTTGTATTCTTGGTGCAGGAGTGCAGGATAAGCTTACTCAATGTTTTCTTAAACTGAACACTTATTAATCTTCCAGATAACATGTTTTGTCAGAACTCAGAGTTGTGTATGACCCTCACCAAACTGACGCTTTCTGACTGAGCTCCTCTCTGTCCTGAATTCAAAAGACTCTCATAATTAGGCAGTAATATCATCACCCCTATTCAGCCTGAAGAAGTTACAGAAGATGGATCTTCATCCCTCTACAACCCTTAGGAATAAAGGTTCTCAGATAAAAGGGAGGAGGGAAATGTCAGAGGTGTTTGAACCAGAGCAACTCCATCTTGAACAGGGTCTGGGTAAAATAGGGCTGAGACCTACTGGGCTACATTCCCAGGAGGTAAGGCATTCTTAGTCACAGGATGAGACAGTATGTCGGCACAAGATACAGGTCATAAAGACCTTGCTGATAAAACGGGTTGCAGTAAAGAAGCCAGCCAAAACCCACCAAAGCCAAGATGGCAATGAGAGTGACCTCTGGTCATCCTCACTGCTCATTATATGCATTAGCATGCTAAAAGACACTCCCACCGGCACCACGACAGTTTACAGATGCCATGGCAACGTTTGGAAGTTACCCTATATGGCTGAAAAAGGGGAGGAGCCCTCAGTTCCAAGAATTCCCCACTTTTTTCCTGGAAAACTCATGAATAGTCCACCCCTTGTTTAGCATATAATCAAGAAATAACCATAAAAATGGGCAACCAGCCGGGCGCCATGGCTCACGCCTGTAATCCCAGCACTTTGGGAGGCCAAAGGGGGTGGATCACGAGGTCAGGAGATCGACAGCATCCTGGCTACCACAGTGAAACTCTGTCTCTACTAAAAATACAAAAAATTTGCCGGGCATGGTGGCAGGCACCTGCAGTCCAGCTACTTGGGAGAATGGGGCAGGAGAATGGCATGAACCAGGGAGGCGGAGCTTGCAGTGAGCCGAGATCACGCCACTGCACTGCAGCCTGGGCGACAGAGTGAGACTCTGTCTCAAAAAAAAAATAAAAATAAAAATAAAAATAAAAATAAGAAGGCGACCAGCAGCCCTCAGGGCTATGGAGTAGCCATTCTTTTATTTCTTTACTTTCTTAATAAACTTGCTCTCACTTTACTCTAAAAAATAGAAATAAAAGGAAAAGACAGTTAATTCTCAGCTTTTTATTCATGTGCTGTTCTATAAAATTAAGCCATATATGTGTACCTGGATTTTCTTGGCTTATTCAAGGATGTAGGAGAAATTATATCTTAAATGGAAGTCCTGGTCACTGGCTCATTCTTTCTCAAACACTCACTGAGCATCTGCTCTTTGGAAAGCACTGTGTTACTGGAGATACTGGCATAAGTCAGACCCACCCCTACCCGAAGGGTGGTAGGGTCTAGGAGCTATAGTCATAAAATTAAGTTGGTGAGATTTCCTCTAAGACCTAGAGGAAAAGTAAGAGAGGGCAGAATGTGTGGTGCTCCCGGTGAGAGTGGTGGAGTGTAAATGCCCTGAGCCAGGGCCTTTTGGGCTTTGGGAAACTGCAGTTCCTTCGGAGGAAGCTGATTCTAATGAAGCTGGTGGGTCCAGGGTCAGATTCTCAGGGAGAGAAAAGCCTGGAATGGAAAACTGCTCTGAGCAGTTCATTATGGTTGGTGGATGAACATAGACGAGTTTCCACCTGGGGCAGGAATGGAAGGCATCCTGTGCTCTTATCCCAGTGCGGTTGAATACAGCCCAAGAGCTAGGTGATGGATACTCATCATCTGCAAGGGTTTCCTGGGAGGTAAGGGTGAATCTCTCAGGAAGGGAGGCCCAGAAGCCACTGGCAAGGTACTCTTCTGCCTTAGTGGGAGAGCTAGAGCTGACTCTAGTCAAATGGCATTCTAATTAGGTTATCTCAAGTGTAATTTGGCCATTCCTGAGCATGGGCTAGATTTTGCGTGGTGATTATATGAATGAAAATAGTGGTTGAGATGGAAAAGCAGCTGAGAGGGAGGAAAAGAGTTGGTCCTGGACTCACGTTCCAGGAACACTGAGCTGCAATCCAGCTGAAGAAGACTCCTCCACACACAAATTAAACAATAGATCCTCTAGGAGGGAAATTCTACTGTGTTTTGTCTATGAAGCAACACTTTGGGCTGAGTTGGTATTCTATTCTCTGTACTGTTGTGCTACGTACTCTGAGGTTTCCTAGATAACAATAACAACAGCAACAACAAAATTCCCAGAGGCAACTATGGTAGGATCTGAGTTCCAAATAGTAACACAAATAACTGCCAAACATTAACGATCTAATATATGCCAGGCCCTGAGCCAAGTGCTTTACTTACATTGCACACACTCCAAAAGTCCTATAAGACAGACTTTATCAAACCTGCTTCACAGATGAAGAACCTGATGCTCATGCGGCTTGATGATTTCCCCATAATTACATGGCTAATAAGCAACACGGTTGGGATTGCATCCCTGCTAGATTAGGATGGGCCCCAATCCAATATGACTGGTGTCCTTATAAGAAGAGGACATTAGGACACAGACACACACAGAGGAAAGACCATGTGAAGACACAGGAAGAGAATGGCCATCTACAAGTCAAGGAGACAGGCCTCAGGACAACTCAACCCTGCCCACACCTTGAGCCTGAACTTGTAGCCTCCGGGACTGGGAAAATACATTTCTGACGCTTAAGCTCCCCCAGTCTGTGGTACCTTGTTATGATAGCCAAAGCAAACTAATACACATGGTCCGAATTCATCTGAGTGTATGTCATTCCTTCGCGTCCCAACCTGAAGCAGACCTTCGTCTTGCTATTTACTTCTCAGGAATCCACGTCTCTCAGGCAACCAAAAGAAGGACCCTGTGGTCAAGCTACAAAAAGTATGCCTAAAGAAGTGCTATGGACTGAAATGTGCTCCCCTCCAAAAAAAAAAAAAATGTATATGTTGAAGCTCTAAGTCCCAATGTGATGGTCTGGAGATGGGGCCTTTGGGAGGTAATTAGGGTTAGATGAGCTCCTGAGAGCGTAGGCCCTCATGATTGGATTAATGTCTGTATTCGTTCATTCTTGCGTTGCTATAAAGAAATACCTGAGACTGGGTAATTTATTAAAAAAAAATAGGTTTAATTGGCTTACGGTTTGCAGGATGTACAGGAAGCGTGGCAGCATCTGCTTCTGGAGAGGCCTTAGGGAGCTTTTACTTATGGCAGTAGGCAAAGAAGGAGCAGGCTCTTCACTTGGTGAAAGCAGGAGCAAGAGAGACGGGGGGGGCATTGCCACACACTATTATATGACCGTATGTCGTGAGAAATCACTCACTATCATGAGCACAGTACCAAGGTGATGGTACTAAACTATTAATGAGAAATCTGCCCCCATGATCCAATCACCTCCCACCAGGCCCCACCTCCAACACTGTGGATTACAATTCAGCGTGAGATTTGGTGGGGACACTGATCCAGACCATATCAGTGTCCTTATAGGAAGAAATGCCAGAGAGCTTGCACATTTTTCTCTTTCTCTCTCTGCCATGTGAGGACTCACAGAGAAGGTGGGCATCCATAAGCCAGAAAGAAGACCCTCACCAGACACCCACCATACTGGCATTCTGACTTTTGGCTTCCCAGCCTCCAGAACTGGGAGAAAATAAGCATCTGTTGTGTAAGACCCCCAGTCTATAGCATTTTGTTACAGCAGCATGAAATGACTAAGACATGAAGGAAGGTGACAATGAGAACCAACACAATTTAGGAATCGTCTGTGGTTCCTTGAGAGCCAACTCTGTCCAGGTGCCAGCATTTCTGTGCATTCCCAGCACTTTCCCGAATTATAGCACCCTTCCACAATGGTCTTGCCCCATGTGCCTGCCTGTCCAATTCTGGAATCGAGCTTGCTGCTAAGCTCTTCATGGTTGCATCCTTTAAAGGCTGTGCCCTACTTCCAGTGGGACAGCCAAGAGTCACCTGCCCTTCTCCTAACATAGAACAGTTCTACTTTCTGGAGAAGTCCCCTGACTGTCCCTGTTCCTCACACTGGGGCCCCTCTAATAGCAAAAATACATTTGACTTTGAATAGAGACCTTTAGACATCTGATCATCCTGTTGGATGTCTTCAACACATTCTTAAAATGTTTTCCAAGTCAGCTGGTGAGTAGCGTCTGATTTTGACTTATAATATATCAGTTCCTGGGATACAACCCTGAAGTTAGAAAGTGTTTGAAACCATCCTATATTTACAATAGGACTTTAATAAGCTGTCTCATTGGAAACTGGCCACAGAGCACATACATAGATGGTCAAAAGCCAAAGCCTCTTGTATTAGCTCAGGCTGCCATAACAAAGTACCATAACAAAGTACCACTGGGTGGCTTAAACAAATAGGTAGATGTTTCTCGCATTTCTGGAGGCTGGGAAGTTTGAGATCAAGGTTCTAGCAGGTTTGATGCCTGGTGAGGGTCTCTTCCTGGCTTGTAGACAGCTACCTTCTCTGTGTGTCTGCACATGGCAGAAGGAGAGAATGCGAGCAAGCTCTCTGATGTCTCTTATAAGAGCGGTAATCCCATCACGAAGGTTCCACCTTAATGACCTCATCTAACTCTAATTACGTCCAAAGGCCTCATCTACAGATACATCACACTGGGTCTTAGGGTTTCAACATATGAGTTTTGGTGGGGGTGGGGGCACAGTTCAGTTCACAGCATCTCCTTCATAAGTGACAGATGAGGAAGGACTGTCAAAATCACTGTGGGGCAAATATCTACTGAAGCTGAATTCCTAAAACCCTAAAGTTCTCCTAGGAGACGAAAAGTGGTTCCTCGGTAGGCATGCTAGCTCTGATTAGAAATGGAAAAAAAATCAGAAATGAAAAAAAGAACTCTCTTGGCACTACTTCTGGTCTGTGGATCTGCCCCACAGGAAAGACATAGCTTTCAATGTGTCTAATGGCATCTGAACAGACGTTCAGGTAACAGGAGGGTAGCAGAGACCCACAGGTTGAGGTTTTACCCATGAATTAAAAGAATGAGAAATTCTCAGCCTACTAAGGTTTCAGACATTATTGCAAATGACAGTGCAGAAAAGTGTTAGTAAGTGAAGATAGTTAGTATATCTAACTATACTAGTGAGTGAAGAAGTTAGTATATCACACGAGGTGCTGAGGTATACTGGATCCTTAGAAAACTACATGTGATCCTGTATTTGAAAGCATCTGTCATACAGTACACACTTAAAAAAAGTTGGAGAACGTAAAGAAAATCTGGTTTTCTCCGAAACTCCTCCCAGCAATGAAGAGGGCTGTTGTCATAGCAAATAATAATAGTTCCTTTTTGTTGAGCACCTACTATGCAACAGTTTATGGGAGAGACTATAGTGCTCACCCACATCTCATCTTCCTCTCTTTCCTGGATACATGGGAACAGTACAGTCCACTTGTAGTTAGGAAGGGTCATGTGACAACCCCTTACCACTGAAACATGAGCAGAAGCATTGTTTGTCACATCTAGACATCTGAGAGCCAGTGTGCCATTTCCATGCTTTCTCCCTCCATCTAATAGTAAACATGGCAGCCTCATGTTGAGGTGGTGGAATCCCGAGGTGGAAGCTGCCTGGATACCTGGGTCACGGGAGAGTGGAGAGGCCCTGTCAAACCACATCAGGACTCATGTGCACATTAAATAAACTTGTGTTTTGTCATGTCACTCAAATTCCAGGGTTTGCCTATTGCATCAGCTAGCAGTTACTTCAGTTACTTTAACTGACTAATACACAGCTACTATTTTTGCTGTTAGGCTTATTTAGATATTGTAATTTAAAAGATAATTGTGCCTATATTCTTGTTGCAAAAGAAATCTAAAATACAGATAATTCACAATTCTTCTCTGTATAAAGTTCCTCCACAATTCAGCCCGCACCTCAGAGGTCACCACAATCAGCAACCTGCTGTGTACTATTTTATTGTATATTTTTATTCTTTTCTGTTTTAGTTTGTTTTTGAATGCATTTATTTCACAAATATGTTCATTAGGTGCTATAAAAATGTTTGTATCACCTTTTGTGTTTGTATAAATTAAATCAACAATAATTTCGGTCAAAATTAGTAGTCCCGAGAATTTTTCTCCTTTATACAGGGTGCATATCCGGGGGCCTTCAAAAAGCTCATGAAAAAAAATTGAATTAAAAGATAAAAATAAAAAATATGAACCAATTTCTGAACATAAACTATATCAAGTTCAAGACACTTTTGTAAGTGACGATACCAGATATTTAGTCCATTCCTAAAGAACTGAGAGTCCTGGGAATTTAACCACGTCAGTGCAGTCCTTTTACATTATTAACTGAAGAAAACTGAGTGTCCTTTGACAACTTCTCAAGATTTGGACTGTGGGCTTTTGCGTTAACGCTGAAATGAGTTAAGACTTTGGGGGACTGTTGGGAAGGCAGGATTGGTTTTGAAAGGTGAAGACATGAGATTTGGGAGGGGCCACATGTGGAATGATATTGTTTGGCTCTGTGTCCCCACACAAATCTCATCTTGTAGCTCCCAATATTCCCACATGTTGTGGGAGGGACCCAGTGGGAGATAATTGAATCATGGGGTTGGGTCTTTCCCATACTGTTCTCGTGATAGTGAATAAGTCTCAAGAGATCTGATGGTTTTAAAAACGGCAGTTTCCCTGTACAAGCTCTCTCTCTCTTTGTCTGCCGCCATCCATGTAAGACGTGACTTGCTCCTCCTTGCCTTCCACCATGATTGTGAGGCCTACCCAGCCACGTGGAACTGCAAGTCCAATAAACATCTTTCTTTTGTAACATTCCCAGTCTCTGGTATGCTTTATCAGCTGTGTGAAAAGGAATAAATACAGAGGGGTTCCCCTACTTCATTTGAAGGTTTATTAACTAACAATAATCAGTATAGTGTGGAATTGTCCTAAATTTAGAAACACATAAAAAGAAGAGAGTAAAGTCCAGGAATGGATCCACATGTATATGCATATATATATAAGTCAAATATTGATAAAGATACAAATGAAGATTCGAGGAGAGAAATGATAGTGTATTCAACTGGGTCTAGAACAACTGGATATCTATATGCAAAACTGAATTTCAATCCGTAATTGCTTTCTTCCTGTCTATCTATCTATCTAGCTACCTACCTACATATCTATCTATGTAAAAAGGGAGGGAGAGAAAGAAAGATAAAGGTTTCATAAGGAATTATCTCATGTGATTATGAGGTCTTGTATATCCCAAATCTGTGAGGCAGGCCAGCAGGCTAGAAACTCACACAACATTTTTATGTTAGTCTTGCGGTAGAATTCCTTTTCCAGGAAACCTTAGTCTTTTCTCTTAACACCTTCAACTAACTGGATGAGGCCCATCCACATTATGGAGATTAAACTGCTTCCCTTAAAGTCAACTGATGGTAAATGTCAATCACAACTACAAAATACCTTCACAACAACATCTAGACTACTGTTTGACCACACGGCTGAGCACTATAGCCTAGACAAGTTGACACATAATACTAACCATCGCACATATCTTACACCATACAAAAATGTAACTCAAAATGAACCACAGACTTAAATGTCAAAATTATGGGTTTTTTTTTTTTCTGTAGGAGAAAACAAAAAAAAATTGTGTTACCTGAGGTTATGTCTTAGTAAGCTCAGGCTGCCCTAACAAAATGCCATGGACTGAGTAGCTGAAACAAAACAAATTTATTTTTTTTCACAGTTTTGAAGTATGGAAGTCCCAGATCAAGGACTGGCAGGGTTGGTTTCTGGTGACGGCCTTATTCCTGGCTTGTAGATAGCCCTTTCTCAATATATCCGTTCTTGGCCTTTCCTCTGTGCATGTGCAGAGAGAGAGAGAGAGAGAGAGCTAGTGCAGGCACACAAGTAATTTCTTCTGTCTCTTCTAACTGCTTATAACCATACTAATCCTATGGGATCAAGGCCCCACCCTTATGACCTCTTTTAATATTAATTACTTCCTTAGAGGCCTCATCTCCAAATGCAGACACCCCGGGGCTGAGGGCTTCAAAGTATGAATTTGGTGGAGGACATAAGCATTAGCAAAGAATGCACACATAGATTAATAAAACAGAATAGAGCTCAGAAATAGACCTGCACACTTATAGTCAGGTGATTCACAACAAAGGCAATAATGGTGAAAGTACAGTTTTTCCAGCAAAAGGTGCCTGAACAATTAGACATCTACAGGCAAATTATAATAACCTAGAAACATCCTTACATATTCCAGAAAAATTAACTCGATATAAATCACAGACCTAATGCAAAATGCAAAAACTATACAACCCTCTATAAGAAAACATAAGAGAAAATTCACATAACTTTGAGTTCAGTGGTGAGTTTTTAAATTCAACACCAAAAGCATGATCAATGAAAGAAAAATTTACCAAGTAGATTTTATTAAAATAAACATCATGTGCTCTTCAAAGGACAATGTTAAGAGAATGAAAACAGAAGCCACAGACTAGCAGAAAACATCGGTGGTACACATATGTGATAAAGAACATATCTCTACAACATACACGAATTCTTAAAGTTCAACGACAGAAAAAACATGAAAATAGGCAAAGATCTGAACACACTCCTCACAAAAGAAGATATACACATGGCAAATAAGCATAAAAAAGTACTGAGAATCCGTTCTCATTAGATAACTGTGTACTAAAATGAGATACCACTACACACCTATTAGAATGTCCAAAATCCATAAAAAAGCAAAAAAAAAAAAAAAAAGAAAAGAAAACCAAGATCAATTGCCAGGGAAGATGTGGAGCAACAGAAACTCTCATTCATTGCTGGTGGAAATGCAACATGGTACAGCCACTTTGGAAGACAATTTGGCGTTTTCTTAAAAAACTGAACACAGCATAAGATTCAGCAGTCATAATCAATTTACCCAATTGACGTGAAAACTTACGTCTACATAAAAATTTGTATACGATTGTATACAAAAGATTATTTCATAATCACCAAAAATAGAAGCATCCAAAATGTATTTCATTTGGTGGATGGATATATATATACACACGCACTATGGTACAACCAGACAATGATACTACTACTCCTCAATGAAAAGGAATAAGTTCTGAGCCACACAAAGTTATACATGACTCTTCAGTTCATTATGCTAGGTGAAAGAAACCAGTCTAAAAAGGCTACATAGTATGCGAGTCTATTTATATGACATTCAGGAAAAGGCAAAATTATAAAGATGAAACACCTATCAGTGGCAGCCAAGGGGGTTATCTGACAAGCACAGGGGATTTATCAGGGCAGTGAAACTAGTATGGTAATACTGTAATGGTGGATGCATGCTTGCTTTCATCTGAATATTTGTGTTCCCACAAACTTCATCTGCTGAAATACCAAGGTGATGGTATTAGGTAGAAGGTGGGGTATTTGGAGAATGACTAGTTCATGAGAGCAGAGTCCTCATGAATGGGATCAGTGTTTTTATAAAATAGACTCCACAGAGATCCCTTGCCCCTTCTTCCATGTGAGGACATAGGGGAAAGGCAACTGTCTATGAACTAGGGAGCAGGTCTCCATCAGACATGAAATCTGCCAGCACCTTGATCTTGGACTTCCCAACCTCTAGAATGTGAGAAATAAAGTTGTGTTGTTTATAAGCCACCCAGTCTACACTATTTTTGTTATGGAAGCCCAAAGGGACTAAGACAACGGCACGAGGCATTTGTCAAAACCCATAGATCTTTACAGCACAAAGAGTGAAGCTTAATGTATGTAAAGTCTAAAAGTAACTTAAGAAGTTGGAGAATCATGGGACAGAATGTAGAATGTTACACACACACACAAACCTAGCTGTATTATACATGTATGAAACCACTACAGTGAAGCAAGTGGCGGGAAAGTTACCATATTTGGGTACTCCATCAAAGAAATATGTTTTTTATAAAGTATAAGTCGGCCAGATAAGCATGTAAAATAGTTGAATATTTGATAATCATTTATATAATTTTTCAGATATGAAAACTATTGGGATTCTGTTTAATAAAACGTCCTTATCTTTTAAAAATGCATATTGAGTTATTTCGAGATGAAATGGTCTAATGCCTTAGATTCGCTCCACGTTATTCCAGAAGCTGATGTGCAGGTAGGCAAGTGTCTAACTGGAACCAGATTTGCTGTGTATTTAAAGTTGTTCATGCTGGGTATCTAGTATCCTGGGTTCATTACATTAGTTCCTATTATTCTGTATGTGTGAAGGCTTTCCCTAGTAAAACTTTTTTTATAATAAATATGCCATTAAAAGTGAAATCCTAAATGAAACTGACCACTTTGTAGAAATAAAATAAACCAGTAACCAAACTGATCCAAAAAGAAAAAGAAAACTTTAATTAAACTATAAAAACTGAAACTGTACAATGTTCAAAGCTCAAGCCACCTTCAAACATTCCAGGTTAGGCAGTATTGGAGGCCAATTCTACCAAATGATCAGGGAAAACTAACCACCATCTTATCTCATCTCTTCTAGAACATACAAAATATTTACAATTGTTCAATTCATTCTTCCAGACTAGCCCTCCTGGATTCAAAAACCAGATGAGGACCACATCCCACCCTTGATGGGAAAAAAAGCACACATTAAGTAAGCTCCCTTACATAGCAGCAAATATCCTACGTAAATTACTAGCATATTAAATAAACAGGCTCTGCCCAAGGAAATAACATACGGTTTAACATTAGGGGAAAAAAAAAAACGGTTTCATTGTAATTCCTTACATACAAAATGGAGGAGAAAAAAATTTGATTGCGTCAACGGGTACAGAAAAAGCTTTTTAAAGAAATTTAATATGAGTTCATGGTAAAAAAAAAAAAAAAAGTATTTAACCTATATTCAAAGAGAAATTGCACTTCCTAAAATCAACAGCAAACATACTTAAATGCAAAACGTTCGAATAATTATCATTCACGTCAGGAACGAGAAGTAGATGTAGGCTATTATCTCTACGATTGAAATCAGGATTGAGACACAAAGAGCTATAAGTACCAAAATGAGTAAGTGGTATGAATACTGGAAGAATATGTAATGTTTAGTGATAATACCATTATCGATCTTGAAAATTCAAAGGAAAAGGTATGTGGAATATTCAAGTGCATCGGCCTTCAGAACGAGGTGTGCAACAGATTACTACAGCAAAATCAAAATCTTCACCTCACGAAAGCAATAACTAACTACAACAATTAATAGACAATATGCCATTTGCAATAGCAACAAAATTCATGAATTGCCTGAAAAGAAGTCTAATAAAAATGTATAAGGTCTTTATAGAGACAACTGTCGAAGTATACTGACATATTCAGGTAAAAAAAACCTTGAAATACATAGAGGAGTATAATATATTCATTCATGGGGAGCACAACACTGTAAAAATGTAAACTCAGCTTAAATTATTTACAATTTAGTGCCTTACCTGTAGCCGCCGCCATTACAACAAATTTGGGCTGCTGTGCTCTGCTTCCCAAATCAAACCTGGAAAATTACAGAATGGAAACAGTAAATAAAAAACCAGTATCAGCAACAAAACAGGGAAAGCCCAGGGTGAGACTCAAGGCTGTGTTGAGCTGGTACTTGTGTTTGACACTTGCAGTGTTGGTTGGAGGGGGTTAGCAGCAGGGATGTTGGGGAGGTTTGTAGCCGGCCTACACGGTAGATGACAGAATGGGTAGAATAAAAGTTTGAAATTTTCCACTTCACTTCTTTGCACAATCTGAGGCAGCCTCTGAAAACACGATGCCAAGAGCCCTAGGTAATAGCAGGACACCAGGAAAATTTGGTTGGTTAAGGCAGTATGACTCCAGAGTTCTGCTAATAACAACCTGAAACCACCATAGTGGGAGAGGAATTACATTTTTTAAAAAAAAAAATTCTTTCAACAGAACACAAAGACTGAAATAGGAGGTCACTACAACCGCGGGAGCTGCCGCCCCGCCCTGCAGGGAGCACCTGGCCTGGGACCCGCAGGCATTCTCTACAAGGGGTGCAGCTGTGCAAATGCTCACAGGTGACAGAAACAGAGCATCTCCTGCCCATCACTTCATCCAACAGCCAGAGGTGACGAAAACGACCCTCCTGAGTGAGGACTGAGGGTCCACACCGCCCCCCCACCCCACACACCATAGAGGGACCACAGAATCCAGCTCAGCCCCTCTTGTCAGCCCTGGTAAACGCAGGCAGTGATGTCACCCAGACCACACCCCTTCCCCCAATGCCACTTCAGGGGGACTCAGAGTCAGAGACTTGGTCTGAGGGGAGCAGAAGCAATCTGCAGAGGATGGCGGTCCAGGCTCAGCCAGGCATCAACTTCAGGACCCTGAGGGATGACCGAAGGCCCCGCCCACCCACCCCCAACTCCCCCGACCCCACCAGGATCTACAGCCTCAGGACCCCCGTCCCAATCCTTACCCCTTGCCCCATCACCATCTTCATGCTTACCTCCACCCCCATCCGATCCCCATCCAGGCAGAATCCAGTTCCACCCCTGCCCGGAACCCAGGGTAGTACCGTTGCCAGGATGTGACGCCACTGACTTGCGCATTGGAGGTCAGAAGACCGCGAGATTCTCGCCCTGAGCAACGAGCGACGGCCTGACGTCGGCGGAGGGAAGCCGGCCCAGGCTCGGTGAGGAGGCAAGGTAAGACGCTGAGGGAGGACTGAGGCGGGCCTCACCTCAGACAGAGGGCCTCAAATAATCCAGTGCTGCCTCTGCTGCCGGGCCTGGGCCACCCCGCAGGGGAAGACTTCCAGGCTGGGTCGCCACTACCTCACCCCGCCGACCCCCGCCGCTTTAGCCACGGGGAACTCTGGGGACAGAGCTTAATGTGGCCAGGGCAGGGCTGGTTAGAAGAGGTCAGGGCCCACGCTGTGGCAGGAATCAAGGTCAGGACCCCGAGAGGGAACTGAGGGCAGCCTAACCACCACCCTCACCACCATTCCCGTCCCCCAACACCAACCCCACCCCCATCCCCCATTCCCCATTCCCATCCCCACCCCCACCCCTATCCTGGCAGAATCCGGGCTTTGCCCCTGGTATCAAGTCACGGAAGCTCCGGGAATGGCGGCCAGGCACGTGAGTCCTGAGGTTCACATCTACGGCTAAGGGAGGGAAGGGGTTCGGTATCGCGAGTATGGCCGTTGGGAGGCAGCGAAAGGGCCCAGGCCCTCCTGGAAGACAGTGGAGTCCTGAGGGGACCCAGCATGCCAGGACAGGGGGCCCACTGTACCCCTGTCTCAAACCGAGGCACCTTTTCATTCGGCTACGGGAATCCTAGGGATGCAGACCCACTTCAGCAGGGGGTTGGGGCCCAGCCCTGCGAGGAGTCATGGGGAGGAAGAAGAGGGAGGACTGAGGGGACCTTGGAGTCCAGATCAGTGGCAACCTTGGGCTGGGGGATGCTGGGCACAGTGGCCAAATGTGCTCTGTGCTCATTGCGCCTTCAGGGTGACCAGAGAGTTGAGGGCTGTGGTCTGAAGAGTGGGACTTCAGGTCAGCAGAGGGAGGAATCCCAGGATCTGCAGGGCCCAAGGTGTACCCCCAAGGGGCCCCTATGTGGTGGACAGATGCAGTGGTCCTAGGATCTGCCAAGCATCCAGGTGAAGAGACTGAGGGAGGATTGAGGGTACCCCTGGGACAGAATGCGGACTGGGGGCCCCATAAAAATCTGCCCTGCTCCTGCTGTTACCTCAGAGAGCCTGGGCAGGGCTGTCAGCTGAGGTCCCTCCATTATCCTAGGATCACTGATGTCAGGGAAGGGGAAGCCTTGGTCTGAGGGGACTGCACTCAGGGCAGTAGAGGGAGGCTCTCAGACCCTACTAGGAGTGGAGGTGAGGACCAAGCAGTCTCCTCACCCAGGGTACATGGACTTCAATAAATTTGGACATCTCTCGTTGTCCTTTCCGGGAGGACCTGGGAATGTATGGCCAGATGTGGGTCCCCTCATGTTTTTCTGTACCATATCAGGTATGTGAGTTCTTGACATGAGAGATTCTCAGGCCAGCAGAAGGGAGGGATTAGGTCCTATAAGGAGAAAGGTGAGGGCCCTGAGTGAGCACAGAGGGGATCCTCCACCCCAGTAGAGTGGGGACCTCACAGAGTCTGGCCAACCCTCCTGACAGTTCTGGGAATCCGTGGCTGCGTTTGCTGTCTGCACATTGGGGGCCCGTGGATTCCTCTCCCAGGAATCAGGAGCTCCAGGAACAAGGCAGTGAGGACTTGGTCTGAGGCAGTGTCCTCAGGTCACAGAGTAGAGGGGGCTCAGATAGTGCCAACGGTGAAGGTTTGCCTTGGATTCAAACCAAGGGCCCCACCTGCCCCAGAACACATGGACTCCAGAGCGCCTGGCCTCACCCTCAATACTTTCAGTCCTGCAGCCTCAGCATGTGCTGGCCGGATGTACCCTGAGGTGCCCTCTCACTTCCTCCTTCAGGTTCTGAGGGGACAGGCTGACGTGGAGGAACAGAGGCCCCCGGAGGAGCACTGAAGGAGAAGATCTGTAAGTAAGCCTTTGTTAGAGCCTCCAAGGTTCCATTCAGTACTCAGCTGAGGTCTCTCACATGCTCCCTCTCTCCCCAGGCCAGTGGGTCTCCATTGCCCAGCTCCTGCCCACACTCCCGCCTGTTGCCCTGACCAGAGTCATCATGCCTCTTGAGCAGAGGAGTCAGCACTGCAAGCCTGAAGAAGGCCTTGAGGCCCGAGGAGAGGCCCTGGGCCTGGTGGGTGCGCAGGCTCCTGCTACTGAGGAGCAGGAGGCTGCCTCCTCCTCTTCTACTCTAGTTGAAGTCACCCTGGGGGAGGTGCCTGCTGCCGAGTCACCAGATCCTCCCCAGAGTCCTCAGGGAGCCTCCAGCCTCCCCACTACCATGAACTACCCTCTCTGGAGCCAATCCTATGAGGACTCCAGCAACCAAGAAGAGGAGGGGCCAAGCACCTTCCCTGACCTGGAGTCTGAGTTCCAAGCAGCACTCAGTAGGAAGGTGGCCAAGTTGGTTCATTTTCTGCTCCTCAAGTATCGAGCCAGGGAGCCGGTCACAAAGGCAGAAATGCTGGGGAGTGTCGTCGGAAATTGGCAGTACTTCTTTCCTGTGATCTTCAGCAAAGCTTCCGATTCCTTGCAGCTGGTCTTTGGCATCGAGCTGATGGAAGTGGACCCCATCGGCCACGTGTACATCTTTGCCACCTGCCTGGGCCTCTCCTACGATGGCCTGCTGGGTGACAATCAGATCATGCCCAAGACAGGCTTCCTGATAATCATCCTGGCCATAATCGCAAAAGAGGGCGACTGTGCCCCTGAGGAGAAAATCTGGGAGGAGCTGAGTGTGTTAGAGGTGTTTGAGGGGAGGGAAGACAGTATCTTCGGGGATCCCAAGAAGCTGCTCACCCAATATTTCGTGCAGGAAAACTACCTGGAGTACCGGCAGGTCCCCGGCAGTGATCCTGCATGCTATGAGTTCCTGTGGGGTCCAAGGGCCCTCATTGAAACCAGCTATGTGAAAGTCCTGCACCATATGGTAAAGATCAGTGGAGGACCTCGCATTTCCTACCCACTCCTGCATGAGTGGGCTTTGAGAGAGGGGGAAGAGTGAGTCTGAGCACGAGTTGCAGCCAGGGCCAGTGGGAGGGGGTTTGGGCCAGTGCACCTTCCGGGGCCCCATCCCTTAGTTTCCACTGCCTCCTGTGACGTGAGGCCCATTCTTCACTCTTTGAAGCGAGCAGTCAGCATTCTTAGTAGTGGGTTTCTGTTCTGTTGGATGACTTTGAGATTATTCTTTGTTTCCTGTTGGAGTTGTTCAAATGTTCCTTTTAACGGATGGTTGAATGAGCGTCAGCATCCAGGTTTATGAATGACAGTAGTCACACATAGTGCTGTTTATATAGTTTAGGAGTAAGAGTCTTGTTTTTTATTCAGATTGGGAAATCCATTCCATTTTGTGAATTGTGACATAATAATAGCAGTGGTAAAAGTATTTGCTTAAAATTGTGAGCGAATTAGCAATAACATACATGAGATAACTCAAGAAATCAAAAGATAGTTGATTCTTGCCTTGTACCTCAATCTATTCTGTAAAATTAAACAAATATGCAAACCAGGATTTCCTTGACTTCTTTGAGAATGCAAGCGAAATTAAATCTGAATAAATAATTCTTCCTCTTCACTGGCTCGTTTCTTTTCCGTTCACTCAGCATCTGCTCTGTGGGAGGCCCTGGGTTAGTAGTGGGGATGCTAAGGTAAGCCAGACTCACGCCTACCCATAGGGCTGTAGAGCCTAGGACCTGCAGTCATATAATTAAGGTGGTGAGAAGTCCTGTAAGATGTAGAGGAAATGTAAGAGAGGGGTGAGGGTGTGGCGCTCCGGGTGAGAGTAGTGGAGTGTCAGTGCCCTGAGCTGGGGCATTTTGGGCTTTGGGAAACTTCAGTTCCTTCTGAAGGAGCTGACTCTAATGAAGTTGGGTGGGCCCAGAGCCAGATTCTCAGAGTGTGGGAGAAAAGCCTGGAATGGAAAGCAACTCTGAGCAGTTTCTTTCGAATGGGGGATGAACAGAGAGGAATCTCTACCTCAGGCAGGAATGGAAGGTGTCGTCTGCTTTTGTCCCACTGCTGTTGAACGCAGCCCAAGATCTAGGTGATGGACACCCATCATCTGCAAGGGTTTCCTGAGCGATAAGGCTGAATTTCCCAGGAAGGGTGGCCCAGAAGCCCCTGGCCAGGTGCTTTTCTGCCGGGCAGGGAGAGGCAGAGCTGACTCCATTAAAAAAGGCATTCCAACTAGGTTATCTCAAGTGCAATTTGACCAATTGTAAGCACGGGCTAGATTTTGGATGGTAACAAAATGGATGAAAATGGTGGTTTGGGTGGGAAAGCAGCTGGGAGAGAGAGAAGCAGTTGGTCTTTTGACGCAGATTGTAGGAGCTCCGAGCTGCACCTGGCTGGGCGAAACTCCTGCACACCCAAATTTTGAAGTGCATTCTCTGAGAGGAAATACTTAACTGAATTTTATGGAAGAAGCTTCTGTTTGGGGCTAATTATTCCATGTCCTATTGAGCTGTATATTCTCTGGTAAGTCCTGGAGAACAACGACAGCAACAACAAAATCCCGGAGTGTTAGGGCCTCGGGTTAAAAAATATTGGAAATAACAGCCATCCGCCATTTGTTAAACTTCTAATTTATACCAGGCCCGGAGTCAGGTGCTTCACCTGCGTTGCATACACTCCAACTGTCCTACTAGACAGTCCTTATCACATCTGCTTACAGATGAAGAATCCAAGGCTCACAGGGTGTGTGAATTGGGATATAAAAACAGGGTATTTCCTGGGTATTTCCCAGGATCACGTGGCTAGTGAGGAACAGGGCAGAACCCGACCCCTGTTCTGAATTCCTTTAGAGCCCATGCTGTTCCCACTTCTCCCAGCCCGAGGCTGACCTCCTGACAGCGACTTCATTTTTCTTCTCAGCACTGCACCATGTCTCTCAGGTGACAAAAAGAAGGACCTCGAGGCCAGCGTAATAAAGCAGGCCTGGAGAACGCGACAATGAGAATCAAACACCATTTGGGGCTGGTGTGCGCTGGGTTCCCTGAGAGCTGACACTGGCAAGATGTGTTCATTTCTGTCCAGCCCCAGCACTTTCAGAATTACAGCACATTTCCCCGGGTCACTTCCATGTGTCCTGTCTGACTCCGGAACCTATAGGGCCTGCTGATCAGCTCCTCACTGGTCCCCACAGAACAGCCCAGAATCCCCTGCTCACCTCCTGACAGGGAGCATTCCTTCTCACAGTAGAAGTCCTCTGGCTGTCCCGTCTCTCACCCAGGAAGCCATATGATATCAACAATCCTTTTGATATAAAAATTCACATGGGGACAGTGACGTTTAGACACCTGGTTACCACTCCGGTTGTCTTCAACACACTCTCTAATTGTTTTCTGAAAGGGCTGAGTAGTCTGTTTCTCCATATTATCTAAGGGTTCTTGTGTGATGTCACCCTGAAGTGAGAGGAATTTGGAACCACCTTGATACCTGAAATCAGACTTTCACAGGGCGTCCTTTTGGAATTCGCCTCTGAATACATGCACAGATAAATGGTCAAAGAGCAAACCATCCCTCATGAGTACTAGATGAGAAAAACCTTGGGAAATCCCAGTGGAACAAACATCTACTTACTGAGGCTGAATTCCTAAATTTCTGGAGTCCTCCAGGAGTCTAAAAACGATTCCTTGAAAACATGTCAACTCTAATGAAAGAGGAATAATTAAGCAGCCTTCTGTTTCTTGTCTGTTTACCTGCTCCACGGGAAAATACTGGCCTTTATTGTGCCTACAGGCACTCGAGAGGTGTTCAGGCTTGTGGAGGGTAGCAGAAATTCACAGGTTAACATTTTGACCGGGAATCAAATGGAGGAAAAATGCTCAGCCTACTAAGGATTAAAGGGTATTGCAAAGGGAAGCCTTCTCGCCGAGACTTCCAAGATTCTTGGGCAGTTAGTTGTGATCGTATATTTGAAAACATCAGTTACATATTTGACACTGGAAAAAGTTGGAGAATGTCACGGCAAATTTGGCCTTCTCAGAAACTCCTCCTAGAAATGAGAAGGGTAGTGTAATACCAAAGAATCACAGTTGTTTTTGTTGAGCACCTACTATGTAACAGTTTATGGGGGAGGGTATAGTACTCACACACATTTTGTCTCTGTCTCCTTCCTGGACACATGGGAACAGTAAAGTCCTTGCAGTTAGGATGGGTCATGTGACATTTCCTTTATACCAATATAGGAGCAGAAGCATTGTTTGTCACATCCAGGCATGTGGGAGCCAGTGTGCCATTTCCAAGCTTTCTCTCCGCTTTCACTAGCAAACATGGCAGCTTCATCTTGAGATGACGGAATCACAAGGTGGAAGCAGCTTGGATTCCTGGGTCCCGTGAGAGTGGAGAGCCCCTGGCAAACTGCATCAGAACTTATTTGCACATAAAATAAACTTGTGTTGTGGCAAGCCATTCGTGGTTGTTCTGTTGCAATGGCTAGCAGTTACTTAAACTGACATGGCTAGTATTTCTGTTTGTCAGGTTTAATTTTTTTTTATTTAAAATGTAGTATTGTACATATTCTTATTGCAAAACTTATAGAAATGTAGATAATTCACAATTTTCCCCTTTACAAATCTCCTCCACATTTAACAACGCCCACCACCCCCACCGCCCCCTCAGAGGTCACCACAATTAACGGTGTTGTATATTATTTTACTGCTGACTCTAGGCTTCTCACTGACAGATAAACTATAACAATATGTTGTTTTTATTTAATATACAAGAACAATGATATACATACTGATATTCTTTTATCACTTTATAAAATGGATGTAGGATCTTTCCACAACGGTAGATAGATAGATAGATAGATAGATCTTTCTCACTTTTGAAACCACTTTCTATAATTCTAAAGTAGACATGCACCACAATTAATTAAACTCTTTCTTCCTAGTGGACATATAAGTTGTTTCCCATTTGCTGTATGATAACTACAATAAAATCAACATCTCTGAATATGAATTTTTAGGCAAACATGGTTTTCTTATAAGAAGGATATATTAACATGGACACTGGGTTAAAGTGAAAGGGTGAAAATAGTTTAACATTTAAAATATTTCTAAAATGTTATTACAAAAGTGCTGTACCAATTCAAATTCTCATAAAAATCACAATTGATTTAAAATTCTGAAATGTGGACAGGACATTTCTTCTCTGCTTTGAGAAGGATTTGGTGAGACTGAAGAGGAGCCAGGTAATGAGAGCAGACAGGAGACCCTCAGCCCGTGAGGGAGGATCCAGGGAGGATCCTGGGGAGAGCCGTTGCTAGCGTCCATGAGAGAGACCACATGCGAAACCAAGTCCACAGAGCCCCAGGCAGGCTGTCACTCCGAGCTCTAAATCCAGACTTCAGGCCGGTGGGGTCAGGGGCCTGAGGGAGAGAAGGGGGAAGGGAGGAGGGAGGACAGGACAATGAATAGGAATAGAGTTGGGAAATCCCGGCAACATCATCACCAGCTGGAGGGAGCCCTGTGATCTGAGTGTTGGCTGAATGCACCAGGGCTGTGCTGGTCAACCTTCCCGCCCTCAGAATCCCCTTCCCTCTCTCAGGAAGAGCTTGGCTGACTCCCTGCGTCATTCTGGGCCAGCTACCTCTCTTGAACACTCCAGTGGTCCTTTGTACCTTCACCAGCGTCCCAGATGTGGGAACTGTCTTCATGCCTGCTGGGGGCTGGTGTTTTATCCCCCGGGGACCTTCTATAGAGGCTGGGCTATGTGAGTGGGTTGCTGACTGATGACCAACTGCCGAGACAGGCCAGGAATGCCCATGAGCAGTTGAAAGGGGCAGTGGGGCTGCATGGAGGAGAAATGGGAGGAGGAGTGCCCTGGGACTAGTCAGCTCAGACTCTGCAGATGAAGGATTGGCTGTGGACGTGCCTTGAAAATGTTCCAGTTGGCCACTGTGTCTCAGATAGCCTTCTGTGGCTTCTGAACCCTTGGCACAGAACGGGACAGGAGTCCTAGGGCAGTGACCGCTGGCGTATGTTGCCAGATGACAGTGTCTGGGGTAGGGGGCTGGACCAAGGTGTGTACGTGAGCAGGTTGTATGGCAAGGCAGTGCAGGTGGCAGCTTTCCTTGTTAAACTGATGGGGACGTGTGGGGTCCAATACAGGAAGCATCCTGTTGGGAGCATCCTCACCTCCATGACAGTGTTTGGGCCTGGGGAGAAGGCATCTGCAGTGACCCTCTCCGTGGTAGTTTCCACAGGGTTTCTGAACCCAAGTGAGCACAGGTGAAGGAACTGTGGGTTTCTTCATGTAGGCAGGAGGCCCAGGAAGGGCAGACTCCATAATTTGAATCAAAGAATTCCCATGCCAGGTGATTTCATTCATTCCATGCACGTATTGATTCCTACAGAAAACTTTTATTCAATATATGCTGAGGAAACACCAAGTCAACAAAACAATAGAAAGTGGCAAGGCCCTTAATTCAGTCTGTAGGGAGTCGGGGGAGATGAAGAGGTGGTGTGAATCGCCCATCTGAGCCAGGGAAGCCAGGAAGGCAGAGCCAGACTTGGGGACTGGCAGTGTGCAAGAAAAGGAGAGACAGCCTGTGTCCGGGCCAGAAAGCTCTCCTTCTATTACACTATCGATCTGGTTTTCTTCCTGGATGCTGCCTGTGTGTGAAAGCAACTGCTGCTCTCTGTGCCTACCTGCCTCTGTTAGTAGGGAAAATGGTCATGGTCAGCGGATGCTCACTTCTGCTCACCTTGGATCACTTCTACTGAAGGGATGGTTTGACAACAAGAAGACAGGAAGAAACTTTTGGGGAGGATGAATATATTTTTCACCTTCACTGTGGTTGTGGTTTCATGGGACTAAACATTTCTCAAAACTCTTTGATTTGTTTCTCAGTACTTAGGAGAAAAAGTAAGCAGAAAACCAGGAAGGATATAGATGACCTGAAAAGCACCATTAACTACTCTGACTAAATAAAACAATAAGAAAAGCACCGCATTCAACAATAGCAGAATAAACAATCCTCTCAAGTGTGCATGAAATATCTCCCAAGATAGATGGTATTCTGGGCCATCAAACAAAGCTTACAAATTGAAAAGAATAGAAATAATAGATAGCCTCTTCTTAGGCCATAATATAATTAAACTCAAAACCAAACACCAAGATATCTGAAAAACGCCCAAATATTGGAAATTTTAAAATAAGCTCCTATATAACCTATGGGTCAAAGAGGGAGTCTCAGGAGAATTTTAAAAATACATTAAGTTGAATGAAAGTAAAAATGTACATACAAAAAGTGGGATTCTGCTAAAGTGTGTCCTTGAGGGAAATATATAGCATATTTTAAATGTTTATATTAGAAAATGAAATCTAAAATCAATAACCAAAAGTTTCACCCTAGGAAACCAAAGAACGAAGAGCAAGTTGAATTAGAGAAATTGTAGAGGATGCCCCCCTCCCTTCCCACACTCCTACCTCTTTCCCCTTACTCCCTACCCCTACCATTTGAGACACACAGACACACACATCATTTTGCAACATGTTCACTTTATTTTCATCACCATGGGGCACACTCTTTGGGGTGTAAAATGTACTCTACACCCTGTTGGCTATTTATCTGGGGTTAGACCTCTGGAGACTTTTCAGATAGACTTGAAGTCTCTGGCCTTGCCCGGGAATTACTGGCTGTCCGAAGAGAGACTGGAGAAGGTGGTGGTCTCCTTGCCCTTGTGGTCCCGCTATGGCTCATTTTGATTGAGTTCCTCGTTCGGCTGGTCAGAGTGGCTGGATAGTGTTGGCCCACTCCATTCCTCAGGTTTTTTTGAAGCGGCGGTCTTTTAGGGAGAGCCTTTTGTTCCTGGAACTTCCTTGATGGGTCCCTTTTCCCTTCCGGGTTGTCTTGGGAACCTGGAAGGAAACAGGGAGATCAAAGAAGGGCACTGGTTTGGGGAAGAGGATGGAGGAGGGGTGAGAACAGGGGCTTCATAGAGAAATGGTGCAGGCTGGGGTGGGGGTTGTGCCAGGGGAGGACAGGGTAGGAGTCAGAGCTTGGGTGGGCCGTTCACTTTGATAGGGCTTCTGGGCCAGGGTTGAGAGGATGCCTTCCACTTCCTCGCCTCTTTGGTGTTGGTGGGTGGTTGTTGGACAATGGGCTGGAGGCTCGTGGTTTCCTGGACATCTTCACCAGACCAGCGTCTCTCAACAGTCTACTCCAGTCCACCTGGTCTCTCCAAGCCTCCCCCAGGACAGTGAAGGCAGGCCAGCAGGCTAGAAACTCACAGCGCATTTTTATGTTAGTCTTGTGGTAGAATTCCTTTTCCAGGAAACCTTGGTCTTTTCTCTTAACACCTTCAACTAATTGGATGAGGCCCATCCACATTATGGAAGTTAAACTGCTTTACTTAAAATCAACTGATTGTAAATGTTGATCACATCTACAAAATACCTTCACAGCAACATCTAGACTACTGTTTGACCACACAGCTGAGCAGTATAGCCTAGACAAGTTGACACATAGTACTAGCCATTGCACATATCTTGCACCATACAGAAATGTAACTCAAAATGAACTACAGACTTTAAATGTCAAAATTACTTTTTTTTTTTCTAGGAGGAAACAAAAAAAAAATTGTGTCACCTGAAGTTATGTCTTAAGTCAGCTCAGGCTGCCATAACAAAATGCCATTGAGTGAGTAGCTAAAACAACAGAAATTTATTTTTTTTCTCACAGTTTTGAAGTCTGGAAGTCCTAGATCAAGGACTGGCGGGGTTGGCTTCTGGTGATGGCCTTATTCGTGGCTTGTAGATGGCCCTTTATTAATCTGTCCATTCTTGGCCTTTCCTCTGTGCATGTGCAGAGAGAGAGAGAAAGAAAGAGAGAGAGAGAGAGAGAGAGAGAGAGAGAGAGAGAGAGAGAGAGAAAGAGAGAGAGAGAGAGAGAGAGAAAGGTCATGTAGGCACAAAAGTACTTTCTTCTGTCTCTTCTCCCTTCTTATAACCAAACTAATTCTATGGGATCAAGGTCCCACCCTTATGGCCTCTTTTAACATTAATCACTTCCCTAGAAGCCTCATCTCCAAATACAGACACCCTGGGGCTGAGGGCTTCAAAATATGAATTTGGTGGAGGACATAAGCATTAGCAAAGAATAGACACACAGATTAATAAAACAGAATAGAGCTCAGAAATAGACCTGCACGCATATAGTCAGGTGATTCACAACAAAGGCAATAATGGTGAAAGTACAGGTTTTCCAACAAAAGGTGTCGGAACAATTAGACACCTATACACAAATTATAATAACCTGGACATATCCTTACATATTCCATGAAAACTAACTCAAGATACATCATAGGTCTAATGAAAAATGCAAAAACAATACAACCTCTATAAGAAAACATAAGAGAAAATCCACATAACTTTGAGTTTGGTGATGAGTTTTTAAATTCAACACCAAAAGCATGATCAAGGAAAGAAAAATTTGCCAAGTTGATTTTATTAAAATAAAAATCTTATGCTCTTCAAAGGACAATGTTAAGAGAATGAAAACAGAAGCCACAGACTAGCAGAAAACATCTGCGGTACACATATGTGATAAAGAACTTGTCTCTACAATATATGCGAATTCTTAAAGCTCAATGATAGAAAAAATGAAAATAGTCAAAGATCTGAACACACACTACACAAAAGAAGATATACACATGGCAAATAAGCATAATAAAAGTACTGAGCACCCTTTGGCATTAGATAATTGTGTACTAAAATGGGATACCACTGCACACCTATCAGAATGTCCAAAATCCATAGAAAACCAAAACAAAGAATACAAGACCAAGAACAATTGCCAGCGAAGATGTGGAGCAACGGAAACTCTCCTTCATTGCTGGTAGAAATGCAAAATGGCACAGCCACTTTGGAAGGCAGTTTGGCGTTTTCTTAAAAAAATGAAAATAGACTTAGCACAAGATTCAGCAGCCATACTCAATCAATTTACCCAATTGATTTGAAAACTTATGTCTACATAAAAATTTGTATATGAATGTATACAATAGCTTATTTCATAATCACCAAAAATAGAAGCATCCAAAATGTATTTCATTTGGTGAATGGATATATATATATATACATATATATATATATATATAACCAGACATTGATACTACTCCTCAATGAAAAGGAATAAGTTCCAAGCCACACAAAGTTATACATGACTCTTCAGTTCATTATGCTAAGTGAAAGAAACCAGTCTAAAAAGGCTACATAGTATAAGATTCTATTTATATGACATTCTGGAAAATGCAAAATTATAAAGATGAAAAACCTATCAGTGGTGGCCATGGGGTTTATCCGACAAGCACAAGGGAATTTATCAGGGCAGTGAAACTGGTATGCATAATACTGCAATGGTGGTTCCGTGCTTGCTTTGGTCTGAATATTTGTGTTGCCACAAAATTCATCTGCTGAATTACCAAGGTGATGGTATTAGGCAGAAGGTGGGGTATTTGGAGAATGACTAGATCATGAGAGCAGAGTCCTCATGAATGGGATTAGTGTTTTTATAAAACAGACTCCACGGAGATCCCTTATCCCTTCTTGCATGTGAGGATCTAGGGAAAAGGCAGCTGTCTATGAACTAGGGAGCAGGACTCCACCAGACATGAAATCTGCCAGCACCTTGATCTTGGACTTCCCAACCTCCAGAATGTGAGAAATAAAGTTGCGTTGTCTATAAGCCACCCAGTCTATCACTATTTTTGTTATGGAAGCCCAAACGGACTAAGACAATGGCACGAGGCATTTGTCAAAACCCATAGATCTTTACAGCACAAAGAGTGAAGCTTAATGTATGTAAAGTTTAAAAGTAACTTAAGAGGTTGGAGAATCACGGGACGGCAGGTAGAATGTTCCACACACACACACACACACACACACACCTAGTTGTATAATAGATATATGAAACCACCACAATGAAGCAAGTGGGGGGAAAAGTTAACACATTTTGTACTCCATCAAAGAAATATATATTTTATAAAGTTTAAGTTGGCCAGATAAGTGTGTAACATAGTTGAACATTTGATAATCATTTATTTAATTTTTTAGATATGAAAACTATCGGCTTTTTGTTTTAAAAAAATCCTTATCTTTTAAAAATGCATATTAAGTTATTTAGAGATGAAATGGTCTAATGCCTTAGATTTACTCCACGTTATTCCAGCAGCTCATATGCAGGTAGGCGAGTGTTTAACTGGAACCAGATTTGCTGTGTATTTAAAGATGTTCATGCTCGGTATCAAGTATCCTGGGTTCATTATATTCGTTCCTGTTATTCTGTATGTGTGAAGGCTTTCCCTAATAAAACTTTTTTATCATAAATATGCCATTAAAAGTGAAATCCTAAATGAAACTGACCACTTTGTAGAAATAAAATAAATCAGTAACCAAACTGATCCAAAGAGGAAAAGAAAACTTTAACTATACAACAGAAACTGTACAATATTCAAAGCTCAAGCCACCCTCAAACATTCCAGGTTAGACAGCTTTGGAGGCCAATTTTACCAAATGATCAGGGAAAACTAACCACCGCCTTATATCAACTCTTCCAGAACATACAAAAGACTGACAATTGTTCAGTTCATTCTCCCAGGCTAGCCCTCCTGGATTTAAAAACCAGATGAGGACCACATACCTCCCCTGATGGAAAAAGAACACATCAAGTAAGCTCTCTTACACAGCAGTAAATATCCTACATAAATTAGTAGTACATTAAACGAATAAACAGGCTCTGCCCAAGGAAATAAAATATGATTTAACATTAGAAAAAACATCTGTTTCATTGTGATTCCTTACATACAAAATGGAAGAGAAAAAAATTTGATCCTGCCAACGGGTACAGAAAAAGCTTTTTAAATAAATTTAATATGAATTCATGGTAAAAAAGAAAATATTTAGGCAACCTATACTGAAAGAGAACTTCCATTTCCTAAAATCAACAGCAAACATACTTAAATGTCAAATGTTCGAAGAATTATCATTCAAGTCAGGAACGAGAAGTAGATGTAGCCTATTATCTCTACATTTGAAATCAGGATTGAGACACAAAGAGCTGTAAGTACCGAAATGAGTGAGTGGTATGAACATTGGAAAAACATGTAGTGTTTAGTGATAATACCATTATCGATCTTGAAAATTCAAAGGAAAAGGTATGCGGAATATTCAAGTGCATCGGCCTTCAGAACGAGGTGTGCAACAGATTACTACAGCAAAATCAAAATCTTCACCTCACGAAAGCAATAACTAACTACAACAATTGATAGACAATATGCCACTTGCAATAGCAACAAAATCCAAGAATTACCTGAATAGAAGCCTAATAAAAATGTATAAGTTGTTTATAGAGGCAACTACCGAAGTATACTGACATATTCAGGAAAAAAGAGCTTGAAATCCATAGAGGAGTATAACATATTCATTCACGGGGAACACAACAGTGTAAAAATGTAAACTCAGCTTAAATTATTTACAATTTAGTGCCTTACCTGTAGCCGCCGACATTACAAGCAAATTTGGGCTGCTGTGCTCTGCTTCCCAAATCAACCCTGTAAATTTATAGAATGGAAACAGAAAGTAAAACACCAGTATCAGCAAGAAAATCTACACAACAAAACAGGGAAAGCCCAGAGTGAGACTGGAGACTGTGTTGAGCTGGTACTTGTGTGTGACACTTGCAGTGTCTGTTGGAGGGGGTTAGCGGCAGAGATGTTGGGGAGGTTTGTAGCCTGCCTAGACGGCAGATGAAAGAATGGGTAGAATAAAAGTTTTGAATTTTCCACTTCACTTCATTGCACAATCTGAGGCAGCCCCTGAAAACACGATGCCAAGAGCCCTAGGTAATAGCAGTGTCCACCAGGAAAATTGGGTTTGTTAAGGCAGCATGGCTCCAGAGTTCTGCTAATAACAACCTGAAACCAACAGAGTGGGAGAGGAATTATGTTTTTTAAAAAAATTCTTTCAACAGAACACAAAGACTGGAATGGAAGTAGACTAGGATATCAGAGTGAATCATGCATACTAAGGGTAGGTGTTAGTTCATAGAAATAAATATATATATTGCTACCTACATATATACTTAGAAGATATGTAAACCGTATTTCTTCAATTCAGAGAATAAATCATTTAGGACCAAAGGTTTGCCAAGTGTAGCTCTGGCTGGGGAGGAGCCCCCGTGGGAAGGTGTGCGTCTTCTCCCAGAGGTCACTATCATCGCGGGAGCTCCTGCCCTGCAGGGAGCACCTGGCCTGGCACCCGCAGCCATTCTCTACAAGGGGTGCAGATGCGCAGATGCGCAGATGCTCAGAGGTGACAGAAACAGAGCATCTCCCACCCATTCCTTCATCAAACAGCCAGGAGTGAGGAAGAGGACCCTCCTGAGTGAGGACTGAGGATCCACCCTCACCCACATAGTGGGACCACAGAATCCAGCTCAGCCCCTCTTGTCAGCCCTGGTACACACTGGCAATGATCTCACCCCGAGCACACCCCTCCCCCCAATGCCACTTCGGGCCGACTCAGAGTCAGAGACTTGGTCTGAGGGGAGCAAACACAATCGGCAGAGGATGGCGGTCCAGGCTCAGTCTGGCATCCAAGTCAGGACCTTGAGGGATGACCAAAGGCCCCTCCCACCCCCAACTCCCCCGACCCCACCAGGATCTACAGCCTCAGGATCCCCGTCCCAATCCCTACCCCTACACCAACACCATCTTCATGCTTACCCCCACCCCCCCATCCAGATCCCCATCCGGGCAGAATCCGGTTCCACCCTTGCCGTGAACCCAGGGAAGTCACGGGCCCGGATGTGACGCCACTGACTTGCGCATTGGAGGTCAGAGGACAGCGAGATTCTCGCCCTGAGCAACGGCCTGACGTCGGCGGAGGGAAGCAGGCGCAGGCTCCGTGAGGAGGCAAGGTAAGACGCCGAGGGAGGACTGAGGCGGGCCTCACCCCAGACAGAGGGCCCCCAATAATCCAGCGCTGCCTCTGCTGCCGGGCCTGGACCACCCTGCAGGGGAAGACTTCTCAGGCTGAGTCGCCACCACCTCACCCCGCCACCCCCCGCCGCTTTAACCGCAGGGAACTCTGGCGTAAGAGCTTTGTGTGACCAGGGCAGGGCTGGTTAGAAGTGCTCAGGGCCCAGACTCAGCCAGGAATCAAGGTCAGGACCCCAAGAGGGGACTGAGGGCAACCCACCCCCTACCCTCACTACCAATCCCATCCCCCAACACCAACCCCACCCCCATCCCTCAAACACCAACCCCACCCCCAAACCCCATTCCCATCTCCTCCCCCACCACCATCCTGGCAGAATCCGGGCTTTGCCCCTGCAATCAACCCACGGAAGCTCCGGGAATGGCGGCCAAGCACGCGGATCCTGACGTTCACATGTACGGCTAAGGGAGGGAAGGGGTTGGGTCTCGTGAGTATGGCCTTTGGGATGCAGAGGAAGGGCCCAGGCCCTCCTGGAAGACAGTGGAGTCCTTAGGGGACCCAGCATGCCAGGACAGGGGGCCCACTGTACCCCTGTCTCAAACTGAGCCACCTTTTCATTCAGCCGCGGGAATCCTAGGGATGCAGACCCACTTCAGCAGGGGGTTGGGGCCCAGCCCTGCGAGGAGTCAAGGGGAGGAAGAAGAGGGAGGACTGAGGGGACCTTGGAGTCCAGATCAGTGGCAACCTTGGGCTGGGGGATCCTGGGCACAGTGGCCGAATGTGCCCCGTGCTCATTGCACCTTCAGGGTGACAGAGAGTTGAGGGCTGTGGTCTGAGGGCTGGGACTTCAGGTCAGCAGAGGGAGGAATCCCAGGATCTGCCGGACCCAAGGTGTGCCCCCTTCATGAGGACTGGGGATACCCCCGGCCCAGAAAGAAGGGATGCCACAGAGTCTGGCCGTCCCTTGTTCTTAGCTCTGGGGGAACCTGATCAGGGATGGCCCTAAGTGACAATCTCATTTGTACCACAGGCAGGAGGTTGGGGAACCCTCAGGGAGATAAGGTGTTGGTGTAAAGAGGAGCTGTCTGCTCATTTCAGGGGGTTGGGGGTTGAGAAAGGGCAGTCCCTGGCAGGAGTAAAGATGAGTAACCCACAGGAGGCCATCATAACGTTCACCCTAGAACCAAAGGGGTCAGCCCTGGACAACGCACGTGGGGGTAACAGGATGTGGCCCCTCCTCACTTCTGTTTCCAGATCTCAGGGAGTTGATGACCTTGTTTTCAGAAGGTGACTCAGGTCAACACAGGGGCCCCCATCTGGTCGACAGATGCAGTGGTTCTAGGATCTGCCAAGCATCCAGGTGGAGAGCCTGAGGTAGGATTGAGGGTACTCCTGGGCCAGAATGCAGACAGGGGGCCCCATAGAAATCTGCCCTGCCCCTGCGGTTACTTCAGAGACCCTGGGCAGGGCTGTCAGCTGAAGTCCCTCCATTATCCTGGGATCTTTGATGTCAGGGAAGGGGAGGCCTTGGTCTGAAGGGGCTGGAGTCAGGTCAGTAGAGGGAGGGTCTCAGGCCCTGCCAGGAGTGGACGTGAGGACCAAGCGGACTCGTCACCCAGGACACCTGGACTCCAATGAATTTGGACATCTCTCGTTGTCCTTCGCGGGAGGACCTGGTCACGTATGGCCAGATGTGGGTCCCCTCATCTCCTTCTGTACCATATCAGGGATGTGAGTTCTTGACATGAGAGATTCTCAAGCCAGCAAAAGGGTGGGATTAGGCCCTACAAGGAGAAAGGTGAGGGCCCTGAGTGAGCACAGAGGGGACCCTCCACCCAAGTAGAGTGGGGACCTCACGGAGTCTGGCCAACCCTGCTGAGACTTCTGGGAATCCGTGGCTGTGCTTGCAGTCTGCACACTGAAGGCCCGTGCATTCCTCTCCCAGGAATCAGGAGCTCCAGGAACCAGGCAGTGAGGCCTTGGTCTGAGTCAGTGTCCTCAGGTCACAGAGCAGAGGGGACGCAGACAGTGCCAACACTGAAGGTTTGCCTGGAATGCACACCAAGGGCCCCACCCGCCCAGAACAAATGGGACTCCAGAGGGCCTGGCCTCACCCTCCCTATTCTCAGTCCTGCAGCCTGAGCATGTGCTGGCCGGCTGTACCCTGAGGTGCCCTCCCACTTCCTCCTTCAGGTTCTGAGGGGGACAGGCTGACAAGTAGGACCCGAGGCACTGGAGGAGCATTGAAGGAGAAGATCTGTAAGTAAGCCTTTGTCAGAGCCTCCAAGGTTCAGTTCAGTTCTCACCTAAGGCCTCACACACGCTCCTTCTCTCCCCAGGCCTGTGGGTCTTCATTGCCCAGCTCCTGCCCGCACTCCTGCCTGCTGCCCTGACCAGAGTCATCATGCCTCTTGAGCAGAGGAGTCAGCACTGCAAGCCTGAAGAAGGCCTTGAGGCCCGAGGAGAGGCCCTGGGCCTGGTGGGTGCGCAGGCTCCTGCTACTGAGGAGCAGCAGACCGCTTCTTCCTCTTCTACTCTAGTGGAAGTTACCCTGGGGGAGGTGCCTGCTGCCGACTCACCGAGTCCTCCCCACAGTCCTCAGGGAGCCTCCAGCTTCTCGACTACCATCAACTACACTCTTTGGAGACAATCCGATGAGGGCTCCAGCAACCAAGAAGAGGAGGGGCCAAGAATGTTTCCCGACCTGGAGTCCGAGTTCCAAGCAGCAATCAGTAGGAAGATGGTTGAGTTGGTTCATTTTCTGCTCCTCAAGTATCGAGCCAGGGAGCCGGTCACAAAGGCAGAAATGCTGGAGAGTGTCCTCAGAAATTGCCAGGACTTCTTTCCCGTGATCTTCAGCAAAGCCTCCGAGTACTTGCAGCTGGTCTTTGGCATCGAGGTGGTGGAAGTGGTCCCCATCAGCCACTTGTACATCCTTGTCACCTGCCTGGGCCTCTCCTACGATGGCCTGCTGGGCGACAATCAGGTCATGCCCAAGACAGGCCTCCTGATAATCGTCCTGGCCATAATCGCAATAGAGGGCGACTGTGCCCCTGAGGAGAAAATCTGGGAGGAGCTGAGTATGTTGGAGGTGTTTGAGGGGAGGGAGGACAGTGTCTTCGCACATCCCAGGAAGCTGCTCATGCAAGATCTGGTGCAGGAAAACTACCTGGAGTACCGGCAGGTGCCCGGCAGTGATCCTGCATGCTACGAGTTCCTGTGGGGTCCAAGGGCCCTCATTGAAACCAGCTATGTGAAAGTCCTGCACCATACACTAAAGATCGGTGGAGAACCTCACATTTCCTACCCACCCCTGCATGAACGGGCTTTGAGAGAGGGAGAAGAGTGAGTCTCAGCACATGTTGCAGCCAGGGCCAGTGGGAGGGGGTCTGGGCCAGTGCACCTTCCAGGGCCCCATCCATTAGCTTCCACTGCCTCGTGTGATATGAGGCCCATTCCTGCCTCTTTGAAGAGAGCAGTCAGCATTCTTAGCAGTGAGTTTCTGTTCTGTTGGATGACTTTGAGATTTATCTTTGTTTCCTGTTGGAATTGTTCAAATGTTCCTTTTAACAAATGGTTGGATGAACTTCAGCATCCAAGTTTATGAATGACAGTAGTCACACATAGTGCTGTTTATATAGTTTAGGGGTAAGAGTCCTGTTTTTTATTCAGATTGGGAAATCCATTCCATTTTGTGAGTTGTCACATAATAACAGCAGTGGAATATGTATTTGCCTATATTGTGAACGAATTAGCAGTAAAATACATGATACAAGGAACTCAAAAGATAGTTAATTCTTGCCTTATACCTCAGTCTATTATGTAAAATTAAAAATATGTGTATGTTTTTGCTTCTTTGAGAATGCAAAAGAAATTAAATCTGAATAAATAATTCTTCCTGTTCACTGGCTCATTTCTTTACCATTCACTCAGCATCTGCTCTGTGGAAGGCCCTGGTAGTAGTGGGGATTCTAAGGTAAGCCAGACTCACGTCTACCCATAGGGTCATAGAGTCTAGGAGCTGCAGTCATGTAATTAAGGTGGCGAGAAGTCCTCTAGGATGTAGTGGAAATGTAAGACAGGGGTGAGGGTGTGGGGTTCCAGGTGAGAGTGGTGAGTATAAATGCCCTGAGCTGGGGCAATTTGGGATCTGGGAACCTGCAGTTCCTTCTGAAGGAGCTGATTCTAATGATGCCCGGTGGGTCCAGGGCCAGATTCTCAGAGGGTGAGAGAAAAGCCTGGAATGGAATGCTACCCTGAGCAGTTTCTTTAGGATGGGGATGAAGAGAGAGGAATCTCCACCTGGGGCTGGAATGGAAGGTGTCCTGTGTTTTTGCCCAATGCTGTTGAACACAGCCCAAGATCTAGGTGATGGACACCCATCATCTGCAAGGGTTTCCTGAGCGATAAGGCTGAATTTCCCAGGAAGGGTGACCCAGAAGCCACTGGCCAGGTGCTTTTCTTTTTTTTTTTTTTTTTTTTTTTTTTTTTTTTTTTTTTTTTGAGACGGAGTCTCGCTCTGTCGCCCAGGCTGGAGTGCAGTGGCGGGATCTCGGCTCACTGCAAGCTCCGCCTCCCGGGTTCACGCCATTCTCCTGCCTCAGCCTCCCAAGTAGCTGGGACTACAGGCGCCCGCCACTACGCCCGGCTAATTTTTTTTGTATTTTTAGTAGAGACGGGGTTTCACCGTTTTAGCCGGGATGGTCTCGATCTCCTGACCTCGTGATCCGCCCGCCTCGGCCTCCCAAAGTGCTGGGATTACAGGCGTGAGCCACCGCGCCCGGCCGGCCAGGTGCTTTTCTGCCAGGCAGGGAGAGCCAGAGCTGACTCCATTAAAAAGGCATTCTAACTAGGTTATCTCAAGTGCAATTTGACCAATTGTAAGCACGGGCTAGATTCTGGATGGTAACAAAGTGGATGAATATAGTGGTTTGGATGGGAAAGCAGCTGGGAGAGAGGGAAGGAGTTGGTCTTTGACTCACATTCTAGGAGCTTTGAGCTGCACCTGGCTGGGCAAAACTCCCGCACAACCAAATTTTGAAGTGCATTCTCTAAGAGGAAATACTTAACTGAATTTTATGGAAGAAGCTTCTGTTTGGGGCTAATTATTCCATGTCCTATTGAGCTGTATGTTCTCTGATAAGTCCTGGAGAACAACGACAACAACAACAAAATCCCAGTGTTCGGGCCTCGGGTTAAAGCATATTGGAAATAACAGCCATCCGCCATTTGTGAAACTTCCAATTTACACCAGGCCCGGAGCCAGGTGGTTCACCTGCGTTGCATACACTCCGACTGTCCTACTAGACAGGCCTTATCACATCTGCTTACAGATGAAGAATCCAGGGCTTACAGAGCTTGTGAATTGGGATATAAGAACAGGGTATTTCCTGGGTATTTCTCAGTATCACGTGGCTAGTAAGGAACAGGGCTGGAACCAGACCCCTGGCATGAATTCCTTTAGAGCCCATGCTGTCCCCACTTCTCCGAGCCCGAGGCTGACCTCCTGACAGCGACTTCATTTTTCTTCTCAGCACTGCACCATGTCTCTCAGGTGACAAAAAGAAGGACCTTGAGGCCAGCATAATGAAGCAGGCCTGGAGAACGCGACAGTGAGAATCAAACACCATTTGGGGCTGGTGTGCGCTAGGTTCCTTGAGAGCTAACTCTGCCCAGTTGTGGGCATTTCTCTGCAGCCCCAGCACTTTCAGAATTACAGCACATTTCCCCGGGTCACTTCCATGTGTCCTGTCTGACTCTGGAACCTATAGGGCCTGCTGATCAGCTCCTCACTGATCCTCACAGAACAGCCCAGAATCCCCTGCTCACCTCCTGACAGGGAGCATTCCTTCTCATAGTAGAAGTCCTCTGGCTGTTCCGTCTCTCACCCAGGAAGCCATATGATGTCAAAAACCCTTTTGTATAAAAACTCACACGGGGACAGTGACGCTTAGACACTTGGTTACCACTCTGGTTGTCTTCAACACACTCTCTAATCGTTTTCTGAATGGGCTGAGGAGTCTGATTCGCCATATTATCTAAGGGTTCTTGTGTGATGTCACCCTGAAGTTAGAGGGATTTGGAACCACCTTGATACTTGAAATCGGACTTTCACAGGGCGTCCTTTTGGAATTCGCCTCTGAATACATGCACAGATAAATGATCAAAGAGCAAACCGTCTCTCATGAGTATTAGATGAGAAAAACCTTGGGAAACCCCAGTGGAACAAACATCTACTTACTGAGGCTGAATTCCTAAATTTCTGGAGTCCTCCAGGAGTTTAAAAACTATACCTTGAAAACATGTCAACTCTAATGAAAGAGGAATAATTAAGCAGCCTTCTGTTTCTTGTCTGTTTACCTGCTCCACAGGAAAATACTGGCCTTCAGCGTGCCTACCTCGACAGGTGTACAGGCGTGTGGAGGGTAGCAGAAATTCACAGGTTAACATTTTGACCGGGAATCAAATGGAGGAACAATTCTCAGCCTACTAAGGATTTAAAGGATATTACAAAGGAAAGCCTTCCTGCTGAGACTTTCAAGATTCTTGAACAGTTAGTTGTGATCGTATGTTTGAAAACATCAGTCACATATTTGACACTGGAAAACGCTGGAGAACTTCAAGGTAAATTTGGCCTTCTCAGAAACTCCTCCTAGAAATGAGAAGGGTAGTATAATACCAAATGATCATAGTTGCTTTTTGTTGAGCACCCACTATGTAACAGTTTATGGGGAAGGGTATAGTACTCACCCACATTTTGTCTCTGTCTCCTTCCTGGACACATGGGAACAGTAAAGTCCTTGCAGTTAGGATCATGTGACTTTTCCTTTACACCAATACAGGAGCAGAAGCATTGTTTGTCACATCCAGGCATTTGAGAGCCAGTGTGCCATTTCCATGCTTTCTCTCCGCTTTCAACAGCAAACATGGCAGCTTCATCTTGAGATGACGGAATCAAAAGGTGGAAGCAGCTTGGATCCCTGGGTCATGTGAGAGTGGAGAGCCCCTGCCAAACCGCATCAGAACTTATTTGCACATAAAATAAACTTCTGTTGTGTCAAGCCATTCATGGTTGTTCTGTTGCATCAGCTAGCAATTACTTAAACTGACACGGCTAGTATTTCTGTTGTCAGTATTAAATATTTTTTATTTAAAATGTAGTTTGGTATATATTCTTATTTCAAAAATGATAGAAATGTAGATAATTCACAATTTTTTTTTTACAAAGCTCCTCCACAGTTAACAACACCCCCCGCCCCCCCGCAGAGGTCACCACAATTAACAATGTTGTGTATTATTTTACTGCTGACTCTAGGCTTTTCACTGACAAACTATAACAATATATTATTTTTATTCAATATACAAGAACAATGACATACATACTGATCTGCTTTTATCACTTTATAAAATGCATGTAGGATCTTTCGACAACAGTATAGATGATAGATAGATAGATAGATAGATAGATAGATAGATAGATAGATAGATAGAGACAGGTAGATCTTTCTCACTTTTGAAACCACTTTCTATAATTCTAAAGTAGACATGCACCAAAATTAATTAAACTCTTTCTTCCTAATGGACATATAAGTTGTTTCCCATTTGCTATATGATAAATAGAATAAAATAAACATCTCTGCCTATGAATTTTAGGCAAACATGGTTTTCTTATAAGAAGGCTATATTAACATGGACATTGGGTTAAAGTGAAAGGGTGAAAATAGTTTAACATTTAAAATATTTCTAAAATGTTATTACAAAAATGCTGTACCAATTCAAATTCTCATAAAAATCACAATTGATTTAAAATTCTGAAGTGTGGACAGGATATTTCTTCTCTGCTTTGAGAAGGATTTGGTGAGACTGAAGAGGAACCAGGGAAGGAGAGCAGACAGGAGACCCTCAGCCTGTGAGGGAGGATCCAGGGAGGATCCAGGAGAGAGCCATTGCTAGTGTCAATGACAGAGAGCACATGCAAAACCAAGTCCACTGAGACCCAGGCAGGCTGGCACTCCGAGCTCTAAATCCAGACTTCAGGCCGGTGGGGTCAGGAGCCTGAGGGAGAGAAGGGGGAAGGGAGGGGGCAGGACAGGACAATGAACAGGAATAGGCTTGGGAAATCCTGGCACCATCATCACCAGCTGGAGGAGGCCCTGTGATCTGAGTGGGTAAGCCTGTTGGCTGAATGCACCAGGGCTGTGCTGGTCAACCTTCCCGCCCTCAGAATCCCCTTCCCTCTCTCCGGAATAGTTTGGCTGGCTCCCTGCATCATTCTGGGCCAGCTACCTCTCTTGAACCCTCCAGTGGTCCTTTGCACCTTCGCCAGCATCCCAGATCTGGGAGAGGCCTTCATGCATGCTGGGGGCTGGTGTTTTATCCCCTGGGGGCCCTCCATAGAGGCTGGGCTATGTGAGTGTGTTGCTGACTGATGACCAACTGCCAAAACAGGCCAGGAATGCCCATGAGCAGTTGAAAGGGGCAGTGGGGCTGCATGGAGGAGAAATGGGAGGAAGAGTGCCCTGGGACTAGTCAGCTCAGACTCTGCAGATGAAGGATTGGCTGTGGACGTGCCTTGAAAATGAACCAGGTGGTGACTGCGTCTCAGATGGACTTCTGTGGCTTCTGAACTCTTGGCACACAAGAGGACTGGTGTCGTAGGGCAGTGATCGCTGGACTATGTTGCCAGCAGACACTGTCTGGCGTACAGGGCTGGCCCAAGGTGTGTACATGAGCAGGTTGTATGGCAAGGCGTTGGAGTTGGCAGCCTTCCTTGTTAAACTGATGGGGATGTGTGGGGTCCAATAAAGGAAACATCATGCACCATCCTGTTGGGAGCATCCTCACCTCCATGACGGTGTTTGGGCCTGGGGATAAGGCATCTGTAGTGACCCTCTCGTTGGTAGTTTCCACGGGTTTTTCTGAGCTCAAGTGAGCACAGGTGAAGGAACTGTGGGTTTCTTCATGCAGGTCGGAGGCCCAGGCCAGACCGACTCCATAATTTGAACCAAAGAATTCCCATGCCTGGTACTTTCATTCATTTCATGCACTTATTGATTCCTACAGAAAACTTTTATTCAATATATGCTGAGGAAACACCAAGTCAAAAAAACACAAGAAAGCAGCAGTGCCCTTAACTCAGTCTATGGGGGGCGTGAGGGAGATGGTGAGGTGGAAAGACACGGAAGAGTTTTAGGAAGTGAGGGACTGTGAACTGATGGAGAGAATCTCTATTGACCTGACTTCTGAGGTTGGTGACGTTGCTCCCTTAGTTGAGAGGGAGGGAGAAGGGTAAGAGTTGGTGGTGATTTGATGAAGAAGAGTGTGGAGGATGAGATCCGTGGGCAGCATTTTAAAGCTCAGTCTAGGATTTTTTTAGACATGGATGTTTTATGAAAATATATAGTGTTTTAACACCCACAGGTAGTGATGCACGTATTGATATGTCACATGCCTTTGCCACGTAATAAGATGAACGCAAGGTCTTCCCACAACTATACCTACAATCGACATCACTTTTGTAAGTATTCCCTAGAATTCTAAAGTAGGTGTGTGCCATAGTTAATTAAACCTTTCCTTTCCTGATAAACACATACGTTCATTCCCATTTGTTGCTATGATTAATAGAACTGAAATAAACATACATTTTTGGACAGATATGCATGCTTTCCAATAAGAAAGATATAGTAACATGGACATTGGGTTAAAGTGGAAATGGTGTGAATAGTTTAACTTTTTAGAAGTATTGTCAAAATTTTATTCCAAAAATACTGTACCAATTAATTTTCTCACAAATTAATAGATGTGAATATCCTACACTCACAGAAAGATTTTGTGTTATCAATCTTCTCATTTTTGGTGAAAATTATGAATAAAATTTAGTGAAGAAATATTGTTTCACTGTTATTTTGTGTCTTTGCTTTCTCTAATTAGGTTAAGTACACACTAACTTAATCCCTCACCCATATGAAGTTGGATTTATACAGTGACATCCTGAGTAACATTTCTCTAGGCATGGTTTAACATTCTGAAATGGGGACAGGACATTTCTCTTGTGCTTTGAGAAGGAATTGGTCAGAATGAACAGGAGCCAGGGAAGGAGAGCAGACAGGACACCCTCAGCCCATGAGGGTAATCGGGAGGATCCAGCACTGATATGGTTTGATTGTTTCCCCACCCAAATCTCATCTTGAATTGTAGCTCCCATAACCTCCACGTGTCATGGGAGGGATCAGGTGGGAGGTAATTGAATCACAGGGATAAGTTTTTCCCATGCTGTTCTCGCCGTAGTAAATAAGTCTTAGGAGATCTGATGTTTTCACAAAGGGCAGTTCCCCTGCACATGCTCTCTTGCCTGCTGCCATGTGAGACATATCTTTGCTCCTCCTTCCCCTTCTGCCATGATTGTGAGGCCTTCCCAGCCATGTAGAACTGTCAGTCCATTAAACCTCTTTTTTTTATTATTATAAATTACCCAGTCTCAGGTATTTCTTCATAGCAGTATGAAAATGAACAAATACAAGGGGAGAGCAATGGCCAGAGTCCATGAGAGAGACCGTATATGAAACCAAGTCCACATTTCCCCAGGCAGGCTGGCATTCAGAGGTCTGAATCCAGAGTTCAGCCCGGTGGGGGCAGGGACCTGAGGGAGAGAAGGGGGAAGAGAGGAGGGAGGGCAGGACAATGAAAAGGAATAGGCTTAGGAAATTCCAGCACCATCGTCACCAGCTGGAGGGGGCCGTGTGATCTGAATGGGCAGGCCTGTTGACTGAATACACCACGGTTGTGCTAGACACCCAACCCTCCCTCAGAATCCCTTTCCCTCTCTCACGAAGAGTATGGCTGGCTCCCTGCATCATTCTGGGTGAGCTCCCTCTCTCCACCACTCCAGTGGTCGTGTGCACTTTTGCCAGCGTCCCAGGGCAGGAAGTTGTCTTCAAGCCTGCTGCGGGCTCCTGTTTTATCTCCTGTGGACCCTCCATAGAGCCTGGACTATGTGAATGGGTTGCTGATTGATGAGCAACAACCAAGACAGGCCAGGAATATTTATGAGGTGTAAAAGGTGGCAGCAAGGCTGCATGGAGGGGAAGTTGGAGGAAGAGTGCCCTGAGACTAGTAAGCTCCTACTCTGTAGATGAAGGATTGGCTGTGGACATGCAATGAAAATGATCCAGGTGGTGACCATGTCTCAGATGGACTCGTGAGGCTTCTGAGCTCTCGGCACATGAGGAGACAGGTGTACTGGGGCACTGATCACAGGCCTGTGTTGCCACCAGACAGGGTCTGGGGTAGAGGGTTGGCCCAAGCTGTGTATGTGAGCAGGTTGGATGGCAAGGCAGTGGAGTTGGCACCCTTCCCTGTTAAACTGATGGGGATGTGTTTGGTCCAATAGAGGAAGCGTCATGCACCATCCTGTTGGAAGCATCCTTACCTCCATGATAAGTGTTTGAGCCTGGGGAGAAGGTGTCTGCAGTGACCCTCTCCGTGGTAGTTGCCATGGAATTTCTGAACTCAAGTGAGCACAAGTGAAAGAACTGTGGGTTTCTTCATGTAGGCAGGAGGCCCAGGAAGGGCAGACTCCATAATTTGAATCAAAGAATTCCCATGCCAGGTGATTTCATTCATTCCATGCACTTATTGATTCCTACAGAAAACTTTTATTCAATATATGCTGAGGAAACACCAAGTCAACAAAACAATAGAAAGTGGCAAAGCCCTTAATTCAGTCTGTAGGGAGTGGGGGGAGATGGTGAGGAGGTGTGAATCGCCCATCTGAGCCAGGGAGGCCAGGAAGGCAGAGCCAGACTTGGGGACTGGCAGTGTGCAAGAAAAGGAGAGACAGCCTGTGTCCAGGCCAGAAAGCTCTCCTTCTATGACAGTATTGGTCTGGTTTTCCTCCTGGATACTGCCTGTGTCTGAAAGCAACTGCTGCTCTCTGTGCCTACCTGCCTTTGTTAACAGGGAAAATGGTCATGGTCAGCGGATGCTCACTTCTGCTCACCTTGGATCACTTCTACTGAAGAGATGGTTTGACAGCAAGCAGACAGGAAGAAACTTTTGGGGAGGATGAATATATTTTTCACCTTCACTGTGGTTGTGGTTTGATGGGACTAAATGTTTGTCAAAACTCTTTGATTTGTTTCTCAGTACTTAGGAGAAAAAGTAAGCAGAAAACCAGGAAGGATATAGATGACCTGAAAAGCACCATTAACTACTCTGACTAAATAAAACAATAAGAAAAGCACCGCATTCAACAATAGCAGAATAAACAATCCTCTCAAGTGTGCATGAAATATCTCCCAAGATAGATGGTATTCTGGGCCATCAAACAAAGCTTACAAATTGAAAAGAATAGAAATAATAGAAAGCCTCTTCTTAGACCATAATATAATAAAACTCAAAACCAAACACCAAGATATCTGAAAAATGCCCAAATATTGGAAATTTTAAAATAAGCTCCTATATAACCTATGGGTCAAAGAGGGAGTCCCAGGAGAATTTTAAAAATACATTAAGTTGAATGAAAATAAAAATGTACATACAAAAAGTGGGATTCTGCTAAAGTGTGTCCTTGAGGGAAATATATAGCATATTTTAAATGTTTATATTAGAAAATGAAATCTAAAATCAATAACCATAACTTTCACTCTAGGAAACCAAAGAACGAAGAGCAAGTTGAATTTAAAGAAATTGTAGAAGATCCCACCTCCCTCCCTTCTCACACTCCCACCTCTTCCCCCTTACTCCCTACCCCTACCATTTGAGACACACAGACACACACATCATTTTACAACATGTTCATTTTATTTTCGTCACCATGGGGTATACCCTTTGGGGTATAAAATGTACTCTACACCCTGTTGGCTATTTTTCTGGGGTTAGACCTCTGGAGACTTTTCAGGTAGCCTTGAGGTTTCTGGCCTTGCCCGGGAATTACTGGCTGCCCAAAGAGAGACTGGAGAAGGTGGTGGTCTCCTTGCCCTTGTGGTCCTACTGTGTCTCATTTTGATTGAGTTCTTTTGGCTGGTCGGAGTGGCTGGATAGTGTTGGCCCACTCCATTCCTCAGGTTTTTTTGAAGCGGTGGTCTTTTAGGGAGAGCCTTTTGTTCCTGGAACTTCCTTGACGGGTCCCTGTTCCCTTCCAGGTTGTCTTGGCAACCTGGAAAACCAACCAGGAGATCAAAGAAGGGCACTGGTTTGGGGAAGAGGATGGAGAAGGGGTGAGAACAGGGGCTTCATAGAGAAATGGGGCAGGGTGGGGTGGGGGTTGTGCCAGGGGAGGACAGGGTAGGATTTAGAGCTTCGGTGGGCCGTTCACTTTGATAGGGCTTCTGGGCTAGGGTTGAGAGGATGCTTTCCACTTCCTCACCTCTTTGGTGTTGGTGGGTGGTTGTTGGACAATGGGCTGGAGGCTCGTGGTTTCCTGGACATCTTCACCAGACCAGTGTCTCTCAACAGTCTACTCCAGTCCACCTGGTCTCTCCATGCCTCCCCCAGGACAGTGAAGGCAGGCCAGCAGGCTAGAAACTCACAGCGCATTTTTATGTTAGTCTTGTGGTAGAATTCCTTTTCCAGGAAACCTTGGTCTTTTCTCTTAACACCTTCAACTAATTGGATGAGGCCTATCCACATTATGGAAGTTAAACTGCTTTACTTAAAGTCAACTGATTGTAAATGTTGATCACATCTACAAAATACCTTCACAGCAACATCTAGACTACTGTTTGACCACACAGCTGAGCAGTATAGCCTAGACAAGTTGACACATAATACTAGCCGTTGCACATATCTTGCACCATACAAAAATGTAACTCAAAATGAGCCACAGACTTTATATGTCACAATTACATTGCTTTTTTTTTCTAGGACAAAACAAAAAAAATTGTGTTACCTGAGGTTATGTCTTAGCTTAGGCTGCCATAACAAAATGCCATTGACTGAGTAGCTGAAACAACAGAAATTTATCTTTTTTCAGTTTTGAAATGTGGAAGTCCCAGATCAAGGACTGGCGGGGTTGTCTTCTGGTGATGGCCTTATTCCTGGCTTGTAGATGGCCCTTTATTAATTTGTCAGTTCTTGGCCTTTCCTCTGTGTATGTGCAGAGAGAGAGAGAGGAAGAGAGAGAGAGAAAGAAAGAGAGAGAGAGAGAGAAGTCATGCAGGCACAAAAGTACTTTCTTCTGTTTCTTCTCCCTTCTTACAATCACACTAATTCTGTGGGATCAAGCTCCCACCCTTATGGCCTCTTTTAACATTAATTACTACCTTAGAAGCCTCATCTCCAAATACTGACACCCTGGGGCTGAGGGTTTCAAAATATGAATTTGGTGGAGGACATAAGCATTAGCAAAGAATAGACACATAGATTAATAAAACAGAATAGAGCTCAGAAATAGACCTGCACACACATAGTCAGGTGATTCACAACAAAGGCAATAATGGTGAAAGTACAGGTTTTCCAACAAAAGGTGCCTGAACAATTAGACACCTATACACAAATTATAATAACCTAGACATATCCTTACATATTGCACGAAAATTAACTCAATACATCATAGACCTGATGAAAAATACAAGAACTATACAACCTCTAAAAGAAAACGTAAGAGAAAATCCACATAACTTTGAGTTTGGTGATGAGTTTTTAAATTCAACACCAAAAGCATGATCAAGGAAAGAAAAATTTGCCAAGTTGATTTTATTAAAATAAAAATTTTATGCTCTTCAAAGGACAATGTTAAGAGAATGAAAACAAGCCACAGTCTAGCAGAAAAAATCTGTGGTACACATATGTGATAAAGAACTTGTCTCTACAATATATACGAATTCTTAAAGCTCAATGATAGAAAAAATGAAAATAGTCAAAGATCTGAACACAATCTACACAAAAGAAGATACACACAGGGCAAATAAGCATAATAAAATACTGAGTGTCCTTTGGCATTAGATAATTGTGTACTAAAGTGAGATACTACTACACACCTATTAGAATGTCTAAAACCCATAAAAAAGCAAAACAAAACCAAGACCAATTGCCAGTGAAGATGTGGAGCAACAGAAACTCCGGGCGTGGTGGAAATTAGAAGTTTAACAAATGGCCGATGGCTGTTATTTCTAATATTTTTAAAGCCTAGGCATTAACACTCTGGGACTTTGTTGTTGTTGTCGTTGTTCTCCAGGAGTCATCAGAAAATATACAGCTCAACAGGACATGGGATAATTAGGCCAAAAAGGAAGCTTCACCTGTAAAATTCAGTTAAGTATTTCCTCTTAGAGAATGCACTTCAAACTTTGTGTGTGCGGGAGTTTTGCCCAGCCAGGTGCAACCCAAAACTCCTAGAATGTGTGTCAAAGACCAATTCCTTCCATCTCTCCCAGCTGCTTTCCCACCCAAACCACTATTTTCATCCATTTTGTTACCATCCAAAATCTGGCCCACGCCTACAATTGGTCAAATTGCACTTGAGATAACCTAGTTAGAATGCCTTTTTAATGGAGTCAGCTCTGGCTCTCCCTGCCTGGCAGAAAAGCACCTGGCCAGTGGCTTCTGGGTCACCCTTCCTGGGAAATTCAGCCTTATCGCTCAGGAAACCCTTGCAGATGATAGATTTTCATCACCTAGATCTTGGGTTGTGTTCAATAGCAGTGGGACAAAAGCACAGGACACCTTCTATTCCAGCCCCAGGTGGAGATTCCTCTCTGTTCATCCCCCATCCGAAATAAACTACTCAGAGTTGCTTTCCATTCCAGGCTTTTCTCTCATTCACTGAGAATCTGTGGGCCCTGGACCCACCCAGCTTCATCAGAGTCAGCTCCTTCAGAAGGAACTGCAGGTTCCCAAAGTCCAAAATGCCCCAGCTCAGGGCATTTACACTCCACAACTCCCTCCTGGAACCCCACACCCTCACCCTTCTCTTATATTTCCTCTACATCTTACAGGACTTCTTGCCACCTTAATTATATGACTGCAGGTCCTAGGCTCTACAACCCTACGGGTAGGCGTGAGTCTTGCTTACCTTAGCATCCGCACTACTAACGCAGAGCCTTCCACAGAGCAGATGCTGAGTGAATGGAAAATAAATGAGCCAGTGAACAGGAAGAATTATTTATTCAGATTTAATTTCTCTTAAATTCTCAAAGAAGCCAAGGATATCCAGGTATCCATGCTTTTTTTTCAAATTTACAGAATAGAGTGAGGTATAAGGCAAGAATTAAGTATCTTTTAACTTCTTGAGGTCTTTATCTCATGTATTTTACTGCTAATTCTTTCACAATTCTAAGCACATACTTTTTCCACTGCTGTTATTTGTCACAATTCACAAAATGGAATGGATTTCCCAATCTGAATAAAAAACAACACTCTTACTCCTAAACTATATAAACAGCACTATGTGTGACTACTGTCATTCATAAACTTGGATGCTGAAGTTCATTCAACCATCCGTTAAAAGGAACATTTGAACAATTCCAACAGGAAACAAAGATAAATCTCAAAGTCATCCAATAGAACAGAAACTCACTACTAACAATACTGACTGCTCTCTTCAAAGAGTGAAGAATGGGCCTCATGTCACACGAGGCAGTGGAAACTAATGGATGGGGCCTTGGAAGGTGCACTGGCCCAGACCCCCTCCCACTGGCCCTGGCTGCAACTCGTGCTCAGACTCACTCTTCCCCCTCTCTAAAAGCCCATTCATGCAGGGGTGGGTAGGAAATGTGAGGTCCTCCACTGATCTTTAGCAAATGGTGCAGGACTTTCACATAGCTGGTTTCAACGAGGGCCCTTGGACCCCACAGGAACTCGTAGCATGCAGGATCACTGCCGGGGACCTGCCGGTACTCCAGGTAGTTTTCCTGCACCAAATCTTGGGTGAGCAGCTTCCTGGGATGCGCAAAGACACTGTCCTCCCTCCCATCAGATGCCTCCAACACACTCAGCTCCTCCCAGATTTTCTCCTCAGGGGCACAGTCGCCCTCTTTTGCGATTATGGCCAGGACGATTATCAGGAGGCCTGTCTTGGGCACGATCTGATTGTCGCCCAGCAGGCCATCGTAGGAGAGGCCCAGGCAGGTGACAAGGATGTACAAGTGGCCGATGCGGACCACTTCCACCACCTCGATGCCAAAGACCAGCTGCAAGTACTCGGAGGCTTTGCTGAAGATCACAGGAAAGAAGTCCTGGAAATTTCTGATGACACTCCCCAGCATTTCTGCCTTTGTGAATGGCTCCCTGGCTCGATACTTGAGGAGCAGAAAATGAACCAACTCAGCCATCTTCCTACTGAGTGCTACTTGGAAGCTCGTCTCCAGGTCAGGAAAGGTGCTTGGCCCTTCCTGTTCTTCGTTGCTGGAGCCCTCATCGGATTGACTCCAGAGAGTATAGTTGATGGTAGTGGGGAGGGTGGAGGCTCCCTGAGGACTGTGGGGAGGACTTGGTGACTCGGCAGCAGGCACCTCCCGCAGGGTGACTTCCACTAGAGTAGAGGAGGAGGAGGCAGTCTCCTGCTCCTCAGTAGCAGGAGCCTGCGCACCCACCAAGCCCAGGGCCTCTCCTTGGGCCTCAAGGCCTTCCTCAGGCTTGCAGTGCTGACTCCTCTGCTCAAGTGGCATGATGACTCTGGTCAGGGCAGCAGGTAGGAGTGTGGGCAGGAGCTAGTGCTGCTCCGGGGCCTGTCTCCTCAGAACCTGAAGGAACAAGTGAGAGGGCGCCTCAGGGTACAGCCGGCCAGCACATGCTGAGGCTGAAGGAATGACAGTAGGGAGGGTGAGGCCAGGCGCTCTGGAGTCCCATGTGTTCTGGGGCCGGTGCGGCCCTTGGTGTGCATTCAAGGCAAACCTTCAGTGTTGGCACTGTCTGCACCCCCTCTGCTCTGTGACCTCAGGACACTGCCTCAGACCAAGGCCTCACTGCCTTGTTCTTGGAACTCCTGATTCCTGGGAGAGGAATCCATGGGCCTCAGGGTGCAGACTGCAAGTACAGCCACAGATTCCCAAAATTGTCAGGAGGGTCGGCCAGACTCTGTGAGGTCCCCACTCTACTGGGGTGGAGGGTCCCTTCTGTGCTCACTCAGGGCCCTCACCTTTCTCCTTGCAGGGCCTAATACCGCCCTTTTGCTGGCCAAAGAAACTCTCATGGCAAGAATTCACATCCCTGATACGGTACAGAAGGACATGAGGGGACCAACATCTGGCCATACATAACCAGATCCTCCCACAAAGGACAATGAGAGATGTCCAAATTCATTGGAGTCCAGGTGTCCTGGGTGACGAGCCTGCTTGGTCCTCACCACTACTCCTGCTAGGGCCTGAGAGCCTCCCTCTACTGACCTGAGTGCAGCCCCTTCAGACCAAGGCCTCCCTTTCCCTGACATCAAAGATCCCAGGATAATGGAGGGACCTCAGCAGGTAGCCTTGCCCAGGCTCTCTGAGGGAATAGCAGGGGCAGGGCAGATTTCTGTGGGGCCCTCTGTCAGCGTTCTGGCCCAGGGGTACCCTCAATCCTACCTCAGGCTTCTCACCTGGATGCTTGGTAGATCTTAGGACCACTGTGTCTGTCGACTACATGGGGGCCCCTGTGTTGACCTGAGTCACCCTCTGAAGAAAAGGTCCTCAACTCCCTGAGATCTGGAAACAGAAGTGAGGAGGAGCCACATCCTGTCACTCCCAGGTAGGTTGTCCAGGGCTGACCCCTTTGGTTCTAGGGTGAGGCTTCTGATGGCCTCCTGTGGGTTACTCATCTTTACTCCTGCCAGGGACTGCCCTTCCTCAACCCCCAACCCCCTGAAATGAGCAGACAGCTCCTCTTTACACCAACACCTTATCTCCCTGAGGGTTCCCCAACCTCTTGCCTGTGGTACAAATGACATTGCCAATTGGAGCTATCTCTGATCGGGTTCCCTTAGAGCTAAGAATAAGGGACAGCCAGACTCTGTGGCATCCCTTCTTTCTGGGCCGGGGGTATCCCCAGTCCTCATGAAGGGGGCACACCTTGGGTCCGGCAGATCCTGGGATTCCTCCCTCTGCTGACCTGAAGTGCCACTCCTCAGACCACAGCCCGCAAATCTGTCACCCTGAAGTCGCAATGAGCATGGGGCACATTAGGCCACTGTGCCCAGGATCCCCCAGCCCAAGGTTGCCACTGATCTGGACTCCAAGGTCCCCTCAGTCCTCCCTCTTCTTCCTCCCCTTGACTCCTCGCAGGGCTGGGCTCCAACTCCCTGCTGAAGTGGGTCTGTATCCCTAGGATTCCCGCGGCCGAATGAAAAGGTGGCTCAGTTTGAGACAGGGGTACTTTGGGCCCCTGTCCTGGCATGCTGGGAGCCCTCCGGACTCCATTATCTTCCAGGAGGGGCTTGGGCCCATCCTCTGCTTCCCAAAGGCCGTACTCACGATACCGACCCCCTTCCCTCCCTGAGCCACAGATGTGAACGTCAGGATCCGCGTGCTTGGCCGCCATTCCCGGAGCTTCCGTGGGTTGATTGCAGGGGCAAAGCTCCGATTCTGCCAGGATGGGTGGGGATGGGAATCGGGGTTTGGGGGTCCCGTTGATGTTTGAGCGATGGTGGTGGGTTTGGTGTTGGGGGATGGGGGTGGGGTTGGTGTTGGGGGATGGGAATGGTGGTGGGGGTGCGGGGGGTTACCCTCAGTCCCCTCTTGGGGTCCTGACCTTGATTCCTGGCTGAGTCTGGGCCCTGAGCACTTCTAACCAGCCCTGCCCTGGTCACACAAAGCTCTTACACCAGAGTTCCCTGCGGTTAAAGCGGCGGGGGGTGGCGGGGTGAGGTGGTGGCGACTCAGCCTGAGAAGTCTTCCCCTGCAGGGTGGTCCAGGCCCGGCAGCAGAGGCAGCGCTGGATTATTGGGGGCCCTCTGTCTGGGGTGAGGCCCGCCTCAGTCCTCCCTCGGCATCTTACCTTGCCTCCTCACGGAGCCTGCGCCTGCTTCCCTCCACCGACGTCAGGCCGTTGCTCAGGGCGAGAATCTCGCTGTTCTCTGACCTCCAACGCGCAAGTCAGTGGCGTCACATCCGGCCCCGTGACTTCCCTGGGTTCACAGCAGGGGTGGAACTGGATTCTTCCTGGATGGGGATCCAGATGGAGGTGGAGGTAAGCATGAAGATGGTGTTGGGGGTAGGGGTAGGGATAGGGACGGGGATCCTGAGGCTGTAGATCCTGGTGGGGTTGGGGGAGTTGGGGGTGGGAGGGGCCTTTGGTCATCCCTCAAGGTCCTGACTTGGATGCCAGGCTGAGCCTGGACCGCCATCCTCTGCCGATTGTGTCTGCTCCCCTCAGACCAAGTCTCTGACTCTGAGTCCCCCTGAAGTGGCACTGGGGGAGGGGTGTGGTCGGGGTGACATTATTGCCTAAGTTTACCAGGGCTGACAAGAGGGACTGAGCTGGATTCTGTGGTCCCACTACGTGGGGGAGGGTGGACCCTCAGTCCTCACTCAAGAGGGTCCTCTTCCTCACTCCTGGCTGTTGGATGAAGTGATTGGCAGGAGATACTCTGTTTCTGTAACGTCTGTGCATTTGCACAGCTGCACCCCTTGTAGAGAATGGCTGCGGGTCCCAGGCCAGGAGCTCCCTGCAGGGCGGGAGCTCCCACGATCGTATTGACCTCTGGAAGAAGACAGACACTTTCCCACGGGAGCTCCTCTCCAGCCAGAGCTACACTTGGCAAACCTTTGGTCCTAAATGATTTATTCACTGAATTGAAGAAATACGGTTTACATATCTTCCAAGTATATATGTAGGTAGCGATATATATATTTATTTCTACGAACTAACACCTACCCTTAGTATGCATCGTTCACTCTTACTATCCTAATCTACTTCTATTCCAGTCTTTGTGTTCTGTTGAAGGAATTTTTTTTTAAACGTAATTCCTCTCCCACTATGTTGGTTTCAGGTTGTTATTAGCAGAACTCTGGAGCCATGCTGCCTTAACAAACCCAATTTTCCTGGTGTCCTGCTATTACCTAGGGCTCTTGGCATCGTGTTTTCAGGAGCTGCCTCAGATTGTGCAATGAAGTGAAGTGGAAATTTTAAAACTTTTATTCTACCCATTCTGTTATCTGCCGTCTAGGCAGGCTACAAACCTCCCCAACATCCCTGCCGCTAACCCCCTCTAACCGACACGGCAAGTGTCACACACAAGTACCAGCTCAACAAGGTCTTCAGTCTCACCCTGGACTGGCCCTGTTTTGTTGTGTAGATTTTCTTGCTAATACTGGTTTTTTACTTTCTGTTTCCATTCTATAAATTTACAGGGTTGATTTGGGAAGCAGAGCACAGCAGCCCAAATTTGCTTGTAATGTCGGCGACTACAGGTAAGGCACTAAATTGTAAATAATTTAAGCTGAGTTTACATTTTTACACTGTTGTGTTCCCCATGAATGAATATGTTATACTCCTCTATGTATGTCAAGCTATTTTTTCCTGAATATGTCAGTATACTTCGATAGTTGCCTCTATAAGCAGCTTATACATTTTTATTAGACTTCTATTCAGGTAATTCTTGGATTTTATTGCTATTGCAAATGGCATATTGTCTATTAATTGCTGTAGTTAGTTATTGCTTTCGTGAGGTGAAGATTTTGATTTTGCTGTAGTAATCTGTTGCACACCTCATTCTGAAGGCCGATGCACTTGAATATTCCACATGCCTTTTCCTTTGAATTTTCAAGATCGATAATGGTATTATCACTAAACATTACATGTTTTTCCAATATTCATACCACTTACTCATTTTGATACTTATAGCTTTTTGTGTCTCAATCCTGATTTCAAACGTAGAGATAATAGGCTACATCTACTTCTCGTTCCTGACTGGAATGATAGTTCTTCGAACATTTGACATTTAAGTATGTTTGCTGTTGATTTTAGGAAATGGAAGTGCTCTTTGAATATAGGTTAAATAAATATTTTCTTTTTTCCATAAACTCATTAAATGTCTTTAAAAAGCTTTTTCTGTACCCTTTGACAGGATCAAATTTTTTCTCCTCCATTTTGTATGTAAGGAATTACAATGAAACCGTTTTTTTTTTTCTGATGTTAAATCATATGTTATTTCCTTGGGCAGAGCCTGTCTATTTGTTTAATATGCTACTAATTTAGGTAAGGTATTTACTGCTAGGTAAGGGAGCTTACTTGGTGTGTTCTTTTTCCATCGGGGAGGGATGTGGTCCTCATCTGATTTTGAATCCAGGAGGGCTAGTCTGGGAGAATGAACTGAACAATTGTCAATCTTTTGTATGTTTTGGAAGAGTTGATATAAGATGGTGGTTAGTTTTCCCTGATCATTTGGTAGAATTGGCCTCCAAAACTGCCTAACCTGGAATGTTTGAGGGTGGCTTGAGCTTTGAATATTGTACAGTTTCAGTTTGTATAGTTTAATTAAAGTTTTCTTTTTCTTTTTGGATCAGTTTGGTTACTGATGTATTTTATTTCTATGAAGTGGTCAGTTTCATTTAGGATTTCACTTTTAATGGCATATTTGTGATAAAAAACGTTTTATTAGGGAAAGCCTTCACACATACAGAATAACAGAAACTAATATTATGAACCCAGGATACTTGATACCGAGCATGAACAACTTTAAATACACAGCAAAGCTGGTTCCAGTTAGACACTTGCCTACCTGCATATGAGCTTCTGTAATAACGTGGAGCCAATCTAAGGCATTAGACCATTTCATCTCTAAACAATTTAACATGCATTTTAAAGGAAAAGGACTTTTTATTAAACAAAAACCCAATAGCATTGATATCTAAAAAATTAAATAAATGATTATCAAATGTTCAACTATTTTACAAACTTATCTGGAAGACATATACTTTATAAAATATATATTTCTTTGATGAAGTACCCAAATATGATAACTTTCCCCCCACTTGCTTCACTGTGGTGGTTTCATACATCTATAATACAGCTAGGTTTCTGTGTGTGTAACATTTTACATTCTGTTCTGTGATTCTCCAACCTCTTAAGTTACTTTTAGACGTTACATACATTAAGCTTCACTCTTTGTGCTGTAAAGATCTATGGGTTTTGACAAATGCCTCTTGCCATTGTCTTAGTCCGTTTGGGCTTCCATAACAAAAATAGTGTAGACTAGGTGGCTTATAAACAACACAACTTTATTTCTCACATTCTGGAGGTTGGAAAGTCCAAGATCAAGGTGCTGGCAGATTTCATGTCTGGTGGAGTCCTGCTCCCTAGTTCCTAGACACCTGCCTTTTCCCTATGTCCTCGCATGGAGGAAGGGGCAAGGGATCTCTGTGGGGACTATTTTATAAAAACACTGATCCCATTCATGAGGTCTCTGCTCTCATGAACTAGTCATTCTCCAAATACCCCACCTTCTACCTAATACCATCACCTTGGTATTTCAGCAGATGAAGTTTGTGGGAACACAAATATTCAGATGAAAGCAAGCACGGAACCACCATTACAGTATTACCATACTAGTTTCACTGCCCTGATAAATCCCCTGTGCTTGTCAGATAACCCCCTTGGCTGCCACTGATAGGTTTTTCATCTTTATAATTTTGCCTTTTCCTGAATGTCATATAAATAGACTCGTATACTATGTAGCCTTTTTAGACTCGTTTCTTTCTAGACTCGTTTCTTTAGACTCGTTTAGCATAATGAACTGAAGAGTCATGTAAAACTTTGTGCAGCTTGTAACTTATTCCTTTTCATTGAGGAGTAGTAGTATCATTGGGTGTACCATATTTTAATGCGTGTGTGTGTGTATGTGTGTATATATATATATATATAATCCATTCACCAAATGAAATACATTTTGGATGCTGCTATTTTTGGTGATTGTGAAATAAGCTATTGTATACATTCATATACAAATTTTTATGTAGACATAAGTTTTCAAATCAATTGGGTAAATTGATTGAGTATGGCTGCTGAATCTTACGCTAAGTCTATGTTCCGTTTTTTAAGAAAACGCCAAATTGTCTTCCAAAGTGGCTGTGCCATGTTGCATTTCCACGAGCTATGAATGAGAGTTTCTGTTGCTCCACATCTTCCCTGGCAATTGGTCTTGGTTTTGTTTGCTTTGTTTTGCTTTTTTATGGATTTTGGACATACTAATAGGTGTGTAGTGGTATCTCATTTTAGTACACAATTATCTAATGACAAAACACGCTTAGTACATTTATTATGCTTATTTGCCATGTGTGTATCTTCTTTTGTGTAGTGTGTGTTCAGATCTTTGACTATTTTCATTTTTTTCTATCGCTGAGCTTTAAGAATTCGCATATATTGTAGAGACAAGTTCTTTATCACATATGTGTACCGCAGATGTTTTCTGCTAGTCTGTGGCTTCTGTTTTCATTCTCTTAACATTGTCTTTTGAAGAGCACATGATGTTTATTTTAATAAAATCAACTTGGCAAATTTTTCTTTCCTTGATCATGCTTTTGGTGTTGAATTTAAAAACTCATCTCCAAACTCAAAGTTATGTGGATTTCTCTCATGTTTTCTTATAGAGGTTGTATTGTTTTTGCATTTTTCATTAGACCTATGATGTATCTTGAGTTAGTTTTCATGGAATATGTAAGGATATGTCCAGGTTATTATAATTTGTGTATAGGTGTCTAATTGTTCCGACACCTTTTGTTGGAAAACCTGTACTTTCACCATTATTGCCTTTGTTGTGAATCACCTGACTATATGTGTGCAGGTCTATTTCTGAGCTCTATTCTGTTTTATTAACCTATGTGTCTATTCTTTGCTAATGCTTATGTCCTCCACCAAATTCATATTTTGAAGCCCTCAGCCCCAGGGTGTCTGTATTTGGTGATGAGGCTTCTAAGGAAGTGATTAATGTTAAAAGAGGTCATAAGGGTGGGGCCTTGATCCCATAGAATTAGTGTGGTTATAAGAAGGGAGAAGAGACAGAAGATAGCATTTTTGTGCCTGCATGAGCTCGCTGTCTCTCTCGCGCGCTCTCTGCACATGCACAGAGGAAGGGCCAAGAATGGACATATTGAGAAAGGGCCATCTACAAGCCAGGAATAAGGCCATCACCAGAAGCCAACCCCGCCAGTCCTTGATCTGGGACTTCCAGACTTCAAAACTGTGAAAAAAGATAAATTTCTGTTGTTCCAGCTACTCAGTCAATGACATTTTGTTATTCTAGCCTGAGCTGACTAGTACATAACCTCAGGTAACACAATTTTTTTTTGTTTCCTCCTAGAAAAAAAGCCCGTAATTTTGGCATTTAAGATTGCGGTTCATTTTGAGTCACATTTTTGTACGGTGCAAGATATTTGCAGTGGCTAGTATTATGTGTCAACTTGTCTAGGCTATACTGCTCAGCTGTGTGGTCAAACAGTAGTCTAGATGTTGCTGTGAAGGTATTTTGTAGATGTGATCAACATTTACAATCAGTTGACTTTAAGTAAAGCAATTTAACTTCCATAATGTGGATAGGCCTCATCCAATTAGTTGAAGGTGTTAAAAGACCAAGGTTTCTTGGAAAAGGAATTCTACCACAAGACTAACATAATAATGTCGTGTGAGTTTCTAGCCTGCTGGCCTGCCTTCACTGTCCTGGGGGAAGCTCGGGGAGACCAGGTGGACTGGAGTAGACTGTACAGAGACACTGGTCTGGTGAAGATGTCCAGGAAACCACGAGCCTCCAGCCCATTTTCCAACAACCACCCATCAACACCAAAGAGGCGAGGAAGGGGAAAGCATCCTCTCATCCCTGGCCCAGAAGCCCTATCAAAGTGAATGGCCCACCCAAGCTCTGACTCCTACCCTGTCCTCCCCTGGCACAACCCCCACCCCAGCCTGTACCATTTCTCTATGAAACCCCTGTTCTCACCCCTCCTCCATCCTCTTCCCCAAACCAGTGCCCTCCTGTGATCTCCCTGTTGGCTTTCCAGGTTCCCAAGACAACCCAGAAGGGAAAAGGGACCCGTCAAGGAAGTTCCAGGAACAAAAGGCTCTCCCTAAAAGACCACCGCTTCAAAAAAACCTGAGGAATGGAGTGGGCCAACACTATCCAGCCACTCTGACCAGCCGAACGAGGAACTCAATCAAAATGCGCCATAGCAGGACCACAAGGGCAAGGAGACCACCGCCTTCTCCAGTGCTTCCTTGGGCAGCCAGTAATTCCCAGGCAAGGCCAGAGACTTCAAGTCTATCTGAAAAGTCTCCAGAAGTCTAACCCCAGATAAATAGCCAACAGGGTGTAGAGTACGTTTTACACCCCAAAGGGTATGCCCCATGGTGATGGAAATAAAATGAACATGTTGTAAAATGATGTGTGTGTCTGTGTGTCTCAAAGGTTGGGGGTAGGGCTTAAGGGGAAGAGGTGGGAGTGTGGGAAGGGATGGGGGGATCCTCTACAATTTCTTTAAATTCAAATTGCTCTTTGTTCTTTGGATTCCTAGGGTGAAAGTTTTGGTTATTGATTTTAGATTTCATTTTCTAATATAAACATAAAATATGCTATACATTTCCCTCAAGGAAACACTTTAGCTGAATCCCATTTTTGTATGTATATTTTTATTTTCATTCAACTTAATGTATTTTTAAAATTCTCCTGAGACTCCCTCTTTGACCCATAGGTTATTTAGGAGCATATTTTAAAATTTCCAATATTTGGGCATTTTTCAGATATCTTGGTGTTTGGTTTTGAATTTAATTATATTATGGTCTAAGAAGAGGCTTTTTATTATTTCTATTTTTTTTTTCAATTTGTAAGCTTTGTTTGATGGCCCAGAATACCATCTATCCTGGGAAATATTTCATGCACACTTGAGAGGAATGTTTATTCTGCTGTTGTTGAATGCAGTGCTTTTCTCATTATTTTAATTGGTCAGAGTAGTTAATGGTGCTTTTCAGGTCATCTATATCCTTCCTGGTTTTCTGCTTACTTTTTCTCCTAAATACTGAGAAACAATTTAAACAGTTTTGACAAATGTGTAGTCCCATGAAATCACAACCACATAGAAGGTGCAAAATATATTCATACTCCCCAAAAGTTTCTTCCTGTCCTTTTGCTGTCAAACCATCCCTTCAGTAGAGGTGACCCAAGGTGAGCAGAAGTGAGCATCTGCCAACCATTAGCATTTTCCCTATTAACAGAGGCAGGCAGGCACAGAGAACAGCAGTTGCTTTCACACACAGGCAACATCCAGGAGGAAAACCAGATTGATAGTGTCATAGAAAGAGCGCTTGCTTGCCTGGACACAGGCTGTCACTCCCTTTGTTGCACACTGCCTGTCCCCAAGTCTGGCTCTGCCTTCCTGGACTCCCTGGCTCAGATGGGCGATTCACACCTCCTCTCCATCTCCCCCATCCCCTTACAGACAGTATTAAGGGCCTTGCCACTTTCTTTTGTTTTGTTGACTTGCTGTTTCCTCAGCATATATTCAATAAAAGTTTTCTGTAGGAATCAATAAGTGCATGAATGAATGAAATTACCAGGCATGGGAATTCATTGATTCAAAACGTGGAGGCTGCCCCTGCCTTGGCCTCCCGCCTACCTGAAGAAACCCACAGTTCCATCACCTGTGCTCACTTGAGTTTAGAAATCCCCTGGAAACTATCATTGAGAGCATCACTGCAGATGCCTACTCCCCATGCCCAAACACTATCATGGAGGTGAGGATGCTCCCAACAGTATTGTGCATGATGCCTCCTGTATTGGACCCCACACGTCCCCATCAGTTTAACAAGGAAGGGTGCCATCTGCACTGCCTTGCCATCCAACCTGCTCACATACACACCTTGGACCAGCCCTCTACCCCAGGCACTGTCTGGTGGCATCATAGGCCAGTGATTAGAGCCCCAGGATACCTGTCTGCTTTTGTCTCAAGAGCTCAGAAGCCTCAGAAGTCCATCTGAGACATGGTCACCACCTGGATCATTCTCATTGCACATCCACAGCCAATCCTTCATCTGCAGAGTCGGAGCTGACTAGTCCTAGGGTACTCTTCCTCCAAATTCCCCTCCATGCAGCCTTGCTGCCACCCTCACCTTCCACTGCTCATAAATATTTCTGGCCTGTCTTGGCTGTTGCTCAAAAGTTAGCAACCCATTCACATAGTCCAGGCTCCATGGAGAGTTCACAGGGGATAAAACAGCAGCCCCCAGCAGGCATGAGACAACTCCCTGCCCCGGGACGCTGGAAATGGTACACACGACCACTGGAGTGGTCAAGAGAGGGAGCTTGCCCGGAATGATGCAGGGAGCCAGCCATACTCTTCGTGAGAGAGGGAAGGGGATTCTGAGGGAGGGTTGGGTCTCCAGCACATCGCTGGTGCATTCCATCAACAGGCCTGCCCATTCAGATCACACGGCCCCCTCCAGCTAGTGATGATGGTGCTGGAATTTCCCAAGCCTATTCATTTTCATTGTCCTGCCCTCCCTCCTCTCTTCCCCCTTCTCTCCCTCAGGTCCCTGCCTCCACCGGGCTGAACTCTGGATTCAGACCTCTGAATGCCAGCCTGCCTGGGGAAATGTGGACTTGGTTTCATATACGGTCTCTCTCATGGACTCTGGCCATTGCTCTCCCCTTGTATTTGTTCATTTTCATACTGCTATGAAGAAATACCTGAGACTGGGTAATTTATAATAATAAAAAAAAGAGGTTTAATGGACTGACAGTTCTACATGGCTGGGAAGGCCTCACAATCATGGCAGAAGGGGAAGGAGGAGCAAAGATATGTCTCACATGGCAGCAGGCAAGAGAGCATGTGCAGGGGAACTGCCCTTTGTGAAAACATCAGATCTCCTAAGACTTATTTACTACGGCGAGAACAGCATGGGAAAAACTTATCCCTGTGATTCAATTACCTCCCACCTGATCCCTCCCATGACACGTGGAGGTTATGGGAGCTACAATTCAAGATGAGATTTGGGTGGGGAAACAATCAAACCATATCAGTGCTGGATCCTCCCGATTACCCTCATGGGCTGAGGGTGTCCTGTCTGCTCTCCTTCCCTGGCTCCTGTTCATTCTGACCAATTCCTTCTCAAAGCACAAGAGAAATGTCCTGTCCCCATTTCAGAATGTTAAACCATGCCTAGAGAAATGTTACTCAGGATGTCACTGTATAAATCCAACTTCATATGGGTGAGGGATTAAGTTAGTGTGTACTTAACCTAATTAGAGAAAGCAAAGACACAAAATAACAGTGAAACAATATTTCTTCACTAAATTTTATTCATAATTTTCACCAAAAATGAGAAGATTGATAACACAAAATCTTTCTGTGAGTGTAGGATATTCACATCTATTAATTTGTGAGAAAATTAATTGGTACAGTATTTTTGGAATAAAATTTTGACAATACTTCTAAAAAGTTAAACTATTCACACCATTTCCACTTTAACCCAATGTCCATGTTACTATATCTTTCTTATTGGAAAGCATGCATATCTGTCCAAAAACGTATGTTTATTTCAGTTCTATTAATCATAGCAACAAATGGGAATGAACGTATGTGTTTATCAGGAAAGGAAAGGTTTAATTAACTATGGCACACACCTACTTTAGAATTCTAGGGAATACTTACAAAAGTGATGTCGATTGTAGGTATAGTTGTGGGAAGACCTTGCGTTCATCTTATTACGTGGCAAAGGCATGTGACATATCAATACGTGCATCACTACCTGTGGGTGTTAAAACACTATATATTTTCATAAAACATCCATGTCTAAAAAAATCCTAGACTGAGCTTTAAAATGCTGCCCACGGATCTCATCCTCCACACTCTTCTTCATCAAATCACCACCAACTCTTACCCTTCTCCCTCCCTCTCAACTAAGGGAGCAACATCACCAACCTCAGAAGTCAGGTCAATAGAGATTCTCTCCATCAGTTCACAGTCCCTCACTTCCTAAAACTCTTCCGTGTCTTTCCACCTCACCATCTCCCTCACGCCCCCCATAGACTGAGTTAAGGGCACTGCTGCTTTCTTGTGTTTTTTTGACTTGGTGTTTCCTCAGCATATATTGAATAAAAGTTTTCTGTAGGAATCAATAAGTGCATGAAATGAATGAAAGTACCAGGCATGGGAATTCTTTGGTTCAAATTATGGAGTCGGTCTGGCCTGGGCCTCCGACCTGCATGAAGAAACCCACAGTTCCTTCACCTGTGCTCACTTGAGCTCAGAAAAACCCGTGGAAACTACCAACGAGAGGGTCACTACAGATGCCTTATCCCCAGGCCCAAACACCGTCATGGAGGTGAGGATGCTCCCAACAGGATGGTGCATGATGTTTCCTTTATTGGACCCCACACATCCCCATCAGTTTAACAAGGAAGGCTGCCAACTCCAACGCCTTGCCATACAACCTGCTCATGTACACACCTTGGGCCAGCCCTGTACGCCAGACAGTGTCTGCTGGCAACATAGTCCAGCGATCACTGCCCTACGACACCAGTCCTCTTGTGTGCCAAGAGTTCAGAAGCCACAGAAGTCCATCTGAGACGCAGTCACCACCTGGTTCATTTTCAAGGCACGTCCACAGCCAATCCTTCATCTGCAGAGTCTGAGCTGACTAGTCCCAGGGCACTCTTCCTCCCATTTCTCCTCCATGCAGCCCCACTGCCCCTTTCAACTGCTCATGGGCATTCCTGGCCTGTTTTGGCAGTTGGTCATCAGTCAGCAACACACTCACATAGCCCAGCCTCTATGGAGGGCCCCCAGGGGATAAAACACCAGCCCCCAGCATGCATGAAGGCCTCTCCCAGATCTGGGATGCTGGCGAAGGTGCAAAGGACCACTGGAGGGTTCAAGAGAGGTAGCTGGCCCAGAATGATGCAGGGAGCCAGCCAAACTATTCCGGAGAGAGGGAAGGGGATTCTGAGGGCGGGAAGGTTGACCAGCACAGCCCTGGTGCATTCAGCCAACAGGCTTACCCACTCAGATCACAGGGCCTCCTCCAGCTGGTGATGATGGTGCCAGGATTTCCCAAGCCTATTCCTGTTCATTGTCCTGTCCTGCCCCCTCCCTTCCCCCTTCTCTCCCTCAGGCTCCTGACCCCACCGGCCTGAAGTCTGGATTTAGAGCTCGGAGTGCCAGCCTGCCTGGGTCTCAGTGGACTTGGTTTTGCATGTGCTCTCTGTCATTGACACTAGCAATGGCTCTCTCCTGGATCCTCCCTGGATCCTCCCTCACAGGCTGAGGGTCTCCTGTCTGCTCTCCTTCCCTGGTTCCTCTTCAGTCTCACCAAATCCTTCTCAAAGCAGAGAAGAAATATCCTGTCCACACTTCAGAATTTTAAATCAATTGTGATTTTTATGAGAATTTGAATTGGTACAGCATTTTTGTAATAACATTTTAGAAATATTTTAAATGTTAAACTATTTTCACCCTTTCACTTTAACCCAATGTCCATGTTAATATAGCCTTCTTATAAGAAAACCATGTTTGCCTAAAATTCATAGGCAGAGATGTTTATTTTATTCTATTTATCATATAGCAAATGGGAAACAACTTATATGTCCATTAGGAAGAAAGAGTTTAATTAATTTTGGTGCATGTCTACTTTAGAATTATAGAAAGTGGTTTCAAAAGTGAGAAAGATCTACCTGTCTCTATCTATCTATCTATCTATCTATCTATCTATCTATCTATCTATCTATCTATCATCTATACTGTTGTCGAAAGATCCTACATGCATTTTATAAAGTGATAAAAGCAGATCAGTATGTATGTCATTGTTCTTGTATATTGAATAAAAATAATATATTGTTATAGTTTGTCAGTGAAAAGCCTAGAGTCAGCAGTAAAATAATACACAACATTGTTAATTGTGGTGACCTCTGCGGGGGGGCGGGGGGTGTTGTTAACTGTGGAGGAGCTTTGTAAAAAAAAAATTGTGAATTATCTACATTTCTATCATTTTTGAAATAAGAATATATACCAAACTACATTTTAAATAAAAAATATTTAATACTGACAACAGAAATACTAGCCGTGTCAGTTTAAGTAATTGCTAGCTGATGCAACAGAACAACCATGAATGGCTTGACACAACAGAAGTTTATTTTATGTGCAAATAAGTTCTGATGCGGTTTGGCAGGGGCTCTCCACTCTCACATGACCCAGGGATCCAAGCTGCTTCCACCTTTTGATTCCGTCATCTCAAGATGAAGCTGCCATGTTTGCTGTTGAAAGCGGAGAGAAAGCATGGAAATGGCACACTGGCTCTCAAATGCCTGGATGTGACAAACAATGCTTCTGCTCCTGTATTGGTGTAAAGGAAAAGTCACATGATCCTAACTGCAAGGACTTTACTGTTCCCATGTGTCCAGGAAGGAGACAGAGACAAAATGTGGGTGAGTACTATACCCTTCCCCATAAACTGTTACATAGTGGGTGCTCAACAAAAAGCAACTATGATCATTTGGTATTATACTACCCTTCTCATTTCTAGGAGGAGTTTCTGAGAAGGCCAAATTTACCTTGAAGTTCTCCAGCGTTTTCCAGTGTCAAATATGTGACTGATGTTTTCAAACATACGATCACAACTAACTGTTCAAGAATCTTGAAAGTCTCAGCAGGAAGGCTTTCCTTTGTAATATCCTTTAAATCCTTAGTAGGCTGAGAATTGTTCCTCCATTTGATTCCTGGTCAAAATGTTAACCTGTGAATTTCTGCTACCCTCCACACGCCTGTACACCTGTCGAGGTAGGCACGCTGAAGGCCAGTATTTTCCTGTGGAGCAGGTAAACAGACAAGAAACAGAAGGCTGCTTAATTATTCCTCTTTCATTAGAGTTGACGTGTTTTCAAGGTATAGTTTTTAAACTCCTGGAGGACTCCAGAAATTTAGGAATTCAGCCTCAGTAAGTAGATGTTTGTTCCACTGGGGTTTCCCAAGGTTTTTCTCATCTAATACTCATGAGAGACGGTTTGCTCTTTGATCATTTATCTGTGCATGTATTCAGAGGCGAATTCCAAAAGGACGCCCTGTGAAAGTCCGATTTCAAGTATCAAGGTGGTTCCAAATCCCTCTAACTTCAGGGTGACATCACACAAGAACCCTTAGATAATATGGCGAATCAGACTCCTCAGCCCATTCAGAAAACGATTAGAGAGTGTGTTGAAGACAACCAGAGTGGTAACCAAGTGTCTAAGCGTCACTGTCCCCGTGTGAGTTTTTATACAAAAGGGTTTTTGACATCATATGGCTTCCTGGGTGAGAGACGGAACAGCCAGAGGACTTCTACTATGAGAAGGAATGCTCCCTGTCAGGAGGTGAGCAGGGGATTCTGGGCTGTTCTGTGAGGATCAGTGAGGAGCTGATCAGCAGGCCCTATAGGTTCCAGAGTCAGACAGGACACATGGAAGTGACCCGGGGAAATGTGCTGTAATTCTGAAAGTGCTGGGGCTGCAGAGAAATGCCCACAACTGGGCAGAGTTAGCTCTCAAGGAACCTAGCGCACACCAGCCCCAAATGGTGTTTGATTCTCACTGTCGCGTTCTCCAGGCCTGCTTCATTATGCTGGCCTCAAGGTCCTTCTTTTTGTCACCTGAGAGACATGGTGCAGTGCTGAGAAGAAAAATGAAGTCGCTGTCAGGAGGTCAGCCTCGGGCTCGGAGAAGTGGGGACAGCATGGGCTCTAAAGGAATTCATGCCAGGGGTCTGGTTCCAGCCCTGTTCCTTACTAGCCACGTGATACTGAGAAATACCCAGGAAATACCCTGTTCTTATATCCCAATTCACAAGCTCTGTAAGCCCTGGATTCTTCATCTGTAAGCAGATGTGATAAGGCCTGTCTAGTAGGACAGTCGGAGTGTATGCAACGCAGGTGAACCACCTGGCTCCGGGCCTGGTGTAAATTGGAAGTTTCACAAATGGCGGATGGCTGTTATTTCCAATATGCTTTAACCCGAGGCCCGAACACTGGGATTTTGTTGTTGTTGTCGTTGTTCTCCAGGACTTATCAGAGAACATACAGCTCAATAGGACATGGAATAATTAGCCCCAAACAGAAGCTTCTTCCATAAAATTCAGTTAAGTATTTCCTCTTAGAGAATGCACTTCAAAATTTGGTTGTGCGGGAGTTTTGCCCAGCCAGGTGCAGCTCAAAGCTCCTAGAATGTGAGTCAAAGACCAACTCCTTCCCTCTCTCCCAGCTGCTTTCCCATCCAAACCACTATATTCATCCACTTTGTTACCATCCAGAATCTAGCCCGTGCTTACAATTGGTCAAATTGCACTTGAGATAACCTAGTTAGAATGCCTTTTTAATGGAGTCAGCTCTGGCTCTCCCTGCCTGGCAGAAAAGCACCTGGCCGGCCGGGCGCGGTGGCTCACGCCTGTAATCCCAGCACTTTGGGAGGCCGAGGCGGGCGGATCACGAGGTCAGGAGATCGAGACCATCCCGGCTAAAACGGTGAAACCCCGTCTCTACTAAAAATACAAAAAAAATTAGCCGGGCGTAGTGGCGGGCGCCTGTAGTCCCAGCTACTTGGGAGGCTGAGGCAGGAGAATGGCGTGAACCCGGGAGGCGGAGCTTGCAGTGAGCCGAGATCCCGCCACTGCACTCCAGCCTGGGCGACAGAGCGAGACTCCGTCTCAAAAAAAAAAAAAAAAAAAAAAAAAAAAAAAAAAAAAAAGAAAAGCACCTGGCCAGTGGCTTCTGGGTCACCCTTCCTGGGAAATTCAGCCTTATCGCTCAGGAAACCCTTGCAGATGATGGGTGTCCATCACCTAGATCTTGGGCTGTGTTCAACAGCATTGGGCAAAAACACAGGACACCTTCCATTCCAGCCCCAGGTGGAGATTCCTCTCTCTTCATCCCCATCCTAAAGAAACTGCTCAGGGTAGCATTCCATTCCAGGCTTTTCTCTCACCCTCTGAGAATCTGGCCCTGGACCCACCGGGCATCATTAGAATCAGCTCCTTCAGAAGGAACTGCAGGTTCCCAGATCCCAAATTGCCCCAGCTCAGGGCATTTATACTCACCACTCTCACCTGGAACCCCACACCCTCACCCCTGTCTTACATTTCCACTACATCCTAGAGGACTTCTCGCCACCTTAATTACATGACTGCAGCTCCTAGACTCTATGACCCTATGGGTAGACGTGAGTCTGGCTTACCTTAGAATCCCCACTACTACCAGGGCCTTCCACAGAGCAGATGCTGAGTGAATGGTAAAGAAATGAGCCAGTGAACAGGAAGAATTATTTATTCAGATTTAATTTCTTTTGCATTCTCAAAGAAGCAAAAACATACACATATTTTTAATTTTACATAATAGACTGAGGTATAAGGCAAGAATTAACTATCTTTTGAGTTCCTTGTATCATGTATTTTACTGCTAATTCGTTCACAATATAGGCAAATACATATTCCACTGCTGTTATTATGTGACAACTCACAAAATGGAATGGATTTCCCAATCTGAATAAAAAACAGGACTCTTACCCCTAAACTATATAAACAGCACTATGTGTGACTACTGTCATTCATAAACTTGGATGCTGAAGTTCATCCAACCATTTGTTAAAAGGAACATTTGAACAATTCCAACAGGAAACAAAGATAAATCTCAAAGTCATCCAACAGAACAGAAACTCACTGCTAAGAATGCTGACTGCTCTCTTCAAAGAGGCAGGAATGGGCCTCATATCACACGAGGCAGTGGAAGCTAATGGATGGGGCCCTGGAAGGTGCACTGGCCCAGACCCCCTCCCACTGGCCCTGGCTGCAACATGTGCTGAGACTCACTCTTCTCCCTCTCTCAAAGCCCGTTCATGCAGGGGTGGGTAGGAAATGTGAGGTTCTCCACCGATCTTTAGTGTATGGTGCAGGACTTTCACATAGCTGGTTTCAATGAGGGCCCTTGGACCCCACAGGAACTCGTAGCATGCAGGATCACTGCCGGGCACCTGCCGGTACTCCAGGTAGTTTTCCTGCACCAGATCTTGCATGAGCAGCTTCCTGGGATGTGCGAAGACACTGTCCTCCCTCCCCTCAAACACCTCCAACATACTCAGCTCCTCCCAGATTTTCTCCTCAGGGGCACAGTCGCCCTCTATTGCGATTATGGCCAGGACGATTATCAGGAGGCCTGTCTTGGGCATGACCTGATTGTCGCCCAGCAGGCCATCGTAGGAGAGGCCCAGGCAGGTGACAAGGATGTACAAGTGGCTGATGGGGACCACTTCCACCACCTCGATGCCAAAGACCAGCTGCAAGTACTCGGAGGCTTTGCTGAAGATCACGGGAAAGAAGTCCTGGCAATTTCTGAGGACACTCTCCAGCATTTCTGCCTTTGTGACCGGCTCCCTGGCTCGATACTTGAGGAGCAGAAAATGAACCAACTCAACCATCTTCCTACTGATTGCTGCTTGGAACTCGGACTCCAGGTCGGGAAACATTCTTGGCCCCTCCTCTTCTTGGTTGCTGGAGCCCTCATCGGATTGTCTCCAAAGAGTGTAGTTGATGGTAGTCGAGAAGCTGGAGGCTCCCTGAGGACTGTGGGGAGGACTCGGTGAGTCGGCAGCAGGCACCTCCCCCAGGGTAACTTCCACTAGAGTAGAAGAGGAAGAAGCGGTCTGCTGCTCCTCAGTAGCAGGAGCCTGCGCACCCACCAGGCCCAGGGCCTCTCCTCGGGCCTCAAGGCCTTCTTCAGGCTTGCAGTGCTGACTCCTCTGCTCAAGAGGCATGATGACTCTGGTCAGGGCAGCAGGCAGGAGTGCGGGCAGGAGCTGGGCAATGAAGACCCACAGGCCTGGGGAGAGAAGGAGCGTGTGTGAGGCCTTAGGTGAGAACTGAACTGAACCTTGGAGGCTCTGACAAAGGCTTACTTACAGATCTTCTCCTTCAATGCTCCTCCAGTGCCTCGGGTCCTACTTGTCAGCCTGTCCCCCTCAGAACCTGAAGGAGGAAGTGGGAGGGCACCTCAGGGTACAGCCGGCCAGCACATGCTCAGGCTGCAGGACTGAGAATAGGGAGGGTGAGGCCAGGCCCTCTGGAGTCCCATTTGTTCTGGGCGGGTGGGGCCCTTGGTGTGCATTCCAGGCAAACCTTCAGTGTTGGCACTGTCTGCGTCCCCTCTGCTCTGTGACCTGAGGACACTGACTCAGACCAAGGCCTCACTGCCTGGTTCCTGGAGCTCCTGATTCCTGGGAGAGGAATGCACGGGCCTTCAGTGTGCAGACTGCAAGCACAGCCACGGATTCCCAGAAGTCTCAGCAGGGTTGGCCAGACTCCGTGAGGTCCCCACTCTACTTGGGTGGAGGGTCCCCTCTGTGCTCACTCAGGGCCCTCACCTTTCTCCTTGTAGGGCCTAATCCCACCCTTTTGCTGGCTTGAGAATCTCTCATGTCAAGAACTCACATCCCTGATATGGTACAGAAGGAGATGAGGGGACCCACATCTGGCCATACGTGACCAGGTCCTCCCGCGAAGGACAACGAGAGATGTCCAAATTCATTGGAGTCCAGGTGTCCTGGGTGACGAGTCCGCTTGGTCCTCACGTCCACTCCTGGCAGGGCCTGAGACCCTCCCTCTACTGACCTGACTCCAGCCCCTTCAGACCAAGGCCTCCCCTTCCCTGACATCAAAGATCCCAGGATAATGGAGGGACTTCAGCTGACAGCCCTGCCCAGGGTCTCTGAAGTAACCGCAGGGGCAGGGCAGATTTCTATGGGGCCCCCTGTCTGCATTCTGGCCCAGGAGTACCCTCAATCCTACCTCAGGCTCTCCACCTGGATGCTTGGCAGATCCTAGAACCACTGCATCTGTCGACCAGATGGGGGCCCCTGTGTTGACCTGAGTCACCTTCTGAAAACAAGGTCATCAACTCCCTGAGATCTGGAAACAGAAGTGAGGAGGGGCCACATCCTGTTACCCCCACGTGCGTTGTCCAGGGCTGACCCCTTTGGTTCTAGGGTGAACGTTATGATGGCCTCCTGTGGGTTACTCATCTTTACTCCTGCCAGGGACTGCCCTTTCTCAACCCCCAACCCCCTGAAATGAGCAGACAGCTCCTCTTTACACCAACACCTTATCTCCCTGAGGGTTCCCCAACCTCCTGCCTGTGGTACAAATGAGATTGTCACTTAGGGCCATCCCTGATCAGGTTCCCCCAGAGCTAAGAACAAGGGACGGCCAGACTCTGTGGCATCCCTTCTTTCTGGGCCGGGGGTATCCCCAGTCCTCATGAAGGGGGCACACCTTGGGTCCGGCAGATCCTGGGATTCCTCCCTCTGCTGACCTGAAGTCCCAGCCCTCAGACCACAGCCCTCAACTCTCTGTCACCCTGAAGGTGCAATGAGCACGGGGCACATTCGGCCACTGTGCCCAGGATCCCCCAGCCCAAGGTTGCCACTGATCTGGACTCCAAGGTCCCCTCAGTCCTCCCTCTTCTTCCTCCCCTTGACTCCTCGCAGGGCTGGGCCCCAACCCCCTGCTGAAGTGGGTCTGCATCCCTAGGATTCCCGCGGCTGAATGAAAAGGTGGCTCAGTTTGAGACAGGGGTACAGTGGGCCCCCTGTCCTGGCATGCTGGGTCCCCTAAGGACTCCACTGTCTTCCAGGAGGGCCTGGGCCCTTCCTCTGCATCCCAAAGGCCATACTCACGAGACCCAACCCCTTCCCTCCCTTAGCCGTACATGTGAACGTCAGGATCCGCGTGCTTGGCCGCCATTCCCGGAGCTTCCGTGGGTTGATTGCAGGGGCAAAGCCCGGATTCTGCCAGGATGGTGGTGGGGGAGGAGATGGGAATGGGGTTTGGGGGTGGGGTTGGTGTTTGAGGGATGGGGGTGGGGTTGGTGTTGGGGGATGGGATTGGTAGTGAGGGTAGGGGGTGGGTTGCCCTCAGTCCCCTCTTGGGGTCCTGACCTTGATTCCTGGCTGAGTCTGGGCCCTGAGCACTTCTAACCAGCCCTGCCCTGGTCACACAAAGCTCTTACGCCAGAGTTCCCTGCGGTTAAAGCGGCGGGGGGTGGCGGGGTGAGGTGGTGGCGACTCAGCCTGAGAAGTCTTCCCCTGCAGGGTGGTCCAGGCCCGGCAGCAGAGGCAGCGCTGGATTATTGGGGGCCCTCTGTCTGGGGTGAGGCCCGCCTCAGTCCTCCCTCGGCGTCTTACCTTGCCTCCTCACGGAGCCTGCGCCTGCTTCCCTCCGCCGACGTCAGGCCGTTGCTCAGGGCGAGAATCTCGCTGTCCTCTGACCTCCAATGCGCAAGTCAGTGGCGTCACATCCGGGCCCGTGACTTCCCTGGGTTCACGGCAAGGGTGGAACCGGATTCTGCCCGGATGGGGATCTGGATGGGGGGGTGGGGGTAAGCATGAAGATGGTGTTGGTGTAGGGGTAGGGATTGGGACGGGGATCCTGAGGCTGTAGATCCTGGTGGGGTCGGGGGAGTTGGGGGTGGGAGGGGCCTTTGGTCATCCCTCAAGGTCCTGACTTGGATGCCAGACTGAGCCTGGACCGCCATCCTCTGCCGATTGTGTTTGCTCCCCTCAGACCAAGTCTCTGACTCTGAGTCGGCCCGAAGTGGCATTGGGGGGAGGGGTGTGCTCGGGGTGAGATCATTGCCAGTGTGTACCAGGGCTGACAAGAGGGGCTGAGCTGGATTCTGTGGTCCCACTATGTGGGTGAGGGTGGATCCTCAGTCCTCACTCAGGAGGGTCCTCTTCCTCACTCCTGGCTGTTTGATGAAGGAATGGGTGGGAGATGCTCTGTTTCTGTCACCTCTGAGCATCTGCGCATCTGCGCATCTGCACCCCTTGTAGAGAATGGCTGCGGGTGCCAGGCCAGGTGCTCCCTGCAGGGCAGGAGCTCCCGCGATGATAGTGACCTCTGGGAGAAGACGCACACCTTCCCACGGGGGCTCCTCCCCAGCCAGAGCTACACTTGGCAAACCTTTGGTCCTAAATGATTTATTCTCTGAATTGAAGAAATACGGTTTACATATCTTCTAAGTATATATGTAGGTAGCAATATATATATTTATTTCTATGAACTAACACCTACCCTTAGTATGCATGATTCACTCTGATATCCTAGTCTACTTCCATTCCAGTCTTTGTGTTCTGTTGAAAGAATTTTTTTAAAAAACATAATTCCTCTCCCACTCTGTTGGTTTCAGGTTGTTATTAGCAGAACTCTGGAGCCATGCTGCCTTAACAAACCCAATTTTCCTGGTGGACACTGCTATTACCTAGGGCTCTTGGCATCGTGTTTTCAGGGGCTGCCTCAGATTGTGCAATGAAGTGAAGTGGAAAATTCAAAACTTTTATTCTACCCATTCTTTCATCTGCCGTCTAGGCAGGCTACAAACCTCCCCAACATCTCTGCCGCTAACCCCCTCCAACAGACACTGCAAGTGTCACACACAAGTACCAGCTCAACACAGTCTCCAGTCTCACTCTGGGCTTTCCCTGTTTTGTTGTGTAGATTTTCTTGCTGATACTGGTGTTTTACTTTCTGTTTCCATTCTATAAATTTACAGGGTTGATTTGGGAAGCAGAGCACAGCAGCCCAAATTTGCTTGTAATGTCGGCGGCTACAGGTAAGGCACTAAATTGTAAATAATTTAAGCTGAGTTTACATTTTTACACTGTTGTGTTCCCCGTGAATGAATATGTTATACTCCTCTATGGATTTCAAGCTCTTTTTTCCTGAATATGTCAGTATACTTCGGTAGTTGCCTCTATAAACAACTTATACATTTTTATTAGGCTTCTATTCAGGTAATTCTTGGATTTTGTTGCTATTGCAAGTGGCATATTGTCTATCAATTGTTGTAGTTAGTTATTGCTTTCGTGAGGTGAAGATTTTGATTTTGCTGTAGTAATCTGTTGCATACCTCGTTCTGAAGGCCGATGCACTTGAATATTCCGCATACCTTTTCCTTTGAATTTTCAAGATCGATAATGGTATTATCACTAAACACTACATGTTTTTCCAATGTTCATACCACTCACTCATTTCGGTACTTACAGCTCTTTGTGTCTCAATCCTGATTTCAAATGTAGAGATAATAGGCTACATCTACTTCTCGTTCCTGACTTGAATGATAATTCTTCGAACATTTGACATTTAAGTATGTTTGCTGTTGATTTTAGGAAATGGAAGTTCTCTTTCAGTATAGGTTGCCTAAATATTTTCTTTTTTACCATGAATTCATATTAAATTTATTTAAAAAGCTTTTTCTGTACCCGTTGGCAGGATCAAATTTTTTTCTCTTCCATTTTGTATGTAAGGAATCACAATGAAACAGATGTTTTTTCTAATGTTAAATCATATTTTATTTCCTTGGGCAGAGCCTGTTTATTCGTTTAATGTACTACTAATTTATGTAGGATATTTACTGCTGTGTAAGAGAGCTTACTTGATGTGTTCTTTTTCCATCAGGGGAGGTATGTGGTCCTCATCTGGTTTTTAAATCCAGGAGGGCTAGCCTGGGAGAATGAACTGAACAATTGTCAGTCTTTTGTATGTTCTGGAAGAGTTGATATAAGGCGGTGGTTAGTTTTCCCTGATCATTTGGTAAAATTGGCCTCCAAAGCTGTCTAACCTGGAATGTTTGAGGGTGGCTTGAGCTTTGAATATTGTACAGTTTCTGTTGTATAGTTAAAGTTTTCTTTTCCTCTTTGGATCAGTTTGGTTACTGATTTATTTTATTTCTACAAAGTGGTCAGTTTCATTTAGGATTTCACTTTTAATGGCATATTTATGATAAAAAAGTTTTATTAGGGAAAGCCTTCACACATACAGAATAACAGGAACGAATATAATGAACCCAGGATACTTGATACCGAGCATGAACATCTTTAAATACACAGCAAATCTGGTTCCAGTTAAACACTCGCCTACCTGCATATGAGCTGCTGGAATAACGTGGAGTAAATCTAAGGCATTAGACCATTTCATCTCTAAATAACTTAATATGCATTTTTAAAAGATAAGGATTTTTTTAAAACAAAAAGCCGATAGTTTTCATATCTAAAAAATTAAATAAATGATTATCAAATGTTCAACTATGTTACACACTTATCTGGCCAACTTAAACTTTATAAAATATATATTTCTTTGATGGAGTACAAAATGTGTTAACTTTTCCCCCCACTTGCTTCATTGTGGTGGTTTCATATATCTATTATACAACTAGGTGTGTGTGTGTGTGTGTGTGTGTGTGGAACATTCTACCTGCCGTCCCGTGATTCTCCAACCTCTTAAGTTACTTTTAAACTTTACATACATTAAGCTTCACTCTTTGTGCTGTAAAGATCTATGGGTTTTGACAAATGCCTCGTGCCATTGTCTTAGTCCGTTTGGGCTTCCATAACAAAAATAGTGATAGACTGGGTGGCTTATAGACAACGCAACTTTATTTCTCACATTCTGGAGGTTGGGAAGTCCAAGATCAAGGTGCTGGCAGATTTCATGTCTGGTGGAGTCCTGCTCCCTAGTTCATAGACAGCTGCCTTTTCCCTAGATCCTCACATGCAAGAAGGGATAAGGGATCTCCGTGGAGTCTGTTTTATAAAAACACTAATCCCATTCATGAGGACTCTGCTCTCATGATCTAGTCATTCTCCAAATACCCCACCTTCTGCCTAATACCATCACCTTGGTAATTCAGCAGATGAATTTTGTGGCAACACAAATATTCAGACCAAAGCAAGCACGGAACCACCATTGCAGTATTATGCATACCAGTTTCACTGCCCTGATAAATTCCCTTGTGCTTGTCGGATAAACCCCATGGCCACCACTGATAGGTTTTTCATCTTTATAATTTTGCATTTTCCAGAATGTCATATAAATAGAATCTTATACTATGTAGCCTTTTTAGACTGGTTTCTTTCACTTAGCATAATGAACTGAAGAGTCATGTATAACTTTGTGTGGCTTGGAACTTATTCCTTTTCATTGAGGAGTAGTATCAATGTCTGGTTATATATATATATATATATATATATATATATATATATATATATCCATTCACCAAATGAAATACATTTTGGATGCTTCTATTTTTGGTGATTATGAAATAAGCTATTGTATACATTCATATACAAATTTTTATGTAGACATAAGTTTTCAAATCAATTGGGTAAATTGATTGAGTATGGCTGCTGAATCTTGTGCTAAGTCTATTTTCATTTTTTTAAGAAAACGCCAAACTGCCTTCCAAAGTGGCTGTGCCATTTTGCATTTCTACCAGCAATGAAGGAGAGTTTCCGTTGCTCCACATCTTCGCTGGCAATTGTTCTTGGTCTTGTATTCTTTGTTTTGGTTTTCTATGGATTTTGGACATTCTGATAGGTGTGCAGTGGTATCCCATTTTAGTACACAATTATCTAATGCCAAAGGGTGCTCAGTACTTTTATTATGCTTATTTGCCATGTGTATATCTTCTTTTGTGTAGTGTGTGTTCAGATCTTTGACTATTTTCATTTTTTCTATCATTGAGCTTTAAGAATTCGCATATATTGTAGAGACAAGTTCTTTATCACATATGTGTACCGCAGATGTTTTCTGCTAGTCTGTGGCTTCTGTTTTCATTCTCTTAACATTGTCCTTTGAAGAGCATAAGATTTTTATTTTAATAAAATCAACTTGGCAAATTTTTCTTTCCTTGATCATGCTTTTGGTGTTGAATTTAAAAACTCATCACCAAACTCAAAGTTATGTGGATTTTCTCTTATGTTTTCTTATAGAGGTTGTATTGTTTTTGCATTTTTCATTAGACCTATGATGTATCTTGAGTTAGTTTTCATGGAATATGTAAGGATATGTCCAGGTTATTATAATTTGTGTATAGGTGTCTAATTGTTCCGACACCTTTTGTTGGAAAACCTGTACTTTCACCATTATTGCCTTTGTTGTGAATCACCTGACTATATGCGTGCAGGTCTATTTCTGAGCTCTATTCTGTTTTATTAATCTGTGTGTCTATTCTTTGCTAATGCTTATGTCCTCCACCAAATTCATATTTTGAAGCCCTCAGCCCCAGGGTGTCTGTATTTGGAGATGAGGCTTCTAGGGAAGTGATTAATGTTAAAAGAGGCCATAAGGGTGGGACCTTGATCCCATAGAATTAGTTTGGTTATAAGAAGGGAGAAGAGACAGAAGAAAGTACTTTTGTGCCTACATGACCTTTCTCTCTCTCTCTCTCTCTCTCTTTCTCTCTCTCTCTCTCTCTCTCTCTCTTTCTTTCTCTCTCTCTCTGCACATGCACAGAGGAAAGGCCAAGAATGGACAGATTAATAAAGGGCCATCTACAAGCCACGAATAAGGCCATCACCAGAAGCCAACCCCGCCAGTCCTTGATCTAGGACTTCCAGACTTCAAAACTGTGAGAAAAAAAATAAATTTCTGTTGTTTTAGCTACTCACTCAATGGCATTTTGTTATGGCAGCCTGAGCTGACTTAAGACATAACTTCAGGTGACACAATTTTTTTTTGTTTCCTCCTAGAAAAAAAAAAAGTAATTTTGACATTTAAAGTCTGTAGTTCATTTTGAGTTACATTTCTGTATGGTGCAAGATATGTGCAATGGCTAGTACTATGTGTCAACTTGTCTAGGCTATACTGCTCAGCTGTGTGGTCAAACAGTAGTCTAGATGTTGCTGTGAAGGTATTTTGTAGATGTGATCAACATTTACAATCAGTTGATTTTAAGTAAAGCAGTTTAACTTCCATAATGTGGATGGGCCTCATCCAATTAGTTGAAGGTGTTAAGAGAAAAGACCAAGGTTTCCTGGAAAAGGAATTCTACCACAAGACTAACATAAAAATGCGCTGTGAGTTTCTAGCCTGCTGGCCTGCCTTCACTGTCCTGGGGGAGGCTTGGAGAGACCAGGTGGACTGGAGTAGACTGTTGAGAGACACTGGTCTGGTGAAGATGTCCAGGAAACCACGAGCCTCCAGCCCATTGTCCAACAACCACCCACCAACACCAAAGAGGCGAGGAAGTGGAAGGCATCCTCTCAACCCTGGCCCAGAAGCCCTATCAAAGTGAACGGCCCACCCAAGCTCTGACTCCTACCCTGTCCTCCCCTGGCACAACCCCCACCCCAGCCTGCACCATTTCTCTATGAAGCCCCTGTTCTCACCCCTCCTCCATCCTCTTCCCCAAACCAGTGCCCTTCTTTGATCTCCCTGTTTCCTTCTAGGTTCCCAAGACAACCCGGAAGGGAAAAGGGACCCATCAAGGAAGTTCCAGGAACAAAAGGCTCTCCCTAAAAGACCGCCGCTTCAAAAAAACCTGAGGAATGGAGTGGGCCAACACTATCCAGCCACTCTGACCAGCCGAACGAGGAACTCAATCAAAATGAGCCATAGCGGGACCACAAGGGCAAGGAGACCACCACCTTCTCCAGTCTCTCTTCGGACAGCCAGTAATTCCCGGGCAAGGCCAGAGACTTCAAGTCTATCTGAAAAGTCTCCAGAGGTCTAACCCCAGATAAATAGCCAACAGGGTGTAGAGTACATTTTACACCCCAAAGAGTGTGCCCCATGGTGATGAAAATAAAGTGAACATGTTGCAAAATGATGTGTGTGTCTGTGTGTCTCAAATGGTAGGGGTAGGGAGTAAGGGGAAAGAGGTGGGAGTGTGGGAAGGGAGGGGGGCATCCTCTACAATTTCTCTAATTCAACTTGCTCTTCGTTCTTTGGTTTCCTAGGGTGAAACTTTTGGTTATTGATTTTAGATTTCATTTTCTAATATAAACATTTAAAATATGCTATATATTTCCCTCAAGGACACACTTTAGCAGAATCCCACTTTTTGTATGTACATTTTTACTTTCATTCAACTTAATGTATTTTTAAAATTCTCCTGGGACTCCCTCTTTGACCCATAGGTTATATAGGAGCTTATTTTAAAATTTCCAATATTTGGGCATTTTTCAGATATCTTGGTGTTTGGTTTTGAGTTTAATTATATTATGGCCTAAGAAGAGGCTATCTATTATTTCTATTCTTTTCAATTTGTAAGCTTTGTTTGATGGCCCAGAATACCATCTATCTTGGGAGATATTTCATGCACACTTGAGAGGATTGTTTATTCTGCTATTGTTGAATGCGGTGCTTTTCTTATTGTTTTATTTAGTCAGAGTAGTTAATGGTGCTTTTCAGGTCATCTATATCCTTCCTGGTTTTCTGCTTACTTTTTCTCCTAAGTACTGAGAAACAAATCAAAGAGTTTTGAGAAATGTTTAGTCCCATGAAACCACAACCACAGTGAAGGTGAAAAATATATTCATCCTCCCCAAAAGTTTCTTCCTGTCTTCTTGTTGTCAAACCATCCCTTCAGTAGAAGTGATCCAAGGTGAGCAGAAGTGAGCATCCGCTGACCATGACCATTTTCCCTACTAACAGAGGCAGGTAGGCACAGAGAGCAGCAGTTGCTTTCACACACAGGCAGCATCCAGGAAGAAAACCAGATCGATAGTGTAATAGAAGGAGAGCTTTCTGGCCTGGACACAGGCTGTCGCTCCTTTTCTTGCACACTGCCAGTCCCCAAGTCTGGCTCTGCCTTCCTGGCTTCCCTGGCTCAGATGGGCGATTCACACCACCTCTTCATCTCCCCCGACTCCCTACAGACTGAATTAAGGGCCTTGCCACTTTCTATTGTTTTGTTGACTTGGTGTTTCCTCAGCATATATTGAATAAAAGTTTTCTGTAGGAATCAATACGTGCATGGAATGAATGAAATCACCTGGCATGGGAATTCTTTGATTCAAATTATGGAGTCTGCCCTTCCTGGGCCTCCTGCCTACATGAAGAAACCCACAGTTCCTTCACCTGTGCTCAGTTGAGTTCAGAAACCCTGTGGAAACTACCACGGAGAGGGTCACTGCAGACGCCTTCTCCCCAGGCCCAAACACTGTCATGGAGGTGAGGATGCTCCCAACAGGATGCTTCCTGTATTGGACCCCACACGTCCCCATCAGTTTAACAAGGAAAGCTGCCACCTGCAATGCCTTGCCATACAACCTGCTCACGTACACACCTTGGTCCAGCCCCCTACCCCAGACACTGTCATCTGGCAACATACGCCAGCGGTCACTGCCCTAGGACTCCTGTCCCGTTCTGTGCCAAGGGTTCAGAAGCCACAGAAGGCTATCTGAGACACAGTGGCCAACTGGAACATTTTCAAGGCACGTCCACAGCCAATCCTTCATCTGCAGAGTCTGAGCTGACTAGTCCCAGGGCACTCCTCCTCCCATTTCTCCTCCATGCAGCCCCACTGCCCCTTTCAACTGCTCATGGGCATTCCTGGCCTGTCTCGGCAGTTGGTCATCAGTCAGCAACCCACTCACATAGCCCAGCCTCTATAGAAGGTCCCCGGGGGATAAAACACCAGCCCCCAGCAGGCATGAAGACAGTTCCCACATCTGGGACGCTGGTGAAGGTACAAAGGACCACTGGAGTGTTCAAGAGAGGTAGCTGGCCCAGAATGACGCAGGGAGTCAGCCAAGCTCTTCCTGAGAGAGGGAAGGGGATTCTGAGGGCGGGAAGGTTGACCAGCACAGCCCTGGTGCATTCAGCCAACACTCAGATCACAGGGCCCCCTCCAGCTGGTGATGATGTTGCCGGGATTTCCCAACTCTATTCCTATTCATTGTCCTGTCCTCCCTCCTCCCTTCCCCCTTCTCTCCCTCAGGCCCCTGACCCCACCGGCCTGAAGTCTGGATTTAGAGCTCGGAGTGACAGCCTGCCTGGGGCTCTGTGGACTTGGTTTCGCATGTGGTCTCTCTCATGGACGCTAGCAACGGCTCTCCCCAGGATCCTCCCTGGATCCTCCCTCACGGGCTGAGGGTCTCCTGTCTGCTCTCATTACCTGGCTCCTCTTCAGTCTCACCAAATCCTTCTCAAAGCAGAGAAGAAATGTCCTGTCCACATTTCAGAATTTTAAATCAATTGTGATTTTTATGAGAATTTGAATTGGTACAGCACTTTTGTAATAACATTTTAGAAATATTTTAAATGTTAAACTATTTTCACCCTTTCACTTTAACCCAGTGTCCATGTTAATATATCCTTCTTATAAGAAAACCATGTTTGCCTAAAAATTCATATTCAGAGATGTTGATTTTATTGTAGTTATCATACAGCAAATGGGAAACAACTTATATGTCCACTAGGAAGAAAGAGTTTAATTAATTGTGGTGCATGTCTACTTTAGAATTATAGAAAGTGGTTTCAAAAGTGAGAAAGATCTATCTATCTATCTATCTATCTACCGTTGTGGAAAGATCCTACATCCATTTTATAAAGTGATAAAAGAATATCAGTATGTATATCATTGTTCTTGTATATTAAATAAAAACAACATATTGTTATAGTTTATCTGTCAGTGAGAAGCCTAGAGTCAGCAGTAAAATAATATACAACACCGTTAATTGTGGTGACCTCTGAGGGGGCGGTGGGGGTGGTGGGCGTTGTTAAATGTGGAGGAGATTTGTAAAGGGGAAAATTGTGAATTATCTACATTTCTATAAGTTTTGCAATAAGAATATGTACAATACTACATTTTAAATAAAAAAAAATTAAACCTGACAAACAGAAATACTAGCCATGTCAGTTTAAGTAACTGCTAGCCATTGCAACAGAACAACCACGAATGGCTTGCCACAACACAAGTTTATTTTATGTGCAAATAAGTTCTGATGCAGTTTGCCAGGGGCTCTCCACTCTCACGGGACCCAGGAATCCAAGCTGCTTCCACCTTGTGATTCCGTCATCTCAAGATGAAGCTGCCATGTTTGCTAGTGAAAGCGGAGAGAAAGCTTGGAAATGGCACACTGGCTCCCACATGCCTGGATGTGACAAACAATGCTTCTGCTCCTATATTGGTATAAAGGAAATGTCACATGACCCATCCTAACTGCAAGGACTTTACTGTTCCCATGTGTCCAGGAAGGAGACAGAGACAAAATGTGTGTGAGTACTATACCCTCCCCCATAAACTGTTACATAGTAGGTGCTCAACAAAAACAACTGTGATTCTTTGGTATTACACTACCCTTCTCATTTCTAGGAGGAGTTTCTGAGAAGGCCAAATTTGCCGTGACATTCTCCAACTTTTTCCAGTGTCAAATATGTAACTGATGTTTTCAAATATACGATCACAACTAACTGCCCAAGAATCTTGGAAGTCTCGGCGAGAAGGCTTCCCTTTGCAATACCCTTTAATCCTTAGTAGGCTGAGCATTTTTCCTCCATTTGATTCCCGGTCAAAATGTTAACCTGTGAATTTCTGCTACCCTCCACAAGCCTGAACACCTCTCGAGTGCCTGTAGGCACAATAAAGGCCAGTATTTTCCCGTGGAGCAGGTAAACAGACAAGAAACAGAAGGCTGCTTAATTATTCCTCTTTCATTAGAGTTGACATGTTTTCAAGGAATCGTTTTTAGACTCCTGGAGGACTCCAGAAATTTAGGAATTCAGCCTCAGTAAGTAGATGTTTGTTCCACTGGGATTTCCCAAGGTTTTTCTCATCTAGTACTCATGAGGGATGGTTTGCTCTTTGACCATTTATCTGTGCATGTATTCAGAGGCGAATTCCAAAAGGACGCCCTGTGAAAGTCTGATTTCAGGTATCAAGGTGGTTCCAAATTCCTCTCACTTCAGGGTGACATCACACAAGAACCCTTAGATAATATGGAGAAACAGACTACTCAGCCCTTTCAGAAAACAATTAGAGAGTGTATTGAAGACAACCGGAGTGGTAACCAGGTGTCTAAACGTCACTGTCCCCATGTGAATTTTTATATCAAAAGGATTGTTGATATCATATGGCTTCCTGGGTGAGAGACGGGACAGCCAGAGGACTTCTACTGTGAGAAGGAATGCTCCCTGTCAGGAGGTGAGCAGGGGATTCTGGGCTGTTCTGTGGGGACCAGTGAGGAGCTGATCAGCAGGCCCTATAGGTTCCGGAGTCAGACAGGACACATGGAAGTGACCCGGGGAAATGTGCTGTAATTCTGAAAGTGCTGGGGCTGGACAGAAATGAACACATCTTGCCAGTGTCAGCTCTCAGGGAACCCAGTGCACACCAGCCCCAAATGGTGTTTGATTCTCATTGTCGCGTTCTCCAGGCCTGCTTTATTACGCTGGCCTCGAGGTCCTTCTTTTTGTCACCTGAGAGACATGGTGCAGTGCTGAGAAGAAAAATGAAGTCGCTGTCAGGAGGTCAGCCTCGGGCTGGGAGAAGTGGGAACAGCATGGGCTCTAAAGGAATTCAGAACAGGGGTCGGGTTCTGCCCTGTTCCTCACTAGCCACGTGATCCTGGGAAATACCCAGGAAATACCCTGTTTTTATATCCCAATTCACACACCCTGTGAGCCTTGGATTCTTCATCTGTAAGCAGATGTGATAAGGACTGTCTAGTAGGACAGTTGGAGTGTATGCAACGCAGGTGAAGCACCTGACTCCGGGCCTGGTATAAATTAGAAGTTTAACAAATGGCGGATGGCTGTTATTTCCAATATTTTTTAACCCGAGGCCCTAACACTCCGGGATTTTGTTGTTGCTGTCGTTGTTCTCCAGGACTTACCAGAGAATATACAGCTCAATAGGACATGGAATAATTAGCCCCAAACAGAAGCTTCTTCCATAAAATTCAGTTAAGTATTTCCTCTCAGAGAACGCGCTTCAAAATTTGGGTGTGCAGGAGTTTCGCCCAGCCAGGTGCAGCTCGGAGCTCCTACAATCTGCGTCAAAAGACCAACTGCTTCTCTCTCTCCCAGCTGCTTTCCCACCCAAACCACCATTTTCATCCATTTTGTTACCATCCAAAATCTAGCCCGTGCTTACAATTGGTCAAATTGCACTTGAGATAACCTAGTTGGAATGCCTTTTTTAATGGAGTCAGCTCTGGCTCTCCCTGCCCGGCAGAAAAGCACCTGGCCAGGGGCTTCTGGGCCACCCTTCCTGGGAAATTCAGCCTTATCGCTCAGGAAACCCTTGCAGATGATGGGTGTCCATCACCTAGATCTTGGGCTGCGTTCAACAGCAGTGGGACAAAAGCAGACGACACCTTCCATTCCTGCCTGAGGTAGAGATTCCTCTCTGTTCATCCCCCATTCGAAAGAAACTGCTCAGAGTTGCTTTCCATTCCAGGCTTTTCTCCCACACTCTGAGAATCTGGCTCTGGGCCCACCCAACTTCATTAGAGTCAGCTCCTTCAGAAGGAACTGAAGTTTCCCAAAGCCCAAAATGCCCCAGCTCAGGGCACTGACACTCCACTACTCTCACCCGGAGCGCCACACCCTCACCCCTCTCTTACATTTCCTCTACATCTTACAGGACTTCTCACCACCTTAATTATATGACTGCAGGTCCTAGGCTCTACAGCCCTATGGGTAGGCGTGAGTCTGGCTTACCTTAGCATCCCCACTACTAACCCAGGGCCTCCCACAGAGCAGATGCTGAGTGAACGGAAAAGAAACGAGCCAGTGAAGAGGAAGAATTATTTATTCAGATTTAATTTCGCTTGCATTCTCAAAGAAGTCAAGGAAATCCTGGTTTGCATATTTGTTTAATTTTACAGAATAGATTGAGGTACAAGGCAAGAATCAACTATCTTTTGATTTCTTGAGTTATCTCATGTATGTTATTGCTAATTCGCTCACAATTTTAAGCAAATACTTTTACCACTGCTATTATTATGTCACAATTCACAAAATGGAATGGATTTCCCAATTTGAGTAAAAAACAAGACTCTTACTCCTAAACTATATAAACAGCACTATGTGTGACTACTGTCATTCATAAACCTGGATGCTGACGCTCATTCAACCATCCGTTAAAAGGAACATTTGAACAACTCCAACAGGAAACAAAGAATAATCTCAAAGTCATCCAACAGAACAGAAACCCACTACTAAGAATGCTGACTGCTCGCTTCAAAGAGTGAAGAATGGGCCTCACGTCACAGGAGGCAGTGGAAACTAAGGGATGCGGCCCCGGAAGGTGCACTGGCCCAGACCCCCTCCCACTGGCCCTGGCTGCAACTCGTGCTCAGACTCACTCTTCCCCCTCTCTCAAAACCCACTCATGCAGGGGTGGGTAGGAAATGTGAGGTCCTCCACTGATCTTTACCATATGGTGCAGGACTTTCACATAGCTGGTTTCAACGAGGGCCCTTGGACCCCACAGGAATTCATAACATGCAGGATCACTGCCGGGGACCTGCCGGTACTCCAGGTAGTTTTCCTGCACGAAATGTTGGGTGAGCAGCTTCTTGGGATCCCCCAAGATACTGTCTTCCCTCCCCTCAAACACCTCTAACACACTCAGCTCCTCCCAGATTTTCTCCTCAGGGGCACAGTCGCCCTCTCTTGCGATTATGGCCAGGACGATTATCAGGAGGCCTGCCTTGGGCATGATCTGATTGTCACCCAGCAGGCCATCGTAGGAGAGGCCCAGGCAGGTGGCAAAGATGTACAAGTGGCCGATGGGGTCCACTTCCATCAGCTCGATGCCAAAGACCAGCTGCAAGGAACTGGAAGCTTTGCTGAAGATCACAGGAAAGAAATACTGCCAATTTCCGACGACACTCCCCAGCATTTCTGCCTTTGTGACCGGCTCCCTGGCTCGATACTTGAGGAGCAGAAAATGAACCAACTCGGCCACCTTCCTACTGAGTGCTGCTTGGAACTCGGACTCCAGGTCAGGGAAGGTGCTTGGCCCCTCCTCTTCTTGGTTGCTGGAGTCCTCATAGGATTGGCTCCAGAGAGGGTAGTTCATGGTAGTGGGGAGGCTGGAGGCTCCCTGAGGACTCTGGGGAGGATCTGGTGACTCGGCAGCAGGCACCTCCCCCAGGGTGACTTCAACTAGAGTAGAAGAGGAGGAGGCAGCCTCCTGCTCCTCAGTAGCAGGAGCCTGCGCACCCACCAGGCCCAGGGCCTCTCCTCGGGCCTCAAGGCCTTCTTCAGGCTTGCAGTGCTGACTCCTCTGCTCAAGAGGCATGATGACTCTGGTCAGGGCAACAGGCGGGAGTGTGGGCAGGAGCTGGGCAATGGAGACCCACTGGCCTGGGGAGAGAGGGAGCATGTGAGAGACCTCAGCTGAGTACTGAATGGAACCTTGGAGGCTCTAACAAAGGCTTACTTACAGATCTTCTCCTTCAGTGCTCCTCCGGGGGCCTCTGGTCCTCCAGGTCAGCCTGTCCCCTCAGAACCTGAAGGAGGAAGTGAGAGGGCACCTCAGGGTACATCCGGCCAGCGCATGCTGAGGCTGCAGGACTGAAAGTATTGAGGGTGAGGCCAGGCGCTCTGGAGTCCATGTGTTCTGGGGCAGGTGGGGCCCTTGGTTTGAATCCAAGGCAAACCTTCACCGTTGGCACTATCTGAGCCCCCTCTACTCTGTGACCTGAGGACACTGCCTCAGACCAAGTCCTCACTGCCTTGTTCCTGGAGCTCCTGATTCCTGGGAGAGGAATCCACGGGCCCCCAATGTGCAGACAGCAAACGCAGCCACGGATTCCCAGAACTGTCAGGAGGGTTGGCCAGACTCTGTGAGGTCCCCACTCTACTGGGGTGGAGGATCCCCTCTGTGCTCACTCAGGGCCCTCACCTTTCTCCTTATAGGGCCTAATCCCTCCCTTCTGCTGGCCTGAGAATCTCTCATGTCAAGAACTCACATACCTGATATGGTACAGAAAAACATGAGGGGACCCACATCTGGCCATACATTCCCAGGTCCTCCCGGAAAGGACAACGAGAGATGTCCAAATTTATTGAAGTCCATGTACCCTGGGTGAGGAGACTGCTTGGTCCTCACCTCCACTCCTAGTAGGGTCTGAGAGCCTCCCTCTACTGCCCTGAGTGCAGCCCCCTCAGACCAAGGCTTCCCCTTCCCTGACATCAGTGATCCTAGGATAATGGAGGGACCTCAGCTGACAGCCCTGCCCAGGCTCTCTGAGGTAACAGCAGGAGCAGGGCAGATTTTTATGGGGCCCCCAGTCCGCATTCTGTCCCAGGGGTACCCTCAATCCTCCCTCAGTCTCTTCACCTGGATGCTTGGCAGATCCTAGGACCACTGCATCTGTCCACCACATAGGGGCCCCTTGGGGGTACACCTTGGGCCCTGCAGATCCTGGGATTCCTCCCTCTGCTGACCTGAAGTCCCACTCTTCAGACCACAGCCCTCAACTCTCTGGTCACCCTGAAGGCGCAATGAGCACAGAGCACATTTGGCCACTGTGCCCAGCATCCCCCAGCCCAAGGTTGCCACTGATCTGGACTCCAAGGTCCCCTCAGTCCTCCCTCTTCTTCCTCCCCATGACTCCTCGCAGGGCTGGGCCCCAACCCCCTGCTGAAGTGGGTCTGCATCCCTAGGATTCCCGTAGCCGAATGAAAAGGTGCCTCGGTTTGAGACAGGGGTACAGTGGGCCCCCTGTCCTGGCATGCTGGGTCCCCTCAGGACTCCACTGTCTTCCAGGAGGGCCTGGGCCCTTTCGCTGCCTCCCAACGGCCATACTCGCGATACCGAACCCCTTCCCTCCCTTAGCCGTAGATGTGAACCTCAGGACTCACGTGCCTGGCCGCCATTCCCGGAGCTTCCGTGACTTGATACCAGGGGCAAAGCCCGGATTCTGCCAGGATAGGGGTGGGGGTGGGGATGGGAATGGGGAATGGGGGATGGGGGTGGGGTTGGTGTTGGGGGACGGGAATGGTGGTGAGGGTGGTGGTTAGGCTGCCCTCAGTTCCCTCTCGGGGTCCTGACCTTGATTCCTGCCACAGCGTGGGCCCTGACCTCTTCTAACCAGCCCTGCCCTGGCCACATTAAGCTCTGTCCCCAGAGTTCCCCGTGGCTAAAGCGGCGGGGGTCGGCGGGGTGAGGTAGTGGCGACCCAGCCTGGAAGTCTTCCCCTGCGGGGTGGCCCAGGCCCGGCAGCAGAGGCAGCACTGGATTATTTGAGGCCCTCTGTCTGAGGTGAGGCCCGCCTCAGTCCTCCCTCAGCGTCTTACCTTGCCTCCTCACCGAGCCTGGGCCGGCTTCCCTCCGCCGACGTCAGGCCGTCGCTCGTTGCTCAGGGCGAGAATCTCGCGGTCTTCTGACCTCCAATGCGCAAGTCAGTGGCGTCACATCCTGGCAACGGTACTACCCTGGGTTCCGGGCAGGGGTGGAACTGGATTCTGCCTGGATGGGGATCGGATGGGGGTGGAGGTAAGCATGAAGATGGTGATGGGGCAAGGGGTAAGGATTGGGACGGGGGTCCTGAGGCTGTAGATCCTGGTGGGGTCGGGGGAGTTGGGGGTGGGTGGGCGGGGCCTTCGGTCATCCCTCAGGGTCCTGAAGTTGATGCCTGGCTGAGCCTGGACCGCCATCCTCTGCAGATTGCTTCTGCTCCCCTCAGACCAAGTCTCTGACTCTGAGTCCCCCTGAAGTGGCATTGGGGGAAGGGGTGTGGTCTGGGTGACATCACTGCCTGCGTTTACCAGGGCTGACAAGAGGGGCTGAGCTGGATTCTGTGGTCCCTCTATGGTGTGTGGGGTGGGGGGGCGGTGTGGACCCTCAGTCCTCACTCAGGAGGGTCGTCTTCGTCACCTCTGGCTGTTGGATGAAGTGATGGGCAGGAGATGCTCTGTTTCTGTCACCTGTGAGCATTTGCACAGCTGCACCCCTTGTAGAGAATGCCTGCGGGTCCCAGGCCAGGTGCTCCCTGCAGGGCGGGGCGGCAGCTCCCGCGGTTGTAGTGACCTCCTATTTCAGTCTTTGTGTTCTGTTGAAAGAATTTTTTTTTTTTAAAAATGTAATTCCTCTGCCACTATGGTGGTTTCAGGTTGTTATTAGCAGAACTCTGGAGTCATACTGCCTTAACCAACCAAATTTTCCTGGTGTCCTGCTATTACCTAGGGCTCTTGGCATCGTGTTTTCAGAGGCTGCCTCAGATTGTGCAAAGAAGTGAAGTGGAAAATTTCAAACTTTTATTCTACCCATTCTGTCATCTACCGTGTAGGCCGGCTACAAACCTCCCCAACATCCCTGCTGCTAACCCCCTCCAACCAACACTGCAAGTGTCAAACACAAGTACCAGCTCAACACAGCCTTGAGTCTCACCCTGGGCTTTCCCTGTTTTGTTGCGTAGATTTTGTTGCTGATACTGGTTTTTTATTTACTGTTTCCATTCTGTAATTTTCCAGGTTTGATTTGGGAAGCAGAGCACAGCAGCCCAAATTTGTTGTAATGGCGGCGGCTACAGGTAAGGCACTAAATTGTAAATAATTTAAGCTGAGTTTACATTTTTACAGTGTTGTGCTCCCCATGAATGAATATGTTATACTCCTCTATGTATTTCAAGCTTTTTTTTACCTGAATATGTCAGTATACTTCGACAGTTGTCTCTATAAAGACCTTATACATTTTTATTAGACTTCTTTTCAGGCAATTCATGAATTTTGTTGCTATTGCAAATGGCATATTGTCTATTAATTGTTGTAGTTAGTTATTGCTTTCGTGAGGTGAAGATTTTGATTTTGCTGTAGTAATCTGTTGCACTCCTCGTTCTGAAGGCCGATGCACTTGAATATTCCACATACCTTTTCCTTTGAATTTTCAAGATCGATAATGGTATTATCACTAAACATTACATATTCTTCCAGTATTCATACCACTTACTCATTTTGGTACTTATAGCTCTTTGTGTCTCAATCCTGATTTCAATCGTAGAGATAATAGCCTACATCTACTTCTCGTTCCTGACGTGAATGATAATTATTCGAACGTTTTGCATTTAAGTATGTTTGCTGTTGATTTTAGGAAGTGCAATTTCTCTTTGAATATAGGTTAAATACTTTTTTTTTTTTTACCATGAACTCATATTAAATTTCTTTAAAAAGCTTTTTCTGTACCCGTTGACACAATCAAATTTTTTTCTCCTCCATTTTGTATGTAAGGAATTACAATGAAACCGTTTTTTTTTTTTCCCCTAATGTTAAACCGTATGTTATTTCCTTGGGCAGAGCCTGTTTATTTAATATGCTAGTAATTTACGTAGGATATTTGCTGCTATGTAAGGGAGCTTACTTAATGTGTGCTTTTTTTCCCATCAAGGGTGGGATGTGGTCCTCATCTGGTTTTTGAATCCAGGAGGGCTAGTCTGGAAGAATGAATTGAACAATTGTAAATATTTTGTATGTTCTAGAAGAGATGAGATAAGATGGTGGTTAGTTTTCCCTGATCATTTGGTAGAATTGGCCTCCAATACTGCCTAACCTGGAATGTTTGAAGGTGGCTTGAGCTTTGAACATTGTACAGTTTCAGTTTTTATAGTTTAATTAAAGTTTTCTTTTTCTTTTTGGATCAGTTTGGTTACTGGTTTATTTTATTTCTACAAAGTGGTCAGTTTCATTTAGGATTTCACTTTTAATGGCATATTTATTATAAAAAAAGTTTTACTAGGGAAAGCCTTCACACATACAGAATAATAGGAACTAATGTAATGAACCCAGGATACTAGATACCCAGCATGAACAACTTTAAATACACAGCAAATCTGGTTCCAGTTAGACACTTGCCTACCTGCACATCAGCTTCTGGAATAACGTGGAGCGAATCTAAGGCATTAGACCATTTCATCTCGAAATAACTCAATATGCATTTTTAAAAGATAAGGACGTTTTATTAAACAGAATCCCAATAGTTTTCATATCTGAAAAATTATATAAATGATTATCAAATATTCAACTATTTTACATGCTTATCTGGCCGACTTATACTTTATAAAAAACATATTTCTTTGATGGAGTACCCAAATATGGTAACTTTCCCGCCACTTGCTTCACTGTAGTGGTTTCATACATGTATAATACAGCTAGGTTTGTGTGTGTGTGTAACATTCTACATTCTGTCCCATGATTCTCCAACTTCTTAAGTTACTTTTAGACTTTACATACATTAAGCTTCACTCTTTGTGCTGTAAAGATCTATGGGTTTTGACAAATGCCTCGTGCCGTTGTCTTAGTCCCTTTGGGCTTCCATAACAAAAATAGTGTAGACTGGGTGGCTTATAAACAACACAACTTTATTTCTCACATTCTAGAGGTTGGGAAGTCCAAGATCAAGGTGCTGGCAGATTTCATGTCTGATGGAGACCTGCTCCCTAGTTCATAGACAGTTGCCTTTCCCCTATGTCCTCACATGGAAGAAGGGGCAAGGGATCTCTGTGGAGTCTATTTTATAAAAACACTGATCCCATTCATGAGGACTCTGCTCTCATGAACTAGTCATTCTCCAAATACCCCACCTTCTACCTAATACCATCACCTTGGTATTTCAGCAGATGAAGTTTGTGGGAACACAAATATTCAGATGAAAGCAAGCATGCATCCACCATTACAGTATTACCATACTAGTTTCACTGCCCTGATAAATCCCCTGTGCTTGTCAGATAACCCCCTTGGCTGCCACTGATAGGTGTTTCATCTTTATAATTTTGCCTTTTCCTGAATGTCATATAAATAGACTCGCATACTATGTAGCCTTTTTAGACTGGTTTCTTTCACCTAGCATAATGAACTGAAGAGTCATGTATAACTTTGTGTGGCTCAGAACTTATTCCTTTTCATTGAGGAGTAGTAGTATCATTGTCTGGTTGTACCATAGTGCGTGTGTATATATATATCCATCCACCAAATGAAATACATTTTGGATGCTTCTATTTTTGGTGATTATGAAATAATCTTTTGTATACAATCGTATACAAATTTTTATGTAGACGTAAGTTTTCACGTCAATTGGGTAAATTGATTATGACTGCTGAATCTTATGCTGTGTTCAGTTTTTTAAGAAAACGCCAAATTGTCTTCCAAAGTGGCTGTACCATGTTGCATTTCCACCAGCAATGAATGAGAGTTTCTGTTGCTCCACATCTTCCCTGGCAATTGATCTTGGTTTTCTTTTCTTTTTTTTTTTTTTTTTGCTTTTTTATGGATTTTGGACATTCTAATAGGTGTGTAGTGGTATCTCATTTTAGTACACAGTTATCTAATGAGAACGGATTCTCAGTACTTTTTTATGCTTATTTGCCATGTGTATATCTTCTTTTGTGAGGAGTGTGTTCAGATCTTTGCCTATTTTCATGTTTTTTCTGTCGTTGAACTTTAAGAATTCGTGTATGTTGTAGAGATATGTTCTTTATCACATATGTGTACCACCGATGTTTTCTGCTAGTCTGTGGCTTCTGTTTTCATTCTCTTAACATTGTCCTTTGAAGAGCACATGATGTTTATTTTAATAAAATCTACTTGGTAAATTTTTCTTTCATTGATCATGCTTTTGGTGTTGAATTTAAAAACTCACCACTGAACTCAAAGTTATGTGAATTTTCTCTTATGTTTTCTTATAGAGGGTTGTATAGTTTTTGCATTTTGCATTAGGTCTGTGATTTATATCGAGTTAATTTTTCTGGAATATGTAAGGATGTTTCTAGGTTATTATAATTTGCCTGTAGATGTCTAATTGTTCAGGCACCTTTTGCTGGAAAAACTGTACTTTCACCATTATTGCCTTTGTTGTGAATCACCTGACTATAAGTGTGCAGGTCTATTTCTGAGCTCTATTCTGTTTTATTAATCTATGTGTGCATTCTTTGCTAATGCTTATGTCCTCCACCAAATTCATACTTTGAAGCCCTCAGCCCCGGGGTGTCTGCATTTGGAGATGAGGCCTCTAAGGAAGTAATTAATATTAAAAGAGGTCATAAGGGTGGGGCCTTGATCCCATAGGATTAGTATGGTTATAAGCAGTTAGAAGAGACAGAAGAAATTACTTGTGTGCCTGCACTAGCTCTCTCTCTCTCTCTCTCTCTGCACATGCACAGAGGAAAGGCCAAGAACGGATATATTGAGAAAGGGCTATCTACAAGCCAGGAATAAGGCCGTCACCAGAAACCAACCCTGCCAGTCCTTGATCTGGGACTTCCATACTTCAAAACTGTGAAAAAAAATAAATTTGTTTTGTTTCAGCTACTCAGTCCATGGCATTTTGTTAGGGCAGCCTGAGCTTACTAAGACATAACCTCAGGTAACACAATTTTTTTTTGTTTTCTCCTACAGAAAAAAAAAAAACCCATAATTTTGACATTTAAGTCTGTGGTTCATTTTGAGTTACATTTTTGTATGGTGTAAGATATGTGCGATGGTTAGTATTATGTGTCAACTTGTCTAGGCTATAGTGCTCAGCCGTGTGGTCAAACAGTAGTCTAGATGTTGTTGTGAAGGTATTTTGTAGTTGTGATTGACATTTACCATCAGTTGACTTTAAGGGAAGCAGTTTAATCTCCATAATGTGGATGGGCCTCATCCAGTTAGTTGAAGGTGTTAAGAGAAAAGACTAAGGTTTCCTGGAAAAGGAATTCTACCGCAAGACTAACATAAAAATGTTGTGTGAGTTTCTAGCCTGCTGGCCTGCCTCACAGATTTGGGATATACAAGACCTCATAATCACATGAGATAATTCCTTATGAAACCTTTATCTTTCTTTCTCTCCCTCCCTTTTTACATAGATAGATATGTAGGTAGGTAGCTAGATAGATAGATAGACAGGAAGAAAGCAATTACGGATTGAAATTCAGTTTTGCATATAGATATCCAGTTGTTCTAGACCCAGTTGAATACACTATCATTTCTCTCCTCGAATCTTCATTTGTATCTTTATCAATATTTGACTTATATATATATGCATATACATGTGGATCCATTCCTGGACTTTACTCTCTTCTTTTTATGTGTTTCTAAATTTAGGACAATTCCACACTATACTGATTATTGTTAGTTAATAAACCTTCAAATGAAGTAGGGGAACCCCTCTGTATTTATTCCTTTTCACACAGCTGATAAAGCATACCAGAGACTGGGAATGTTACAAAAGAAAGATGTTTATTGGACTTGCAGTTCCACGTGGCTGGGTAGGCCTCACAATCATGGTGGAAGGCAAGGAGGAGCAAGTCACGTCTTACATGGATGGCGGCAGACAAAGAGAGAGAGAGCTTGTACAGGGAAACTGCCGTTTTTAAAACCATCAGATCTCTTGAGACTTATTCACTATCACGAGAACAGTATGGGAAAGACCCAACCCCATGATTCAATTATCTCCCACTGGGTCCCTCCCACAACATGTGGGAATATTGGGAGCTACAAGATGAGATTTGTGTGGGGACACAGAGCCAAACAATATCATTCCACATGTGGCCCCTCCCAAATCTCATGTCTTCACCTTTCAAAACCAATCCTGCCTTCCCAACAGTCCCCCAAAGTCTTAACTCATTTCAGCGTTAACGCAAAAGCCCACAGTCCAAATCTTGAGAAGTTGTCAAAGGACACTCAGTTTTCTTCAGTTAATAATGTAAAAGGACTGCACTGACGTGGTTAAATTCCCAGGACTCTCAGTTCTTTAGGAATGGACTAAATATCTGGTATCGTCACTTACAAAAGTGTCTTGAACTTGATATAGTTTATGTTCAGAAATTGGTTCATATTTTTTATTTTTATCTTTTAATTCAATTTTTTTTCATGAGCTTTTTGAAGGCCCCCGGATATGCACCCTGTATAAAGGAGAAAAATTCTCGGGACTACTAATTTTGACCGAAATTATTGTTGATTTAATTTATACAAACACAAAAGGTGATACAAACATTTTTATAGCACCTAATGAACATATTTGTGAAATAAATGCATTCAAAAACAAACTAAAACAGAAAAGAATAAAAATATACAATAAAATAGTACACAGCAGGTTGCTGATTGTGGTGACCTCTGAGGTGCGGGCTGAATTGTGGAGGAACTTTATACAGAGAAGAATTGTGAATTATCTGTATTTTAGATTTCTTTTGCAACAAGAATATAGGCACAATTATCTTTTAAATTACAATATCTAAATAAGCCTAACAGCAAAAATAGTAGCTGTGTATTAGTCAGTTAAAGTAACTGAAGTAACTGCTAGCTGATGCAATAGGCAAACCCTGGAATTTGAGTGACATGACAAAACACAAGTTTATTTAATGTGCACATGAGTCCTGATGTGGTTTGACAGGGCCTCTCCACTCTCCCGTGACCCAGGTATCCAGGCAGCTTCCACCTCGGGATTCCACCACCTCAACATGAGGCTGCCATGTTTACTATTAGATGGAGGGAGAAAGCATGGAAATGGCACACTGGCTCTCAGATGTCTAGATGTGACAAACAATGCTTCTGCTCATGTTTCAGTGGTAAGGGGTTGTCACATGACCCTTCCTAACTACAAGTGGACTGTACTGTTCCCATGTATCCAGGAAAGAGAGGAAGATGAGATGTGGGTGAGCACTATAGTCTCTCCCATAAACTGTTGCATAGTAGGTGCTCAACAAAAAGGAACTATTATTATTTGCTATGACAACAGCCCTCTTCATTGCTGGGAGGAGTTTCGGAGAAAACCAGATTTTCTTTACGTTCTCCAACTTTTTTTAAGTGTGTACTGTATGACAGATGCTTTCAAATACAGGATCACATGTAGTTTTCTAAGGATCCAGTATACCTCAGCACCTCGTGTGATATACTAACTTCTTCACTCACTAGTATAGTTAGATATACTAACTATCTTCACTTACTAACACTTTTCTGCACTGTCATTTGCAATAATGTCTGAAACCTTAGTAGGCTGAGAATTTCTCATTCTTTTAATTCATGGGTAAAACCTCAACCTGTGGGTCTCTGCTACCCTCCTGTTACCTGAACGTCTGTTCAGATGCCATTAGACACATTGAAAGCTATGTCTTTCCTGTGGGGCAGATCCACAGACCAGAAGTAGTGCCAAGAGAGTTCTTTTTTTCATTTCTGATTTTTTTTCCATTTCTAATCAGAGCTAGCATGCCTACCGAGGAACCACTTTTCGTCTCCTAGGAGAACTTTAGGGTTTTAGGAATTCAGCTTCAGTAGATATTTGCCCCACAGTGATTTTGACAGTCCTTCCTCATCTGTCACTTATGAAGGAGATGCTGTGAACTGAACTGTGCCCCCACCCCCACCAAAACTCATATGTTGAAACCCTAAGACCCAGTGTGATGTATCTGTAGATGAGGCCTTTGGACGTAATTAGAGTTAGATGAGGTCATTAAGGTGGAACCTTCGTGATGGGATTACCGCTCTTATAAGAGACATCAGAGAGCTTGCTCGCATTCTCTCCTTCTGCCATGTGCAGACACACAGAGAAGGTAGCTGTCTACAAGCCAGGAAGAGACCCTCACCAGGCATCAAACCTGCTAGAACCTTGATCTCAAACTTCCCAGCCTCCAGAAATGCGAGAAACATCTACCTATTTGTTTAAGCCACCCAGTGGTACTTTGTTATGGTACTTTGTTATGGCAGCCTGAGCTAATACAAGAGGCTTTGGCTTTTGACCATCTATGTATGTGCTCTGTGGCCAGTTTCCAATGAGACAGCTTATTAAAGTCCTATTGTAAATATAGGATGGTTTCAAACACTTTCTAACTTCAGGGTTGTATCCCAGGAACTGATATATTATAAGTCAAAATCAGACGCTACTCACCAGCTGACTTGGAAAACATTTTAAGAATGTGTTGAAGACATCCAACAGGATGATCAGATGTCTAAAGGTCTCTATTCAAAGTCAAATGTATTTTTGCTATTAGAGGGGCCCCAGTGTGAGGAACAGGGACAGTCAGGGGACTTCTCCAGAAAGTAGAACTGTTCTATGTTAGGAGAAGGGCAGGTGACTCTTGGCTGTCCCACTGGAAGTAGGGCACAGCCTTTAAAGGATGCAACCATGAAGAGCTTAGCAGCAAGCTCGATTCCAGAATTGGACAGGCAGGCACATGGGGCAAGACCATTGTGGAAGGGTGCTATAATTCGGGAAAGTGCTGGGAATGCACAGAAATGCTGGCACCTGGACAGAGTTGGCTCTCAAGGAACCACAGACGATTCCTAAATTGTGTTGGTTCTCATTGTCACCTTCCTTCATGTCTTAGTCATTTCATGCTGCTGTAACAAAATGCTATAGACTGGGGGTCTTACACAACAGATGCTTATTTTCTCCCAGTTCTGGAGGCTGGGAAGCCAAAAGTCAGAATGCCAGTATGGTGGGTGTCTGGTGAGGGTCTTCTTTCTGGCTTATGGATGCCCACCTTCTCTGTGAGTCCTCACATGGCAGAGAGAGAAAGAGAAAAATGTGCAAGCTCTCTGGCATTTCTTCCTATAAGGACACTGATATGGTCTGGATCAGTGTCCCCACCAAATCTCACGCTGAATTGTAATCCACAGTGTTGGAGGTGGGGCCTGGTGGGAGGTGATTGGATCATGGGGGCAGATTTCTCATTAATAGTTTAGTACCATCACCTTGGTACTGTGCTCATGATAGTGAGTGATTTCTCACGACATACGGTCATATAATAGTGTGTGGCAATGCCCCCCCCGTCTCTCTTGCTCCTGCTTTCACCAAGTGAAGAGCCTGCTCCTTCTTTGCCTACTGCCATAAGTAAAAGCTCCCTAAGGCCTCTCCAGAAGCAGATGCTGCCACGCTTCCTGTACATCCTGCAAACCGTAAGCCAATTAAACCTATTTTTTTTAATAAATTACCCAGTCTCAGGTATTTTTTTATAGCAACGCAAGAATGAACGAATACAGACATTAATCCAATCATGAGGGCCTACGCTCTCAGGAGCTCATCTAACCCTAATTACCTCCCAAAGGCCCCATCTCCAGACCATCACATTGGGACTTAGAGCTTCAACATATACATTTTTTTTTTTTTTTGGAGGGGAGCACATTTCAGTCCATAGCACTTCTATAGGCATACTTTTTGTAGCTTGACCACAGGGTCCTTCTTTTGGTTGCCTGAGAGACGTGGATTCCTGAGAAGTAAATAGCAAGACGAAGGTCTGCTTCAGGTTGGGACGAGAAGGAATGACATACACTCAGATGAATTCGGACCATGTGTATTAGTTTGCTTTGGCTATCATAACAAGGTACCACAGACTGGGGGAGCTTAAGCGTCAGAAATGTATTTTCCCAGTCCCGGAGGCTACAAGTTCAGGCTCAAGGTGTGGGCAGGGTTGAGTTGTCCTGAGGCCTGTCTCCTTGACTTGTAGATGGCCATTCTCTTCCTGTGTCTTCACATGGTCTTTCCTCTGTGTGTGTCTGTGTCCTAATGTCCTCTTCTTATAAGGACACCAGTCATATTGGATTGGGGCCCATCCTAATCTAGCAGGGATGCAATCCCAACCGTGTTGCTTATTAGCCATGTAATTATGGGGAAATCATCAAGCCGCATGAGCATCAGGTTCTTCATCTGTGAAGCAGGTTTGATAAAGTCTGTCTTATAGGACTTTTGGAGTGTGTGCAATGTAAGTAAAGCACTTGGCTCAGGGCCTGGCATATATTAGATCGTTAATGTTTGGCAGTTATTTGTGTTACTATTTGGAACTCAGATCCTACCATAGTTGCCTCTGGGAATTTTGTTGTTGCTGTTGTTATTGTTATCTAGGAAACCTCAGAGTACGTAGCACAACAGTACAGAGAATAGAATACCAACTCAGCCCAAAGTGTTGCTTCATAGACAAAACACAGTAGAATTTCCCTCCTAGAGGATCTATTGTTTAATTTGTGTGTGGAGGAGTCTTCTTCAGCTGGATTGCAGCTCAGTGTTCCTGGAACGTGAGTCCAGGACCAACTCTTTTCCTCCCTCTCAGCTGCTTTTCCATCTCAACCACTATTTTCATTCATATAATCACCACGCAAAATCTAGCCCATGCTCAGGAATGGCCAAATTACACTTGAGATAACCTAATTAGAATGCCATTTGACTAGAGTCAGCTCTAGCTCTCCCACTAAGGCAGAAGAGTACCTTGCCAGTGGCTTCTGGGCCTCCCTTCCTGAGAGATTCACCCTTACCTCCCAGGAAACCCTTGCAGATGATGAGTATCCATCACCTAGCTCTTGGGCTGTATTCAACCGCACTGGGATAAGAGCACAGGATGCCTTCCATTCCTGCCCCAGGTGGAAACTCGTCTATGTTCATCCACCAACCATAATGAACTGCTCAGAGCAGTTTTCCATTCCAGGCTTTTCTCTCCCTGAGAATCTGACCCTGGACCCACCAGCTTCATTAGAATCAGCTTCCTCCGAAGGAACTGCAGTTTCCCAAAGCCCAAAAGGCCCTGGCTCAGGGCATTTACACTCCACCACTCTCACCGGGAGCACCACACATTCTGCCCTCTCTTACTTTTCCTCTAGGTCTTAGAGGAAATCTCACCAACTTAATTTTATGACTATAGCTCCTAGACTCTACCACCCTTCGGGTAGGGGTGGGTCTGACTTATGCCAGTATCTCCAGTAACACAGTGCTTTCCAAAGAGCAGATGCTCAGTGAGTGTTTGAGAAAGAATGAGCCAGTGACCAGGACTTCCATTTAAGATATAATTTCTCCTACATCCTTGAATAAGCCAAGAAAATCCAGGTACACATATATGGCTTAATTTTATAGAACAGCACATGAATAAAAAGCTGAGAATTAACTGTCTTTTCCTTTTATTTCTATTTTTTAGAGTAAAGTGAGAGCAAGTTTATTAAGAAAGTAAAGAAATAAAAGAATGGCTACTCCATAGCCCTGAGGGCTGCTGGTCGCCTTCTTATTTTTATTTTTATTTTTATTTTTTTTTGAGACAGAGTCTCACTCTGTCGCCCAGGCTGCAGTGCAGTGGCGTGATCTCGGCTCACTGCAAGCTCCGCCTCCCTGGTTCATGCCATTCTCCTGCCCCATTCTCCCAAGTAGCTGGACTGCAGGTGCCTGCCACCATGCCCGGCAAATTTTTTGTATTTTTAGTAGAGACAGAGTTTCACTGTGGTAGCCAGGATGCTGTCGATCTCCTGACCTCGTGATCCACCCCCTTTGGCCTCCCAAAGTGCTAGGATTACAGGCGTGAGCCATGGCGCCCGGCTGGTTGCCCATTTTTATGGTTATTTCTTGATTATATGCTAAACAAGGGGTGGACTATTCATGAGTTTTCCAGGAAAAAAGTGGGGAATTCTTGGAACTGAGGGCTCCTCCCCTTTTTCAGCCATATAGGGTAACTTCCAAACGTTGCCATGGCATCTGTAAACTGTCGTGGTGCCGGTGGGAGTGTCTTTTAGCATGCTAATGCATATAATGAGCAGTGAGGATGACCAGAGGTCACTCTCATTGCCATCTTGGCTTTGGTGGGTTTTGGCTGGCTTCTTTACTGCAACCCGTTTTATCAGCAAGGTCTTTATGACCTGTATCTTGTGCCGACATACTGTCTCATCCTGTGACTAAGAATGCCTTACCTCCTGGGAATGTAGCCCAGTAGGTCTCAGCCCTATTTTACCCAGACCCTGTTCAAGATGGAGTTGCTCTGGTTCAAACACCTCTGACATTTCCCTCCTCCCTTTTATCTGAGAACCTTTATTCCTAAGGGTTGTAGAGGGATGAAGATCCATCTTCTGTAACTTCTTCAGGCTGAATAGGGGTGATGATATTACTGCCTAATTATGAGAGTCTTTTGAATTCAGGACAGAGAGGAGCTCAGTCAGAAAGCGTCAGTTTGGTGAGGGTCATACACAACTCTGAGTTCTGACAAAACATGTTATCTGGAAGATTAATAAGTGTTCAGTTTAAGAAAACATTGAGTAAGCTTATCCTGCACTCCTGCACCAAGAATACAACACCAGTGTATTCCACAACAGTAAAGCAAAATAAGTAAAATTATCCCAAGGTAAACTAAGTAAGAAGGCTTTCCTTGAACTGGGCAACTGTTAGAACCAGGCTGATACGGGGTCACTATCTGATTTCAATATGTGCCCAGAACTAGAATATTGATCCAGATTTTTACATTACCCATCCCTCTTGCTTCTTCTAAATAGCAGTCAGGGATCACTGATTGGTTCACAGGAATAAGAAAAGTGAGTCTAAATTGCAGAAAAAAACTTTAAAACAACGAATGAAACTAGAATCTAATAACAGGTGCACCATAGTTTTTGCAACATCATATTTTTTTCTCTCTCCAGTCTCCCATTTTTACTAAAGACAAATCATGGTAAGACTGGTTTGTTTTATTATACTTGGCCTGATCATTTGTATAAAGTGCAGCAAGAATAATTATTTTTCACATACGCTCTTTATATTTTTATTTTTATTTTATGTTTTAATAGAGGCAGTCTCCCAATGTTGCCCAGTCTGGTCTCGAACTCCTGGGCTCAAGCAGTCCTCCTGCCTCAGCCTCCCAAAGTGCTGGGACTGCAGGCATGAGCCACCACGCCCAGCCTCACATAAGCTCTTTTAAAACTGGCTTTGATGGGCCGGGCATGGTGGCTCACGCCTGTAATCCCAGCACTTTGGGAGGCTGAGGTGGGCGGATCACCTGAGGTCAGGAGTTCAAGACCAGCCAGGCCAACATGTTGAAACCCCATCTCTACTAAAAGAAAAAAAAAATTATATATATATATATACACACACACACACACACACACACACACACACAGACACACACACACACATATATACACATATATATGTGTGTATATATATATATGTGTGTGTGTGTATATATATATATATATATATATAAGATTAGCCGAGCGTAGTGGTGGGTGCCTGTAATCCCAGCTACTCGGGAGGCTGAGGCAAGAGAATCGCTTGAACCCAGGAGGCGGAGGTTGCAGTGAGCCAAGATCACCCTCCTGCACTCCAGCCTGGGCAGCAAGAGCAAAACTCGGTCTCGAAAATAAATAAATAAATAAATAAATAAATAAATAAATAAATAAATAAATGAAAATAAAAAATAAAAATAAATGGCTTTCATGGAGCTCTGTTCCATAGAAGGAATCTCAGATAAGACCTTTTTAAAGCTGAGTCCAGCCTGGGGTGGGTGCCGTCAAATACCTCTGAGTTGGGTAAAATCCTCTCCTCTTGAGGTCCCAAGATAACTTGGGGCTCCTGGGCCTGTCAGATAATGACATTCTTTACTTACCACAGGTCAGTAACCCTGCACAGGGACTGTGTAGACAAGTTATGAGGCTAGTTTTCCCAAGGGGTTTTTATTGGCTCTATAAGTCAAGTTTGATCCCTTAAAGGAAAGAACACCATTCCAGTCAAAGCCTTGGTAAAATAACCAGTTTCTCCAATTGTGTCTTGTTGCAAAAGAAAACAGATTCTTATTGCACTTATGCAAATAACTATATTGCTATAAGTTAAGAATATTCACAAGCAGTTTCCAAATTCTAGAGAAATTAGGTAGAGAGAAACAAATATGCTCTGAATTTTGTTCACAGAAGTATACTTTACTGAATTGTTAAAAGCTGTCAATAGCCCAGAAGAAAAGTTTTCCTGACTCCAAAGTCTGCCAGTCAGTGCTGCCGTCTATTTCCTTTGGGTCAGGGGGTTTCCTCAGTATTGTCCCTTCAGGGTTCACCGGAAAGATGTTACTGGAATGGGGTCCCAGTGCAGACTCCAAAAGAGGGTTCTTGGAGCTCGTGCAAGAAAGAATTCGAGGTGAATCCATAGAGTAAAGTGAGAGCAAGTTTATTAAGAAAGTAAATAAAAGAATAGCTACTCTACGGGCAGAGCAGCCTATCTTTTCCTTTTATTTCTCTGTTTCATGACCCCATCAATTTTTTTGCTAATGTATTTCATTCTCCAAGGAAACACCTATTCCAATGCCATGGCATCTTGTTCCAAACCGCAAAACCAGATGAAGGGCTTCCCAATATGTTTTACAAAATAGCAAACTCATCCAAATAGAACAGAACACAAAGACATTATACACTGAGTTCCCTTCCACCCACCGTGCCTTTCACTAGTGAGAACGCTGACTGCTCTCTTTAGAGTGAAGAATGGGCCTCATGTCACACAGGGTGGGGAAGCTGCTGGATGTAGCCCTGGAACGTGCACTAGTCCACCCCACCCTCCACTGGCCCTGGCTGCATCGCCTGCTGAAACTCTCTCTTCCTCATAGCATGCAGGATCACTTCTGGGCACCTGCCAGTACTCCAGGTAATTTTCCTGCACCCAATCCCGGGTGAGCAGCTTCCTGGGCTCCCCATAGATGAAGTGCTCCCTCCCAGCATACACCTCTATCACATTCAGGGCTTCCCACATAACCTCCTCTGGGGCGCAGTTGCCCTCCGTGAAGATCACACACAGGACAATTATTAGGAGGCCCGTCTTGGGCTTGCTCGGGTCATCAACCAGCATGCCATCATAGGAGAGGCCCAGAGAGGTGACAAGGACATAGGAATGGCCGGTGGGGACCACTTCCTTCACGTCGATGCCAAAGATCAGCTGCATGTACTCGGAGGATTCCTTGAAAATGAAAGCGAAGTAGTCTTCGTGATTTTTGATGACACTATCCACCATTTCTGCCTTTGTGACTGACTCCTTAATTCGAAACTTGTGGAGCAGGACACTAACTAAATCAGACACCTTGTCAGAGTGCCTCTCGGAGGAAGGACTCCATGACACTTGGGATGGGCAAGGTGATTGGCTCCTCCTTTTCTTGGCTGCTGGAGCCCTCATCGGATTGGTTCCATAGAGTGTTATCGATGGTAGTGGGGGAGGAGGAGGCTCCCTGCATACTCTGGGGAGGACTCAGTGCCTCAGCAGCACACAACTCCTCCAGGGTGCCCATGATCAGACTAGAGGAGGAAGAGGCAGCCTCCTCCTCCTCAGGCACAGGACCCTGCCCACCCACCAGGCCAGGGACCTCTCCTTGGGCCTCAAGGCCTTCCTCAGGCATGTAGTGCTGACTCCTCTGTCCAAGAGGCATGATGACTCTGGTCAAGGCAGCAAGCGGGAGTGTGGGCAGGAGCTGGGTAATGGGGATGCACAGGCCTGGGGAGAGAGGGAGCGTGTGAGAGGCCTCAGCTAAGAACCAGACTTTGGAGGAGGCTCTAACAAAGGCCTACTTACGGATCTTCTCCTTCAGTGCTCCTCTGGGGCCTCCTGGGGCTCCTGTCCTCCTGGTCAGCCTGTCCCCTGAGAATCTGAAGAAAGAAGTGACACAGCTTCTCAGGTTACAGCCAGCCAGCAGAGGCCAAGGCCCCAAGGCTGAGGGTAGGGCAGGTGGGGCTGGGCGCTCTGGGGTCCCATCCATTATGGGTGGGTGGGACCCTTGGTATACATTCAGGGTGAACACCTCACCTTGACTGCTGGCACTGCCTGGGTCTCCTCTGCTCTGTGGCTTGAGGACACTGACTCAGACTAAAGCCTCACCTCCAAGTTCCTGGAGCTCCTGGAAGAGGGATCAAGGGGCCCTCAGGGTGCAGGCTGCAAGCACAGCCTCAGTCCCCCGAGTGCTGTCAGGAGGGTGGGCTGGACTCTGTCAGTTCCCTCACTCTTTTGCATAGATGGCCCCTTCTATGCTCACTCAGGACCTTCACGTTTCTCCTAGCAGGGCCTGAATCCTGCCCCTTTGCTGGCCTGAGAAACTCTCAGATCAAGAGCTCATATCCCTGATATGGAACAGAAGGACATGAGGGGACCCACATCTGGCCACACCTGCTCAGGGCTTCCAGGCAAGGACAGTAAGAGGTGGCCATATTCAGCTGGGTCCATGTGTCCTGAGATGAGGAACCTGCTTGGTCCACATCTTGATGCCTGCAGATCCTGGGACTCTCCCTGTTTACCTGAGGCCACCACCTTAAATCAAATCCCTATCTCCAAGAGACACCAGTAAAGGAAGTGAGGGGATTCCATCCACCCACTGTTCCCTGCAGTTTCCCATGCCTGACAGAAAAGGCAGGGCAGGGCTGGGTCATGTGCATTCGCCGTGTGGGGTCCACTTAGTCCTCACCTTGACTCCTGGCTGAGCCTGGGACCCTCCCTCTGACCTAAATGCAGCCCCTCCAACCAAGGCCTCCCCCTCCCTGAGACCACTGATCCTGGTATAAGAGAGGGGGCCTCAACTGACAGCTCTGGCCATGCTCTCTGCGGAAACAGCAGGGGCAAGGCAGATTTCTGTGGGGCCTCCATCTGCCTTCTGGTCCAGCGGTACCCTTAATCCTCCCTCAGGTTCCTCACCTGGGGTCTTAGCAGATCCTGGGTCCGCTCTGTCTGTTAATCAGATGGGGGTCCCTGTGTTGGCCTGAGTAACCCACTGAGAACTAGGTCCTCACCTCCCTGAGATCCCAAAGCCGACATGAGGAGGACTCACATCCCGTCACCCCTCCATGGGGTGTCCAGGGCTGACACCAGGGGCTGCCCCCTTCTGTTCTGGGGTGGAAGTTCCAAAGTTCTCCTGTGGGTTATTCATCTTTACTCCTGCCGGGACCTGCCGTTCCTCAACCCTCAGCCCCCTGAGATGAGCAGACATCTCCCCTTTACACCAAGACCACATCTCCCTGAGGGTTCTCCAACTTCCTGCCCGTGGCACAAGTGAGATTGCCACTTAGGGCCACCCTGGATCAGGTCCCCCCAGAGCTAAGAACAAGGACAGCAGACTCTGCGGGGTCTCTTCTTTCTGGGCTGGGGGTACCTCCAGTCCTCATGAAAGGTGCACACCGTGGGTCCTGCAGATGCTGGGACTCCTCCCTCTGCTGACCAGGTGTGGCTCCCTCTACTGGCCTGTCAGTGTCACTGGGACCAAGGTCCTCACCTCCCTGAGACCTCCCACCTCCAACCACATGGCAGAAATGAGAGCATGCCACATGCCATCCCTGCCTGTGGCCTCCCAGGGCTGAGAACAGGGGAAGCTGGGCGGCTCTGCAAGTTCCCTTCTTCTTTATGATGTGGAGGTAACTTCTTACCTTCAGTCCTTACCAAACTTCCTCCCCTTCACTCCTGGAAGACCCTGGACTCTATCCGGTGCTGACCAGGTGTGGCTACCTCTGCTGAGCGGAGGACGCCCCTCAGACCAAGGCCCCCACCTCACTGAGACCCGGGAGGTAGAGGTGAGGGGGCACCACACGGTCACCCCTGCGTGGGATTCCCAAAGCTGACAGAAGGTGCAAGTTTCAGGGGGCCCTCCGCTGTCTGGGTGTCTTCCAGGTGTTCAGATTGAGTCCCGACAGGGCCCGGCTCTTTCCCTCCTGCTGAACTGTATGCCAAGGCCACCATGTCCCTGATACCCTCAGGGAGAAAGTGGTGGGACAGCATCCCTTCCCCACAGTCCTGCCCAGGCCTCCCAGGACTGACAGTAGGGGCAGGTTTCCTAAGTCTGGGAAGAAAGGTCTTCTGAGTCATCCTTCAGAGCTCTGGGACTCCTCTCTCTGCTGACCTGAGGCCCCACTCCCCAGACCACAGTCCTCTCCTCCCTGACACCCCAAAGGCACAGCGAGTCCAGGCCACATGTGGCCACTGTGCCTGGGACCTCCCAGGGTCGAGGTCCCCACTGATCTGGACTCCAAGTTCCCGTCAGTCCTCCCTCTTCTTCCTGCCCTTGACTCCTGGCAGGCTTGGGCCCCACCCCAGCCTGCTGACCTGAGTCTTCATCCCTCAGATTCCCAAGGCCAAATGAGGAGGCACCTCAGTCTCAAACAGGGGGTGGGTGGGCCCCCTGTCCTGGGGTCCTGGGTGCCCTCGGGCCTCTCTCAGGCCTCCCTTGTCTCCCAGCAGGGCCTGGGCCCTCCCTCTGCTCCCCGCAATCCGTGCTCATGATATGAAGCCCCTTCCCTCCGTCAGCCCTGGATGCCCATGCCAGGATCCACATGCCTGGCCACCATGCCTGGAAATTCCCAGGGCTGACAGCAAGGACAGAGCCCCGCTCTGTGGAGCCCTCAACCCTCTCTGAGGGTCCTGAACGTGATGGCTGGCAGAGCCTGGCTGCTGCCCTCTCCTAGGCAGCCCTGCCCTGATCACACCAACCTCTGACTCCAGAGTCCCCTGAGGCTTAAGTGGCAGAGAGTTGGGGGCGGCCCAGCCTGAGAAGTCCGCCCCCGGGTGGTCCTGGGTTGGCAGCAGGGGTGGTGCTGGATTTTTTAGGGTCCTCTATCTTGGGTTGCAACGGGGTGTCCCTAGTCCTCCCTCAACGCCTCACCTTTCCTTCACACACAGCCCGGGCCCGCTTTCCTCCGCCGATCTTAAGCCACCCCTCAAAACCAGGCCCTCGCTTCCCTCTGATCCCTGAGGCGCAAATCAGTGGCATCACATCCGGGCACCCGGGGCTTCCCTGCGTTGACAGCAGGGGCAAAACCTGATTCTGTCGGGGTGGGGGTGGGGATGGGAATGGGAATGGAGGAGGGGTGGGGGCGAGGATGGGGGTGAAGATGGGGATGGGGATGGGGATCCTGAGGCTGTAGGTCGTGGCGGTGACGGTGGGCTTGGGGGTGAGGGAGGCCCTCAGTCGTTCCTCAGGGTCCTCACCTTGAAACCTGGCAGAACCTGGGCCCTGCCCTCTCCTAACCACCCCTGCCTTGGTCACACCAAGCTCTGACTCCAGAGTCCCCTGTGGCATAAGCGGCGGGGGTTGGCAGGGCGCCGGGGGGTGGCCCAGACTGAGAAGTACTCCCCTAGGTGGTCCAGGGCTGGCAGCAGGGGTGACGCTGAATTATTTGGGGTCCTCTATCTGGGGTGGAGGCGTCCTCAGTCCTCCCTCAGCCTCTCACCTTGTCTTCTCACAGAGCCTGGGTCCACTTCCCTCTGCCAATCTCAAGCCGCCCCTCAGACCGAGACCCTCGCTTCTCTGACCCCCTAGCCGTCACATCCGGCCACCAAGCCTGGGGCTTCCTTGGGTTGACTGCTGGTGTCATAGCAGATTCTGCTATGAGTGGGGGTGGAAATGGGGGTGGGGGTGGGGGGTCGAGGTCGAGGGGGTGGGCACTCTCAGTCATCCTCAAGGTCCTGACCTTGATGCCTGGCAGAGCCTGGATCCCATCCTGTGTGGATGGTGTCTGCTCCCCTCAGACCAAAGCACTGACTCCGAGTCCCCTGAGGTGGCAGTGGAGGGAGGGATATGGTCGGGGCGACAACATTGTCAGGGTCTTCCAGGGCTGACAGGAGGGGCTGAACTGGATTCTGTGGTCCCTCTATGTGGGGTGAGTGGACCCTCAATCCTTACTCAGGAGGGTTCTCCTCTTGGCTCCTGGCTCTTTGATGAAGTGATGGGTGGGGGATGCTCTGTTTCTGTCACCTCTGAGTATTCGCCCAGCTGTACCCCTTGCAGAGAATGGCTGCGGGTCCCAGGCCAGGTGCTCCCTGGGGAGCTGCAGTGCCTGCGATTGTAGTGGCCTCTGGGAGAAGACACACACCTTCCCACGGGGGCTCTTCCCCAGCCAGATGCTGGGAAGAAACTGCATCAACTAACGAGCAAAATAACCAGGTAGCATCATAATGACAGGATGAGATTCACACATAACAATATTAACCTTAAATGTAAATGGGCTAAATGCTCCAGTGAAAAGACACAGACTGGCAAATTGGATAAAGAGTCAGGACCCATCTGTGTGCTGTATTCAGGAGACCCATCTCACATGTAGAGACACACATAGGCTCGAAATAAAGGGATGGAGGAAGATCTACCAAACAAATGGAAAACAAAAAAAGGTAGGGGTTGCAATCCTAGTCTCTGACAAAACGGACTTTAAACCAACAAAGATCAAAAGAGACAAAGAAGGCTATTACATAATGGTAAAGGGATCCAGTCAATAAGAAGAGCTAACTATCCTAAATATATATGCACCCAATACAGGAGCACCCAGATTCATAAAGCAAGCCCTTAGAGACCTACAAAGAGACTTAGACTTCCACACAATAATAATGGGAGACTTTAACACCCCACTGTCAACATTAGACAGATCAATGAGACAGAAAGTTAACAAGGATATCCAGGAATTGAACTCAGCTCTGCACCAAGCGGACCTAAAAGACATCTACAGAACACTCCACCCCAAATCAACAGAATATACATTCTTCTCAGCACCACATCGCACTTGTTCCAAAATTGACCATATAGTTGGAAGTAAAGCACTCCTCAGCAAATGTAAAAGAACAGAAATGATAACAAACTGTCTCTCAGACCACAGTGCAATCAAACTAGAACTCAGGATTAAGAAACTCACTCAAAAACCACACAACTACATGGAAACTGAACAACCTGCTCCTGAATGACTACTGGGTACATAACGAAATGAAGGCAGAAAGAAAGATGTTCCTTGAAACCAATCAGAACAAAGACACAACATACCAGACTCTCTGGGACACATTTAAAGCAGTGTGTAGAGAGAAATTTATAGCACTAAATGCCCACAAGAGAAAGCAGGAAAGATCTAAAATTGACACCCTAACATCACAATTAAAAGAAATAGAGAAGTAAGAGCAAACACATTCAAAAGCTAGCAGAAGGCAAGAAATAACTAAGATCAGAGCAGAACTGAAGGAGATAGAGACACAAAAAACCCTTCAAAAAATCAATGAATCCAGGAGCTGGTTTTTTGAAAAGATCAATAAAATTGATATACCGCTAGGAAGACTAATAAAAAAGAAAAGGGAGAAGAATAAAATGGACGCAATAAAAATGATAAAGGGGATATCACCACCGACCCCACAGAAATACAAACTACCATCAGAGAATACTATAAACACCTCTATGCAAACAAACCAGAAAATCTAGAAGAAATGGATAAATTCCTGGACACATACACCCTCCCAAGACTAAACCAGGAAAAAGTTGAATCCCTAAATAGACCAATAACAGGCTCTGAAATTGAGGCAATAATTAATAGCCTACCAACGAAAAAAAGTCCAGGACCAGACGGATTCACAGCCAAATTCTACCAGAGGTACAAGGAGGACCTGGTACCATTCCTTCTGAAACTATTCCAATCAATAGAAAAAGAGGGAATCCTCCCTAACTCATTTTATGAGGCCAGCATCATCCTGATACCAAAGCCTGGCAGAGGCACAATAAAAAAAGAGAATTTTAGACCAATATCCCTGATGAATATTGATGCAACAATTCTCAATAAAATACTGGCAAACCGAATCCAGCAGCACCTCAAAAAGCTTATCCACCATCATCAAGTGGGCTTCATCCCAGGGATGCAAGACTGGTTCAACATACACAAATCAATAAACGTAATCCATCATATAAACAGAACCAAAGACAAAAACCACATGATTATCCCAATAGATGTAGAAAAGGCCTTCGACAAAATTCAACAGCCCTTCATGCTAAAAACTCTCAATAAATTAGGTATTGATTGGACATATCTCAAAATAATAAGAGCTATTTATGACAAGCCCACAGCCAATATCATACTGAATGGGCAAAAACTGGAAGCATTCCCTTTGAAAACCAGCACAAGACAGGGATGCCCTCTCTCACCACTCCTGTTCAACATAGTGTTGGAAGTTCTGGCCAGGGCAATCAGGCAGGAGAAAGGAATAAAGGATATTCAATTAGGAAAAGAGGAAGTCAAATTGTCCCTGTTTCGGGATGACATGATTGTATATTTAGAAAACCCCATCGTCTCAGCCCAAAATCTCCTTAAGCTGATAAGCAACTTCAGCAAAGTCTCAGGATACAAAATCAATGTGCAAAAATCACAAGCATTCTTATACACCAATAACAGACAAACAGAGAGCCAAATCATGAGTGAACTCCCATTCAGAATTGCTTCAAAGAGAATAAAATACCTAAGAATCCAACTTACAAGGGATGTAAAGGACCTCTTGAAGGAGAACTACAAACCACTGCTCAACGAATTAAAAGAGGACACAAACAAATGGAAGAACATTCCATGCTCATGGGTAGGAAGAATCAATATAGTGAAAATGGTCATAGTGCCCAAGGTAATTTATAGATCCAATGCCATCCGCATCAAGCTACCAATGACTTTCTTCACAGAATTGGAAACAACTACTTTAAAGTTCATATGGAACCAAAAATAACCTGCATTGCCAAGACAATCCTAAGCCAAAAGAACAAAGCTGGAGGCATCACGCTACCTGACTTCAAACTATACTACAAGGCTACAGTAACCAAAACAGCATGGTACTGGTACCAAAACAGAGATATAGACCAATGGAACAGAAGAGAGCCCTCAGAAATAATACCACACACCTACAACCATCTGATCTTTGACAAACCTGACAAAAACAAGAAATGGGGAAAGGATTCCCTATTTAATAAATGGTGCTGGGAAAACTGGCTAGCAATAAGTAGAAAGCTGAAACTGGATCCCTTCCTTACACTTTAGACAAAAATTAATTCAAGATGGATTAAAGACTTAAATGTTAGACCTAAAACCATAAAAACCCTAGAAGAAAACCTAGGCAATATCATTCAGGACATAGGCATGGGCAAGGACTTCATGTCTAAAACACCAAAAGCAATGGCAACAAAAGCCAAAATTGACAAATGGGATCTAATTAAACTAAAGAGCTTCTGCACAGCAAAAGGAACTACCATCAGAGTGAACAGGCAACCTACAGGATGGGAGAAAATTTTTGCAATCTACTCATCTGAGAAAGGGCTAATATCCAGAATCTACAAAGAACTCAAACAAATTTACACGAAAAAAACAAACAACCCCATCAAAAAGTGGTCGAAGGATATGGACAGATACTTCTCAAAAGAAGACATTTATGCAGCCAAGAGACACATGAAAAAATGCTCATCATCACTGGCCATCAGAGAAATGCAAATCAAAACCACAATGAGATACCATCTCACACCTTTTAGAATGGTGATCATTAAAAAGTCAGGAAACAACAGGTGCTGGACAGGATGTGGAGAAATGGGAACACTTTTAGCCTGTTGGTGGGACTGTAAACTAGTTCAACCATTGTGGAAGACAGTGTGGCAATTCCTCAAGGACCTAGAACTAGAAATATTACTTGACCCAGCCATCCCATTACTGGGTATATACCCAAAGGATTATAAATCATGCTGCTATAAAGACACATGCACTCACATGTTTATTGTGGCACTATTCACAATAGCAAAGACTTAGAACCAACCGAAATGTCCATCAGTGTTAGACTGGATTAAGAAAATGTGGCACATATACACCATGGAATACTATGCAGCCATAAAAAATGATGAGTTCATGTCCTTTGTAGGCACATGGATGAAGCTGGAAGCCATCATTCTCAGCAAACTATCGCAAGGACAAAAAACCAAACACCGCATGTTCTCACTCATAGGTGGGAATTGAACAATCAGAACACTTGGACACAGGAAGGGGAACAGCATACACTGGGGACTGTTGTGGGGTGGGGGGAGTGGGGAGGGATAGCATTAGGAGATATACCTAATGTAAATGACCAGTTAATGGGTGCAGCACACCAACATGGCACATGTATACATACGTAACAAACCTGCACGTTGTGCACATGTACCCTAGAACTTAAAGTATAATAAAAAAACACAAAAAATTTAAAAAAAAAGAAATGAGGACTGCAATAATCAAGAGGATCTTCTTGCTATTTTATTATGAATACACTTGTCAGCAAAAATGCCTTTGAGTTTAATCCAAGTTGTGTGTATCTTTCTTTCTTTTTCTTTCTTTTTTTTTCTTTTTTTTGCTAAATAGTATACAATTGTTCAGATGCAGCACAGCTTGTTTAGCCAATACCCATGGAAGGATATTTGGGTTGTTTGCAGATTTTGGGCAAATATGAATAGAACTTTTATAAAAATTCAGGTGTAGGCTTTTTTGTGAACAAACGTTGTTATTTCTCCCAGGATTGGCATTGCTGAGTCATGTAAGTGTATGTTTTTGGGAAATTACCAAATCATCTTCTGCAATGGCTATGACATTTTACATTCCCACAGTAATGTATGAGTTTCAAGTTGTTCTTTATCCTTACTAGCACTTAGTAATGTCAATTTTTTAATTTTAATCATTTTCCAATGTGTGTAGTGTTATCTCATTTTGATTTCAATTGACATTTTTCTGATGGTTAATGATGTAAAACAATTTTTATGTGCTTATTTGCTATTATATGCTCACTTTGGTGAAGTACTTATTGAGGTATTTTGCCCCTTATCAAAACTGGGTTAGACCGGGCATGGTGGCTCACGCCTGTAATCCCAGCACTTTGGGATGCTGAGGCGGGTGGATCATGAGGTCAGGAATTCGAGACCAGCCTGACCAATATGGTGAAACCCCGTCTCTACTAAAAAATACAAAAGGTAGTCAGGCATGGTGTCACGCACCTATACTCAGGAGGCTGAGGCAGGAGAATCGCTTGAACCCGGGAGGCGGAGGTTGCAGTGAGCCGAGACTGTGCCACTCCAGCCTGGGTGACAGAGCAAGACTCTGTCTAAAAAAAAAAAAAAAAAAAAAAAAAAAAAAAAAAAAAAAAAAAAGAGTGAGACTGTGTCTCAAAAACAACAAACAGCAACAAAAAAACTGTGTCATGTGTTTTTTAATTGTTAAATTTTGAGAGCTCATTATGTATTCTAGACACAAATCCTTTGTTGGATATACGATTTGCAAATATTTACTTCTTGTCCGTTGCTGGCTTTTTGACTTTTTATTGTCTTTCTAAGAGTGAAAGTTTTTAATTTTGAGAAATTCTAATTTATTTGCTTCCTCTATGAATCCTACTTTTGTTGTCATGTTCAAGACCTCTTTGCCTAGTCCAGGTCATGAGATTTTCTGCAATGCTTTCTTTAAAAATGTTGTTCTTTTTCATTTAACATTTAGGTCTATGATACATTTTTTACACCTGGATATCTAATTGTTCCAATATCATTTATTGAAAAGACCAACATTTGTCAATTGAATTACTTTAGGTCTTGGTAAAACTCTACAGGCCATACTTATGTGGGTGTACTTCTGGGCTCTCTACTCAGTTTCATTGATCTGTGTCCATGCCTTGACTGACACCACAAGGTCTTGATTACTACAGGCTTATCTTAAAATCAGGTGGTATAATTCTGCTAAACTTCCAAATTTATTATGCTTTTTATAACTTTTTGACAAATAAAAATGCCTATATAGTTACTTTTTACATGTGGTGAATACACTTAAGATCTACTCTCTTAGCAAATTTCAAGTATATATAATACATTATTATTAACTATAGTAACCATGTTGTATATCAGATCTCCAGAACTTACTCATCTTATGACTGAAATTTTGTACACATTGACCAGGATTCCTCGATTTCCACCAACTTCCAGCCCTTGACAACCACCTTTCTACTCTCTCTTTCTATGAGGTTGATTTATTTAGATTCCCCATGTAAATGAGATCATGCAGTATTTGTTCTTTTGTGCCTGATTTATTTTACTTAGTATAATGTCCTCCAGTTTCATCCATGTTGCTGCACATGACAGGATTTCATGTTTTTTATGTCTGAATAATAACAGTTTCTTTATTCATCCATCCACTGATGGACACATAGGTTGTTTCCATACCTTTGCTACTGTGAATAATGCTGCAAGGAACATGGGAGTGCAGATGTCTCTCTGAGATCCCAATTTTAATTTCTTTGGATATTTACCCAGAGCTGGGATTGGTGGATCATGGGCGTTATTTTTTGTTTTCTGAAAAACTTCCATACTGTTTTCCATAATGTCAGTGCCAGTTGACACTCCCAGCAACCAGTATACAAGGGTGTTCTTTTTTTTTTTATTATACTTTAAGTTTTAGGGTACATGTGCACATTGTGCAGGTTAGTTACATATGTATACATGTGCCATGCTGGTGCGCTGCACCCACTAACTCGTCATCTAGCATTAGGTATATCTCCCAATGCTATCCCTCCCCCCTCCCCCCACCCCACAACAGTCCCCAGAGTGTGATGTTCCCCTTCCTGTGTCCATGTGTTCTCATTGTTCAATTCCCACCTATGAGTGAGAATATGCGGTGTTTGGTTTTTTGTTCTTGCGATAGTTTACTGTACAAGGGTGTTCTTTCGTCCCCATCCTTACCAATGCTTATCATTTGACTTTTTGATAATAGCCATTCTAAGAGGTAAGATGATATCTCATTGTAGTTTTGATTTTCATTTCCCTGATGATTAGTGATGTTGATCACTTTTTTATATACCTCTTGGCCTTCTTCAGAGAAATGTCCATTCAGATATTTTGCCTATTCTGTTTTCTTTTTACTGTTGAATTATATGAGTTCCTTGTATATTTTGGATATTAGCTCTCTATCAGACATGTGGTTTGCAAATATTTCCTCCAATTCCATAGGTTCCCTTTCCATCTCATTGATTGTTTCCTTTGCTGTGCAGAAACTTTTTCAGTTTGATTGAACTCCCATGTGTTTATTTTTGCTTTTGTTGCCTGAGCTTTTGGAGTCACAGTCATAAAGTCATTGCCAGGAACAATATTAAGGAGCTTTTGCATCCCCAGGATAAATTCCACTTGATCATGGTGCATAATTCTGTTAATATGCTGTTGAATTCAGTTTGCTAGTATTTTGCTGGGGACTTTTGCATCTGTGTTTAACAGCATATTGTGATTGTTTTAGGTATTCTAGTTCCTTTTCCCTTCCATGAACTTTTGGAATCAGCCTATTTATATTTACAAAAATCCTGCTGCAATTTTGATGGATATCTCTTTGAATATATAGATCAATAGAGTGAGAATTGACATCTTCACTAGGTTGGGTCTACCAGTCCACTAACATGATATGTGTCTCTATCAATTAGTTAATTATTTAGGTCGTATTTGATTTATTTAATCAGCATTTTGTTATTTTCAGCATATAGATCCTACACATGATTTTTTAGATTTATACATACATATTATGTGTTTGGAGCTATTAAAATGATATTTTAAACTTTTGATTCCCCATTTTTTACTTGTAGTTGTATGTAATAACACTTCATTTTTGTAGGTTGACCATGTAACCTTGCTGAAGTTCTTGTAGTTTCCTTAGGGATTTCCCCGGCTTCTTCCCAGGCTGCTGGGTATGAAAAGGCACATGGGTGCCAAGCCAGCAAAATGAGACCCATGCCTTCTCAAGGCTGTACTCCCACTGCCATAGGTTATTCCAGATGCCAAGTGCCTCACCCACTGAAACAGCCATGAGCTGGCCAGCCAGGGCCCCCCACTCGGCCTGAGACCTTAGTCCCCAGAAGGTAGAGATTAGAATCCTTATATGTTCTTTGCATCAGAGAGGAGACTAAGGACAGTTGTGCCCAGTGATGTCAACGTGCTGGACTCTGACTGGTGCCCAAGAAAGTTGGTAAAGGTGGGGAGAGGCAGGCACAGCCCTGGCCCTTGACTAAGGCAAGGTCCCTGGAAGATTCCACTCCCATCCATCCTGGACCTACTGCAGCCATAGCCTTCACTCTGGTCATCCTCCAGGTGAAAGTGTTGGAAGAAAAAAAGTGAAAAGAGATAGGAGGAGGGAAGAGAAGACACAATCTCTAGGCTATCTACCAAGACTATAGAAATAGACCAGCTGTATAGAAACATTGGGGAAAGATAGAAAGAAGGAGCAATCACTTTGTCTATAGGAGAGAACTCCTGGAGTTATTTGCTGCTATGATTTTGTTTGAAATACAGGAATTTGATTTGTTAGTGTTCTGGAGATACTGTGAAAGGAAAAGTGAGGATCTCAGAAAAGCAGAGAGTCAGCAGGAAAGTCAGAACTGGACGACCAGCCCAGACCTGGTTCCCTGAAGGGCCACCCTCCCCGACAAGCTGTGCAAAATGCTACTGTTGGGACAATATCTTCCCTAGACCCCTCCCTAGGGCCCCAATTGCCTCCCTGGCACTATCAACATGGTGGCTAGACACGACTCAGGTTCTCATGGATGAATTTATCCACTCCCCCTACTCACATGGCTTGCTCTAGAAGGCCCCTTCTCTTCTTCATTCCAGCAGCTAGACATGAGTCACCTAAATAATCAGAAACAGAGGCTGCAGATACAAGATAGACTAATAAGGGGGAAAAACAGTAGTTTTTGGTACAAGTTCCAGACAGAATTATTTAAATACATACTGCCAATCTCAAATATAAAGATACTTAGTGGTACTGAGGAGAGGAGGAAAGGAGAAGATTAAGAAACCACAGCTAGGACCTCAGACCTTCACGGAATGGCAATTGCCCAACCCACTTCCACCTCCACTCCTGTGGGACAACCTTTCCCTCCCCCTCTGCCATCAGATGTGCACTCTTCACAGCCTGGCATGCCCATACACAAGCCCCAGGGGCTGTGTCCAGTACTTTGAGGAATGATGTTGGACTGAAGGGAAAGTATGACCCTGATTACAGTCGACTATAGAGAACCAGCTTTAAATCACTCTTTGGGAAAATAGTAGCGCTGTTTTTTTTTTAAAAAAAAAGGAAGGAAAAGGGAAGGAAGGGCGAGAGGAAGTGAGGGAGAGAGAAAAGGAAGATTTTTTTTAAAAAAAAGAACGCTGAAGCAAATATGTGAGAAAATAGGGTCTGCTTTGGAGAGGAGGGAAAAGAAAGGAAGGGAAAGGAGAAGGAAATAAGAATGTGGATGACAAGTTGTACAGTGGTAAGAGTCTGGGACAGGGGTGAGGAGATTCACATTCCAGTCCCTGCTCTCCTGCTAACTTACTAAGTAGCATGTGCTATCTCTTCCCTGAGTCTCAGTTTCCCCATCTGTGCAATGGGGGGAAGTGGGGAGTTAGGCCACCACCAATGTCCCTGTATGCTCTGCTATCTTGGGGAAAGGCAGACTCACTCACAGAATGAGGCTGTCAGTGAGGGTGAATTTTATTTGATTAAATTAGTAATGGATTCAGTAAATATAAACGTCAGCTCTGTTGACAAAAGGTTTCTAAACTAATACTCTCAATCACCCATCAGTTAGCACAAATGGCATCTTATCCTTCAACTTGCTTTTAAAAAAACAGCTTTATTGAGATACAATTCAAATACCATAAAATCACCCATTTATACATACAATTCATTGTTTTTACTGTGTCCACACGATTGTGCAACCATCACCACAATCAATTTTAGAATATTTCTATCTTCCCAATAAGAAGCCCTGTACCCATTAGTATTCCTTCTTCATTTCCTTCCAGCCTCACATCCCCAGCCCCAGGCAATCACTAGTCCACTTCCTGTCTCTGTAAGTTTGCCTATTCTGAGCCTTTCATATAAATAGTATCATATAATATGTAGTCTTCTGTTAATAGCTTTTTTTACATAGCATAATGTTTTCAAGCTTCATCTATGTTGCAGCATGTATAACTTCATTCTTTTTAGGGCCAAATAATATTCCATTGTATGAATATGCCACATTTTGTTTATCTACTCTTCCACTGATGGACATGTAGGTTGTTTCTACCTTTGGGATATTGTGAATAGTGCTGCTATAAACATTTTTGTACAGGTTTTTGTGTGGACATACGTTTTCATTTTTCTTGGGTGTATACCAAGAAGTGGAATTGCTGGGTCAAATGATGACTCCATGTTTACGTTTTTGAACAACTGCTAAACCTTTCCAAAGTGCTTGCACCATGTTACAATCCTAGCAATGTATGATGGTTTCAATTTCTCCATATCCTCACCAATGCTTGTTGTTATCTGTCTTTTAGATTCCAGCCATCCTAGTGGATGTGAAGTGGTATCTCACTGTGGTTTTGATTTGTATTTCCATAATGCCTAATAAGATCTGGCTTCTTTTATTATGCTTATTGGTCATTCATATATGTTCTTTGGAGAAATGTCTATTGAAATCTTCTGCCCATTTTAAAATTAGGATATCTTTCTTTTTATTTTTGAGTTATAAGAGTTATTTATATACTCTTGATACCAGTGTATCATAAAATATATGACTTAAAAGTATTATAATTTTTCAGGGCGCTGGTTTTTCCTCTATCCAGTACAAAGGCCATGACAAGTGAATTCCTTTGTCATCTCATCCATCTGATACTGTAGCAAGTTCCCAAGCAGATGATCTTCTGTTATACCTGCTATTAATCTCCCATTAGACTTCCCTCCTTGGGAAGGCTGTAGGCTTCATCTCCTGTACTTTGTACTTCATGTACCCATCACAATAGAAGCACACTTCTAAGATTTTCCAGAAACCCAAGGATTAAAGCTGACTTTGATACTCTCTCACCTTCCAGGATTCCCACTATCATTTCATACATGGCTCCAGTAAATTCCATATTTCAATGCCAAGCAGTTAGGTATTTTAAAAGACTTGAGTTATTTACTCAGCACTTTAGTTGTTTTCATAACGGGGGTTGTTCAGAATATCTTTTTAAATACTTTGTCAAAAATGGAGGCCTGTATACACTTTAAAAATGTTTTATGTTGAAATAATTATAGATTCAAGGAAGCTACAATGGTAGTAGAGAAGTTCTAAGTAACCATCCAATTTCAGCCAAGGATTACTACCTCAAAATCAGGAAACTGATACAATATATTTGTTGCCAATTTATCAGAAGTGTAGATTTGCAACTACCACCCCAGTCAAGGTACAGATCATGATACAATTAAGATACAGAACTATACCATCTACACAAACTTCCCTGTGCTACCCTTTATAATCACACTCACGCTTTCCCCCCCGCACAATCCCCAATTCCTGGAAACCAACAGTCTGTTGTCCATATTTATAACTGTTATATCAGGAATGTTACGTACATGGAGCCACACAGTATGAAATGGAATTTTAATACTGGATTTTTTCAATGAGCATAATGCCCTTGAGGTCCATATAAGTTGTTGTTGCACCTTTCAGTAGTTTTCTCATTTTTATTGTGGAGTAGTTATGTATCACAGGTTGTTTAACCATTCATTTATTGAAGGATATTTTAGTTGTTTCAATTTTTTGACTACTACAAATAAAGGTGTTATCAACATTCATGTTTATTTTCAACCTACTTATATCATTATATTTGAGCGAGTTTCTTACAGACACCATATAATTGGGTAATTTTTTGAATCCACTATTCTATTCTCTGTATTTCAATTGGTATGTTTAGATCGTTTTCTGCACTTGAAAGATCTTGTACCACTTTTTCTAGCCTCTGTGTTTTCTACAAATAAATCCTCTGTCATTTGAATTGTTATCCCCTTATAAAAGGTGTCATTTTAATACATTTGCAGCCTTAGTCTCTTTCTCCTCTCCTTCTGGGACTTCGATGGTAGAAATAACAGATCTTTTGGCACAATCCTATTGGTCCCTGCAGCTTTGTTTATGTTTTCCTTCTATTTTTAACTCTGTTGTTCAGACTGGATCATTTTTATTACTCTGTCTTCAGTTCACTGATTTCCCTTCTGTCCTCTCCATTCTGCTGTTGAATACATCAGTTAAGGTTTTAATTTCAGTTATTGTATTTTTCAGTTCTAAAGTTTCCATTTGTTCTTTTAATATCTCCTGTTTCTTGCTGAGACTTTCTGTTTTCCTGTGTTTTAAGTGTGTTTGTAATTACTCGTTGAAACATTTTTATGATGATTTATTTCTAATACTTTTCGGAAAATAAGTCCAACATCTGTGTCCTTTTGGTGTTAGCCTGTCTTGATTGTCTATTCTCATTTAAGTTGAGATTTTCCTGATTCTTGGCATGATGAGGTTTTATTTTATTTTAATTGCATCCTGGGCATTTTAGTATTGTGCCATAAGACTGGATCTTGTTCAAACCTTCTATTTTAACTAACTTCCTCTGACACTGCTCTAGCAGGGGAAGGAGGCCACTGCTTCATCACTGCCAGATGGGTTCCTAGCTTGGCCTCCACTGACACCCAGGGAGGTTGTCTTTGTTACTGTTGGGAAATGGTGGCAATTCCAACTCCCTACTAGACTTCCCCTGAATATCTCCTTCCTGGAGGGGCAGGACTGCCTCATTACTGCTCCCCATGTGGAGCACTGACATCATGGTGGTTGGGCGTGGTTGCAGTATCTATGCCATATTGAAATCCTGAGTCTCTGCTAGGCCTCCTTACCAACTGGTAAGGAATCAAACTCCCAGGCCCCTACTGAGTCTTCTCTGTTACCATCTCTGGTGGGGTGCAGTCGAGTGGGGTTTCAAATACTTTGGTATAGCCTGATAAGGTTAGATATCTGGGCTCACTACTTGGTCTTTGCTGTCTGTTTGGGGTGGAGCCACATTTTTTTCTGTGTTGTCTGGCTGGAGTAGAGCAGTTAATGTCTAAACATTTTCTGCCTTAATGGGTTACCCCTGTCCTGGTCCTTTGGCTGGAGAGAGCAAGTTTTTGTTGGGGCTTTTCTTGTCTGTGCCCATTGGCATTTCTGGGTTTGTTGCTTCTTTGTCTCCAAGTCTGGGATATATGAGGCAAAAGGAAACCCAGGCAATGCCCCACCATGCCACTCCTTTGGTCCCAAGGTCACTAGAGAGTTTTCTTTCTTCTTTCCACTATTCAGACTCTTCTTGTGCTTGTAGTATAGCCAAGGTCCAGGCAGTTTAGTTATGTCTACCATGTTAAACAGAGAAAAGTACCTCTACTCCATCTTCCTGAAGACAGTTGAATCCATACAGAGTATTTTTAAATAGTAATAAGCCCATTTAAAAAGTCTTGATTTTTAAATTAACACCATATCCCAGGATTTTAAAATAATCCCAGTCATTAAATACTCTCCCTTCCCAAGTCTTTTATTTTTATTCTTTTCAAAAGTTGTTTTGTTCTTGTAGAAAATATAATTTTTGAAAAACAGCTCTTGTAAACAATAGGCTTCTCTACCTAGAAAATCCTAAAGCCTCCACAAAAAGGCTTCTGGAACTGACAAACAACTTCAGCAAACTTTCAGGATACAAAATCAATATACAAAAATCAGTAGCATTTCTATACATCATTAACGTTCAAGCTGAGAGCCAAATCAAGAATGCAACCACATTTACAATAGCCACAGAAAGGTGGAATAGCTAGGAATATATCTAACCAAGGAAGTGAAAGATCTCTACAAGGAGAACTACAAAACCCTGCTAAAAGAAATCACAGATGACACAAATAAATGGAAAAATATTTCATGCTCATAGATTGGAAGAATCAATATTGTTAAAATGACTATATTGCCTGAAACAATCTACAGATTCAATGCTATTCTTATCAAACTACCAATGTTATTTTTTCACAGAATTGGAAAAAACTATTCTAAAATTCACATAGAAGCAAAAAATAGCCTGAATTGCCAAAGTCATCATAAGCAAAAGGAACAAAGATGGAGGCATCACATTACCTGACTTCAAACTATAGTATAAAGCTACAGTAACTGAAACAGCATGGTACTGGTAGAAAAACAGACACATAGACCAATGGAACATAATAGAGAACCCAGAAATAAAGCCATACACCTACTGCCATCTAATCCTTGACAAAGTCAACAAAAATAAGCAATGAGGAAAGTACTCCCTATTTAATAAATGGTGCTGGGATAGCTGGCTAACCATATGCAAAAGAATGAAACTGGACCCCTTTCACCACCACATGCTGAAATTAACTCAAGATAAAGATTTAAATGTAAGACCTCAAACTGTAAAGATCCATATTAGTCTGTTCTCGTGTTGCTATAAAGATCTACCTGAGACTGAGTAATTGAAAAGGAAAAGAGCTTCAACTGACTCACAGTTTGGCAGGCTGTACAGGAAGCATGGCTAGGGAGGCCTCAGGAAACTTACAATCATGGCAGAAGGCAAAGAGGAAGGAGGCACGTCTTACATGGCTGAAGCAGGAGGAAGAGAAAGAGAGGGGGGAAGTGCTACACACTTTTATAAACAATCAGATCTTGTGAGATCTCACTCATTATTACGAGCACATCAAGGGAGAAATCCGCCCCCATAATACAATTCCCTCCTACCAGGCCCCTCTCCCAACACCGAGGATTACATTCGACATGAGATTTGGGTGGGAATACAGACCCAAATCATATCAGAATCCTAGAAGAAAATATCAGAAAACACTATTCTGGACATGGGTCCTGGGAAATAATTTATGACAAAGTCCTCAAAAGCAATTGCAGCAAAAATAAAAATTGATAAGTCAGATCTAATTAAACTAAAAAAATTCTGCACAGCAAGGTAAGTATCAAGACAGAATGGGGAAAAATTTGCAAAAGTATGCATCTGACAAAGGTCTAATATCCAGAATCTATAAGGAACTTAAACAGTTCAACAAGGAAAAATAACCCACAACCCCATTTAAAAACTGAGCAAAAGACACAAAGAGACACTTCTCAAAAGATTGCATACAAGCAGCCAACCATCGTGAAAAAATGTTCAGCATCACTAATCATAAGAGAAATGCAAATCAAAACCACAATGAGATACCATCTCACCCCAGTAAGAATGGCTATTCTTGAAAAGTCAAAAACAACAGATGTTGGCGAGGCTGCAGAAAAAAGGGAATGCTTATACACTATTGGTGGGAATGTAAATTAGTTCAGCCACTGTGGAAGGTACTTTAGCGGTTTCTCAAATAACTCAAAACAGGACTACCATTTGTTCCAGCAATCCCATTACTTGGCATATATCCAAAAGAAAACCAATTATTGTACCAAAAAGGCACAGGCACTAGCATGTTCGTTGCAGCACTATTCACAATAGCAAAGACATGGAATCACCCTAGCTGCCCATCAATTGTGGACTGGATAAAGAAAACATACATATACACCATGGAATACTATGCATTCATAAGAAAGAACAAAATCATGTGATGCAATTTGCAGCAACCTGGTCGCAGGTGGAGGCCATTGTCCTAAGTGAATTAACACAGGAACCAAAAACCAAATACACACTGCGGATTACTGGACTGGGGAGGGAGGGGAGCAAGGGTTGAAAAACTGTTGGGTTCTGTGCTCAGCACCTGGATGACGGGATCATTTGTACCCCAAACCTCAGCATCAGGCAATATAACCAGTTATCAAACCTGCACATGCACGCCCAGAATCTAAAATAAAAGTTGAAGAATAAGAAAAAAAGCTTTATTAAAAGATATTTGACATAAAAAAACCTGCATTATGTGTAAATTTCATAAGCTTTGACACATGTATACCTCTGAAAAACCATCATCACAATAAAGAGAGTGAACAGATGCATCACCCTCAAAAGTTTTCTTCTACCCTTCATAATTCCTCCTGTAGGAGCCCCCTCCCTGAACTTCCATTCCCAAGAAACCATGGATCTGCCTTCTGTTACAATAGATTCTTTTACATTTGGGGAAGTTTTATATAATTACCTAGAAGTGGTATACTTGCATGACATGATAGGTGCATGTTTAACATTTTAAGAAACTGCCAAATTCTCACCAATACTTGGTATTGTCAGTCTTTTCCATATTAGCTAATCTAATAGGTGGATGGTAGTCTCTCATTGTGAGTTTTAGCTTTTTTCACTTAGCATACACTACGATCTGAATGTATCCTCACAAAATTCATGTGTTGAAACTTAATTGACAATGTGATAATATTAAGAGGTGGGACCTTTTAGACGGTGATTAAGTCATGAGGGTGGATCCCACATAAATGGAATTAGTTCAGGAGGTTCGAGGGAGCTGTTAGCCCCTTTCACCATGTGAGGACACTGCAAGAAGTGCTGTTTATAAAGCAGAGAGCCCCCACCAGACACTGTGCTGGCACCTTGATTTTGGACTTGCCAGCCTCCAGAACTATGAGAAATAAATTTCTAATATTTATAAATTACCCACTTTAAGGTATTTTGTTACAGCAGCCTGAATGAAAACAACATAATTCCCTTGAGCTGTTGCATATATCAACAGTTTCTTCCTTTTCATTGCTAAGTAGTATCCTATGTACAGATCTACCATAGTTTGTTTAGACATTACCCCATTGAAGGTCATTTGGGCTGTTTTCAGCATTTGGGTATTATAAATAAAGCTACTGTGGACATTCATGTACAGCTTTCAGTGTGATCATACATTTTCATTTTTCCAGGATAAATGCCCAAGTATGAAATCTGGGTTGTGTGTTAGTTGTATGTTTTATATTTTAAATTAATAGACATTATAAAACAGTTCTAATTTATAGGAAATTGGACAGTACTGATAGTTCCCAGTAGCCTCATCCTCTTATACAATTTTCCTTATTATGAGCTTTTTGCATTAGTGTGGTATATTTGTTACAATTAATGAACCAATGTTGATAAATTATTATTAACTAAAGTCTATTGTTTACATTAAGGCTTACTTTGTGTTGTATATTTTCATGGTTTTTAAAAAATGTCCAATGTCATTTACCCACCATTCCAGTACCATATGGAATAGTTTCATTGTCCTAATGAATTTCTTGTGCTTCACCTATTTATGCTCACTCTTTCTCCCTGAATCCCTAGCAAGCACTGATCTTTTTATATCAATAATTTTACTTTCTCTAGCATGTCACATAGTTGGAATCATATGGTGCGTGGCCTTTTCAAACTGGCTTCTTTCACTTAGCAATATGCATTTAAAATACCTCTGTGTTTTTTTCATGGCTTCATAGCTCATTTTTATTGCTGAATGGTATTTTTATTCTGAGGTTTGAATGTACCAGAGTTTGTTTATCCATTCACCTATTGAGGGGCATCTTGGTTGCTTCCAGCTTTGGGAAATTATGGATAAAGCTGCCATAACATTTGTATGGAGTTTTGTGTGGAGATAAGTTTTCTACTAAATAAGATAAAATATCAAAATCTATGATTGTTGCATCATATGGTAAGGCTATGTTTAGCTTTGTAAGAAACTGCTGAAGTGTCCTCCAAACAAGTGTACTATTTTGCATTACTACCAGCAATTAATGGGAATTTCTGTTGCTCAGCATCCTAACCAGCAATTGGTATTGTCAGTGGTTTGTATTTTAGGCATCCTAATATGATGTGGTGATATCTCATTGTTGTTTAAATATGTAATTCCCTAATTATAAATGATGCTTATCTTTTCTTATGCTTATTTGCCATCTGTATGTTTTCTTTGATAAGTACCTTTTCATATCTTTTGCCCATTTTTAATTTTTTTTTGTTTTCTTATTGTTGAATTATGAGTACTTTGTATATTTTGGATACAAGTCCTGTATCAGACATGTGTTTTGCAAATATTTTCTCCCAGTCTGTGCTTGCCTTTTCATTTTCTTAACGGTGCCTTTCAGTGCGTTAATGAAGACCTTCCACCATCAAACTGGGATTTGCAGCTTCTGGTAGGAAACACTTCAGGCTGATAATCAGCCTCTGTATGAGAATGGGGTCATTCAAAATGAGCCCCAGGGTGATTGCTGGGGGGATCATGTAGGATGAAGGGTGCTTTCGTGTTAATCTCATCCACCCATGATCAATGCCCACCCGGATCAACACCTGCCCCACCTCTGCTTCACATACTTCCTCTTAGCTGCCCTCACTCTTGACAGGGCCCTCATCAGAACTCAGGAACCCTGAGATTCCAAAAGAGGTTGACTTGTGTTTTCGTGAGAGAGTTCACTGAAGGTTTGGGTCATCTCCAGATTCACTGTGCCCAGGACCAACTCAGCTGTTGAGGAGTTTTTCTTCCTCAGCTTTGGCTTTAGTGTCTCTGGTGCAGTTAGCCTTTCTTATAGCCAGAATGGGGTATACAGCCTGTGATACTTAATTTTAGGTGTCAAGTTGACTGGGCTAATGTCCAGATAGCTGATAAAGTATTATTTCTGAGTGTGTCTATGAGGGTGTTTCTGGGAGTGACTGGCATTTGAATCAATGGCCTGAATAAGGAAGATCTGCCCTCACTCAATGTGGGTGACACCATTCAATTGGCTGAGACCCAGATTGAACAAGAAGGTAGAAGAAAGGCAAATTTGCACTATCTGTCTTCTGGAGCTGTGACATCCATCTTCTTCTGCTTTTGGACATCAATTCCAGGCTCTCTGGCCTTTGGACTTTAGGACTCGCACCATCATCTTTCCGGGTTCTTGGGACTTCAGCCTGGGACTGAGAGTTACACCTATTGGCTTCTGTGGTTCTGAGGCCTTCACTGGACTTAGACTGAGCCACACTTCTGGCTTCTTTGGCTCTCCAGTTTGCAGATGGTATTTTGTGGGACTTCTCAGCCTCCATAATTGAGTGAGCCAATTTTCCTAATAATCTCTTCTCATCCCTCTCATACCTATCATAGGTATATATGTATGTATATGTATGTATATGTATATGTATATGTATATGTATATGTATATGTATATGTATATGTATATATATCTATCCTATTGCTTGCAAACCTCAGAGGTGAAGGTAGAAAGCTTACACAAGAAAAGTCTGCTCCTAAAACTGTAGACAGTTGGGGACCAGGTTTCAGCTCCTGACTCCCATGACCTCTGGGATTTTGGTAGTGCAGCCTGTCAGAAATAGCAAAGGGGCTGTTTTTCCTTTCCCTGGGGGGAAAGGATGAGGAGAATGACTATCTGCCTGGAGCTTCTCCTGAATACTACCTACAGTAGACACTCTTACTGATGAATGGCAGTATTTTAGAACTTTTGCATATGTTACTGGCTTAAGATGAGAAGACTACCACAAAGGGAGGGCATGAGTACCTTTAAGCGGGGAAATGAGAAAGTAACATCCTTTCAAAGATCAACGGAAGACACCTATGGTTGCCACTAGTGCAATTCCAGAATATATAGATCACCCCTCTTGGGTACACAGCAAACTGAATGTCCTGGTTCCTTATAGTCGGGTTAGGCTATGGTGTTGGTTCTACCTAATGAGTCATGAGTTTGAGTGAGGTATGTCCTTTCTGGCTGCAGTATTTAGTTACTAGTGTGAGCCCCACTACTTTCCCTTCCCCTTACTACAAAGATTGTAGAAGCACACGATGAAATCTCTGTCAGCTTGTTCCTGAGTTGCCACCATGAGCAGAAGCTCCCCTGATGACCTGCATTAGATGCGCAATGTGAGAAGGAAATAAACATTTTTGGGGGGTCAAGTCACTGGGATTTTGGGATTGTCACAATAGCAGCACCTAACCTTTCCTGACTCATTATCTAATACTAAATTGGGTATTTCCAAGTAGTTAGCCATTGTCTGGTGGTGTGATGGGGCAGCCACTTTTATTTATTGGAGAGGAAGGTGGAGGTTTCACTTTCTTCACGAAAGGATTTACATACTTCTCCATGGAGAGTGTATCAGGGTGGGATTTCTCGAGGCCTGGCCCATACCAACCTAGAGTAACAAGAGGGTTTTTGATTAGGTGAAAAATGTTATGCTCCGAGAGGCAGACCAACAGTAGCAATAGAAAGGTGTGTTTGTGTGGTGGCCATGGAGTTGTGTGTCTTTCAGCTCTCCAGTAAGAGAATCTGCTATTGGAGGCATTGTTACTTATCAGCTACAACTGTACTTGTGTGGAGGCCATGCTTCCCCTGGGGCTGCTCCCATCCAGTGGCTGAGAGGAGCAGGGATGACATTGCTGGCCTGTTCCCAGCCTGTGCAGGACCAGAGAGCACAAGTAACTGCATGAGCAGATGGCTTTGACCCCTACACTGCTTATCACAGTTGTACCAGCGCCCCTTCCCCACTTTGTACCTGTGACCACATGGGGGAGCCCTTTATGACCAGCTGTAGGAGGGAAAGGGCCCTAGCTGGTTTATAAATGAGCTGGTTCAGTCTGTGTGTACAAGCTGAAAATGGACGGCACTGCATGTCAGGCACACCTGGGGGTGGTCTTGAAAGAGAGTGGCAAGGGAAAATCTTCCCCTTAATGGGTAGAGCTTTGAGCACCTAGCCTGGGGTCAGAATGGGCTGGCTAGCTGGTCAGGGGCCAGGGAGAGACAGGACTAGAAGAGGCTCCCAAATGAACAAAGTCTTGTCCAAGGGCACACAGAGTGCTTCTGAGAGAAGCGGGTGGGGAGGAGTTGGTGCGTGGAGAGCTGGGGTCCATAATCTCCAATAAATTTTTAACCTCCTTTCCCAACCCAGAGTGATACTGGAGGGAGACTTCCTAAGAAGCTGGCGTATTTCTACTCCCTTTTGTTTCTCTTTGAGAACACTACCTTGGAAGATATTACTTCTTTTAAGTTCTTTCCTCCAACCCTTTTGTTTTGTTTTGAGACAGTCTTGCTCTGTTTCCCAGGCTGGAGTGCAGTGGCACGATTATGGCTTACTGCAGCCTTGACTTGCGGGCTCAAGTCGGGGCTCTCCCCCTATAAAATTGAACGAAACTTCTACCTTGTATTTTGGCACCACAGTGGCCTGTTCTGTTTTAAAAGTTTTGTTTTAGAAGATTAAGAATGGCTTCTGCAAAAATCAAAACTAATTTAAACTGTGCTGTTGCTAATTCCCCTCGGCTTGAAAACCATGGCTTCCACTGTCCTGGGGTATGAAGAGGTCTATGTGAAAAGCGGTGGGAAGGCCATGGGAAGTGAGTGATGGAAGCCAGAGGTTTCCTGGGCCCAGACAGCTGTCCTGCTCAATATCTTCTAATCCAACAGAGAGGAAACACGATGACCTGGTAGAGTACTTGTTATTATATTTATTTATTTTTCTTTTAGCTATTTACAAAATTTTATTTCAGTATATTTTTCAGAAGCATAATTTTACGTTTCTTCATATTTTACTTTGTTAAAGTCC